>NC_000002.12:200519921-200822951 GCF_000001405.40 Homo sapiens
TATGGGACCACCATCGTACATTTGTTTGGTAGTTGACTGAAACATCATAATGTGGGGCATGACTATAATTATTTTATTTCTTTCTGTTAGACAAACTGTTTACAGGAGATAAGGAAGTTTTGGTTTATGCCTAAATAATTTCACTTACCTTAGTTTTTACTGAAATAAAAGCATAGAAGTTTTAAATGTAGAGTTGCCTTTCTTTTAAGGAAGCAAATGTTTTGAAGATAACTGTCCAACATTTATGTGAATGTGAAAACTTACAAAGTACTCTGGTTTTCAAACTTATCTATGCCTACAATATCTGGTCTTTCTTCTCTTCTTCCCACCACAAAGGAAAAGGAGACCCTTCAGCTCACAGCTTAGCCCTGATTCTAACCCCTGCCTCACCACTACTAACTGCTTTCCTATGTCAGCCTCTCTCCCTCTACAAGCTCCCTTATCCAGCTTTTAAAAAGAATATGTGAACCCCAAAAATTTGAGACAGGTCTCAGTTAATTTAGAAAGTTTATTTTGCCAAAGTTAAGGACTCGGGCCTGTGACACAGCCTCAGGAAGTCCTGATGACATGTGCCCAAGGTTGTCGGGGCACAGCTTGGTTTTATACATTTTAAGGAGGCATGAGACGTCAATCAATATATGTAAGAAGTACATTGGTTCCACCCAGAAAGGTGGGGACAACTTGAAGCAGGGACAGGGCTTCCAGGTCACAGGTAAATGAGAGACAAATGGTTGCATTCTTTTGAGTTTCTGATAGGCTTTTCTGAAGGAGGCAATCAGAATGTACATTTATCTCAGTGAGCAGAGGGATGACTTTGAATAGAGTGGGAGGAAAGTTTTGTCCTGAGCAGTTTCCACCTTGACTTTTCCCTTTAGCTTAGTAATTTTGAGGCCCCAAGATTTTCCTTTCACAAATACAAACCCCCCCTCCAACCTCATTCCCCTGTAGCTATTGTTACTTCTTTCTTGATCCTCAAAGAACTGTCTATTCTCATCTCTGCATCCTCTCTGCTGCAAAAGGAATGACTCCTTAACTGTCAAACCCCAGGACTGTTCTCACTCAGGTCTTCCTGCTGCTTAAGACCAGGTTGGCAGTCCCTTCCCAACCATCATTCCTCCCTCAGCCCTCCCACGTGTCTCCTTCTACCTCTCACTGCCTCTCTTGCTGCCTTTTCATCTTTCCTCCATTCATTGATGTTCACCGTGATTCTACCTTCTACTCTTCTTGTGCCTCTACACACTCTTCCTCCACAACTTAATCAACTCTTGTGATTTCTAATTACTATTTGCTGCTGACTCCCAAATCTGAGTATCCCTTTTCAGCTCCATATTTCTTATTTCTGTGAGCCTACTGGACATTTCTGACTAGATCTCCTAAATAGCAGAGTTATTTTCCACAGCTGCTATTCCTTTGCATTTTCAATGAAGAGTGGAAAAGGGAAGGCTATATGATGAGGAAGGGTATGGGGGTCTCTGGGACCCCATCCAGCAGCCAGGGAATGTCCATATGGAAATAACTCTGGAGACGTGGGCTTCAGGACCATGCCAGCAGCGTGGTACATGTAACTGTGAGTCCACTGGTAAAGCCAGTGAGTACAGCAGCTATCTTTTCAGGCCCCTTCCTCAAGCCTCCACTTTGTATGGTTTGGATTTTATGAGTGGAGATATTGAGTAAAGGAGTACTTTAAGCTTTTCGGACTTCCTGCAGAGGCACAGGGTGGAGGCTGAGAAGTAGACTACACCCCAGTCTCTCAGTGTCATCCAACATCTGGACTGGAGTAGTGTAGAGAAAAAAGTCGCCATGAGAACCACGGCTAGAGGTTATCTAGCTGGACAAGTGGTAGACCAAGTTCCCTGATTATTTTATCCCTTTCCAGACAAGCCTCCCTTCTACACACACATACACCTTGGTCAGACATAAGGAAGCTTGGTGCTCCTGTTACATATTCCCTGCCCTTGCCTAAACCACAGAAATGTTCTTGAATCACCTCAAGGCTCAAAGACCCCTTCCATCTATCCCCAACATCGATCCTGGATTTTCTAGAGTTAATCGGATCTTTATCACTCCCTTTTCTTAAACTTCTTGAGAGTTTAAGCACTGCTCCCTCCCCTACACCCAATGCTTTCCTTCATTGTCCACACAAAGTAAAGCTTCTTAGCGTGCACCCAAGATCCTTCTGTTACTTGACTTTGTCTAACCTCTCAGCCTTTGCTCCCCCTATCTGACCACATGCGTCCTAGGCCCCAGCAGCTCTGAACTGCTTCCTGGGACAGGCTATGTGCTGTCAGCCTAATGAATCCCACCCAACTTGGCCTTCGAGGTTCCACCGCTAAGTGACTTCCCCTGAAGATTTGTCTTCCCTCTTCTTTTAAGAGCTGCTCTTTGTTTCCTAAATATTCTTTCTTTCTTTCTTTCTTTCTTTCTTTCTTTCTTTCTTTCTTTCTTTCTCTTTCTTTCTTTCTTTCCTTCCTTCCTTCCTTCTTTCTATCTTTCTTTCCTTCTTTCTTGAGACAAGAGTCTTGCTAAGTTACCCAGGCTGGTCTTCAACTCCTAGGCTCAAGCGATCCTCCTGCCCTGGCCTCCCAAAATGCTGGGATTACAGGTGTGAGTCACCGCAGCTGTCCTGTTTCCTAAATGCTTTGATGGCATCTTTTGCAAACCTCAACATCTACATATCACAATATACAGGAATGGACTGTTTGCTTGTCTACTGTCTCCCAAAAGGAAAGAACATTTGCCTCATCCATCTTTACCCTCAGCAAAATGCCAGGTGCAAAGGGGCTCCTGATAAACGTATATTGAAGAAAAAGAGGAGGCTGACAAGCAGGAAACATGAGGAAATTAGCATGATGGATACCATGCCTCAAAACCAAAGTGACAAATGACAAAGTAATTCTCTCACTATCTTGAGAGGCTCAGGCCAGGCTGCCTGGGTTCAAATACCAGCTGCACCACTTAACTAAACCTTGTAGAAGTTACTTAAATTTTTGGTGCTTTCTTGGTTCCACCCAGAAAGGTGGGGACAATTTCCTCAACTTTAAAAAGGAAATGATGGTACCTACCACATAGGATCATTTTGAGAACTAAAAAGGCATTTAAAGGGCTTGACACAGTGTCTAGGACAAGATAAGCCCTTAATAAATATTATCTGCTGCTGTTATAATGATTAGCTATCCATCACCCAGCACAGCTTATTTAACTGGTTTCTATTAAATAAAATAAAAGTAATTATTGTAGTAAAGTTGCATAAAATACTGAAATGAACCTTTGTCATTCTTTTGGCCGCCTAGCTCAAAATGCACTTCCTGAGTTTGGGTAATTCCTCACCTTATGAGTCTGTCTAGGTTACCTCTCACTAAGAAGCCACCATCATCATAATCATCATCATCATCAACACAACAACAAAAGCCAGACACAGGCTGTTCAGGACTCCCTTGCAGCAGGACTTGTAGCATATGATTCAGGTTTGACGAGTCAGACACACCCAAACCAGGTCTAGCAACAGGAGCTAGTAATGCCAAGCAGCAGTGATGGGAAAACTGCAGCACAACTATGCCCACTTTCCCATATGCAGTGGTGGTCCCAGTGGTCCCAGCAGCAGTGGTGGTCCCAGTGGCGGCATCTAGTGCCACTGTTGGCTGTACAAGATCAGCTGCATCCTCAAAGGGCTATTTTTGGTAGCATGACCATGGCTAGGTGCTCGTCTGCTGCCAAGCTCCCCTTATTTTCCAAGCCTGTATCTCTATCCTACCCAGAAATGCTTTAACCCACCCAATATTCTTTTCTGCTTCTATCAGCCTGGGTTAATTTTCCTTGGTGCAATTCATCCTGCCAGACTGGTACAGATGATCAGGTCAGATGGTTTCATAAGATGTAAGTACACTCCTTCTACTTTGTTTTATTGCTTTATTGATTTGCAGTGTTCTTTACTTGGCTCCTGCTCAGGGACTGTTCTTGGATGATTTTTGTTTTAGTAATGCCGATATGTTAAAGAGGGTTTTTCTGGTTTTTGTTTTATGGCAATTACACTTTCTCTCTTTCCTTTCCTTCCCATCCCTTTTTTGGTGTGAGTGATTGTGTCTTAGGACAATCAAATTTTAATTGACTGGAATCTATGCTTAGGTAGAGAAAATCAGGCAACTAACAAGTATAAGAATAAAGGAAAACAGATGGAGAGGAACAAAATCAGTGCCCAGTGCAGGAGAGTATCACAACAGGTCTGTGAGCTCATTTAATGTAACTAGTTTCTTTTACAGATAAAATACTTGAAACAAGGAACACACAGCTAATGGCTCAGCCACAACTATAATAACTGCATCTCCAGACTTCTCATCCAGGGCTCCTGCCTCTATCCATTATACCAAGAGGCAAAAGGCAAATAACTAAAAAGCAAGCTGAGATCACGTTAAATTTAACCCGACTAATTATACTTTTAGGTTTATGGTTGTATATGATACTAATTTACATTTTCAAGAGGTTTTACAATTTACAAAGCAGTTAAATCCTTTCAACTGCTCTGAGATAAGGTAGCACTTTTTTTTTTTTTTTTTTTTTTTTTTTTTTTGAGACGGAGTCTTGCTCTGTCGCCCAGGCTGGAGTGCGGTGGCGCGATCTCGGCTCACTGCAAGCTCCGCCTCCCGGGTTCACGCCATTCTCCTGCCTCAGCCTCCGGAGTAGCTGGGACTACAGGCGCCCGCCACCACGCCCGGCTAATTTTTTGTATTTTTAGCAGAGACGGGGTTTCACTGTGTTAGCCAGGATGGTCTCGCTCTCCTGACCTCGTGATCCGCCCGCCTCGGCCTTCCAAAGTGCTGGCATTACAGGCGTGAGCCACCGCGCCCGGCTAGCACTTTTTTTTTTAAAGAGGTCTTGGTATTCATGTCTTGATAAATGTTTTAGCATCTCTTCTACCTCTGATTTTCCTGTCTCCCTTTTCTATTTGTTTTGGTTTTGAAGCTGTAACTACAAAATGTGTCCATTGGGAAGAGAGCAATATTAATGTATTTGAACAAAAGGGCCCATTGATTGAAACCATCATAAAAATATATGGGATGCTGTTTAACTCCATTTTACAAATAAGGAAACAGAAGCCCAGAGAGATTAAGTAGTTTGGCCAAGATTAAATAACCATTAAATGGCACAGTCACTACAAGGTTCATTTAAAAAAACATATAACATACATTGAGCATTTAATGTGTCAGGCTGGGTAAACAAGATATAGTGCTAGTTAACTCCTAGGTAAGCATAAATTTCTATAACCAGTATATTACTTTGTAAACCACTGTCTTCTGGAATTTTAGCAGCTGGACAATCAGTAAATACTTTTCTACTTACACAAGATTCATGTAACCAGATCTGTTTGGAGACTGATCGTGATTTATATTAGACTAAAAGATCTTAACTCAAAAGCATGTTTTGCATCATTTGTCTAGATTCTTTAAAGTAAAAATGGAAAGCTGTAATTCTCAAATGTCTTCGAATGAACAAAAAATTGACAAGAATATGAAGCTGACTGCATTACTGTATCATCAATTATTGGAACCTTGATTTAACAAGCTATTTTCATTTTCAGTCCAATGGCATACAAAGAGGAAATTTTATTCTTTGTAGTTTCTCCAAATTCTTTGTAAAAATTATGAAAGTAATTTGCGAAAAATAAGCGAATTGACATGGAATATAAGGTGAATAATACATTTTTAAAATGTAGTTGTGTATAATGGAAAACGTCATTCTTGTATATTCAGCTAAAACAGACCATTAGTGCAAGACCTAAATATTAATGAGATCCGGGGTTTGCAACGAAATGTCATTGCTGCTTTTCCCCCAGAAAGTTAAAAGAAAAACGGGGAGAGCTTTTAAGTGAAAACTAAATGTGCTGGCGTCACACTTGGAAATGCAAGGATGCAGAAGAAATGGTAAGATGTGGGTGGGTAGTATCCCAGTAAACAACATAAACCTTCTAACAGACTTGAGGTGGCTGTCAAGCCTTTCAGACATGTGATTGATAATGAATGTCAGAGGAGAGTTTCCTTTTCCATCAACGCTTCAGGAGACAGCGGACCGCCACCAACACAGGGCGGAAGAGCACCCCTGTCACGCAGACTGTGCCGCCCCCGGCTCGCCTGGGCACGCCCCTTCCTGCCCTAGCAGCGGCGTCCCGCCCTTTCCGCCTTTCACTTCCTAGTAACCGCCCTCCCTTGCTCCATCTTCGCAGGACCCGATTGGCTGATGGGGCAACCGCCAACGGCTGTGGCGTTTAAACCCAAGCCGCAGCCGCTGCTGCTCGCCGAGCTCCCGGAGCTGGGTGGGGGTGCCCCACGCTGAAAGAGAGGTAAGTTAGTGGCCTGCGGCAGTTGACGTGACCGCCCTCTCCCTGTCGGGATCGGTGTCGTTCTTGAGTCGGTTCTCTAGGCGCTGTCCGCCTCGGTCTCCGGCTCGTCTTCCGCCCTCTGTCCTCCGGGATCCGGGACGGCGGCCCCTCTCCGGCTACGAGGGGTTCGTTGACGGAGTCCTGTTTTGGCTTTGAGTCGCTGCCTCTTGTTTCTGAGATTTGAGCGTCCGGCAGGGCGAGCGGGGAGAGCCACCAGTTAGGTCAGCTACTTAAGGGAAGATATTTCTGTCTCTGGGACTGCTCTACTCCCTTGAACAGTTTCTAGGGCATTGTGAGCGCTCAGTACGTGTCTGCGGAATGAATGTTAGGGACTGCGTGCCAAAGTTCTCGAAGGAGCCCTCTCGTTTGGAGAGGCTGGCTGAAGGCGAAGGGGTGATGGAAGACTAGGGAGAACTTGGAACTTAGAACTTGAGCTGCTTGATGTACAGGTAGGATTTCAGTAGAGAATAGGGACAATGATTTTTTAGATGAGGTATCCAATTCAGGAGAATTGGATGTGGAACTGAGTATTTCGTATTTAGAGATAGTCGAGATGCTGGCCGGACAAGTGTCACAGAGTGCTGGTATTGAGTGCTGATAGTTTACCAGGTCCCGTACTAGACACTGTACATACATTGGCTCATTTAGTCCCTACAAGGAGATGCCCTTATTTTTTATGGTTTTATAAATCTGGAAATTGAGACGAAGAGGTGTTGAGATCACATAGCTATGAAACGTTGGAACTGGAGCTCCAACACAGTTGTAATCACTATCATAATGTCTCAGTGTCTATATGGTAAATCACCCTGGAACAGTACCCCAAATGCCTGGTTCTGGCTCCTAAAGTTTCCCTTGGTGAGGTCATTGATGTAGGGGGTTGCAGGGCAGTGTCAAGGAACACTCCCAGATTTCTGGCATGAGGATTTGAATAGGCGATTGACAGTGTCGTTTATTAAATTAAGGAATTGTGTCAGAACCAGCTTATTGGGGAGGGCAGTCCAGCTGTGGTTTCCTAATTAGTAAAGTGAGATTTGATATTCCAGACTGGATTTTTTGGGAGATGAACTAGATTTCTATGTTAGGATCCCTTTCAGGTGTGTGAGATGCAACAGTTTGTGGGGAGTTTCTGTGTTCTACTGTCTTTGAGATAGATAGTGATCTTTGATTTTAAAGTTTCTTCCTGGCAAAACGTTTAAAAGAACTGTTGAGCCTTAATCTTGAAAGGTTTCTGGTTCAACTTATTCCCCATTGCAGAAATTTCTTCTAAAACCATCTTTCCGTTATTTGCTTGACACCTCCCAACATCTGCTTAACACTTTCAAAGGAGACCCATTCCAAGAGTGGGCGGTTTTTCTATTGGAAAGTTCTTCCATTCATTCATAGTCACTTCTTCCACAAATGTTTATCCAGCAGCTGCTATGTGGCAGGCACATTTCTGTACTAAGGTACAGAAGCAAACAAATTTGACAAAAGTTTATGCCCTCATTGAACTTACAATTTAGTAGGAGAAAACAGATAATAAGTTAACTATTTAATTTTATCTTAGACATTGATAAGTTAACGGAGAAAAATAAAACAGAAGGGGAGAATGGGGGTAAGTGTGCAGTTTTTAAGTAGTTTGGACTGGGAAGGCTCACTAAGAAAGTGACATTTTGGCAAATGCTCGAAGGAAGTGAGCAAGCCCTGTGGTCATTTGAAGGAAGAGTTGATACAAAGGGAAGAAGGAATAAAAGTTTCTGCTTTAGAGCATGTCAAGGTAGGCAGTGTGGCCAGAGATTATTGAGCAAGAGAAAGATTAATGAAAAGGATTAGAAAGGTTCACTGATGATTAATTGGGGAAGAGAAGTGTCAAATTGTATAGTACTTTCTAGGCCATTTTAAAGATTGAGTGAGATGGAAAGCTACTGGAGAGTTTTTTTTAACATGGGAGTAACATGAATTTACTTAAGCTTTAAAAGGATCATTGTGGTTGCTAGGTTAAGAATAGATAGTCGGGGAGAAAATGGAAGCAGGGACACCATTCACGTAGCTATAGCAAATAATGTACATGGGAGAGAATGGCAACTTGAATCAAAGTGGTAGCAGTAGAAATAGTGGTAAGTAGCCCAGGTGGATATATTGTGAAAGCTGGGTCAGCATAATTGATCATAGAATAGATGTGGGATATGAAAGGAACTTTCTGACCTGAGCAACTGAAAGAATGGAGTTGTCATTAAGTGAGCTAGGGAGGACATGGTGGAGTAGGTTGGGGTGGGGGGAGTTTAGGACATGTTAAATTTGAGATGTGTGTTAGAAATCCTAGTTGGAGATGCGTAGTAGGCAGTTGGATGAATAAATCTGGAGTTCAAGGGAAAAGTCTAGATTGGGAACACAAATTTGAGAGTTATCAGCATTTAGATTTAAAAGCCAGGATACTGGCTGATAGTCCAGGGAGTATATGTAAATATAAAAGAGATGAGATCCAAGGACTGAGATCTGGGGCACTCCAGTGGTAAGAGGTTAGGGAGATGAAGAATAACCAGCAAGAGGGACTGAGAAGTGGTCAGCGAGGCAGGAGAAAATCCTGCCTCAGAACAAACAGAAGAATGTGCTATTTTGCAACCAAGTGAAGAGCGTATTTCAAAAGGAAGGAATGACTTGATATTAAATGCTTTTCACAGATCAAGTAAAAAGAGACTGGGCCTGACCACAGTATTTGATTTAACAACATAGTAATTCAGTGACCTTAATGAACAGTTCCCATATAGTAGTGGTGAGAGCAGAAATTTCATTGTAGTGGATCAAGAGAGACTGGGAGGAGATAAATTGGAGACATCAAGTATAGACAACTCTCTAAAGGAGTTTTGCTGTGAAGGGAAGCAGGGAAATCAGGTCATAGCATTCCAGCATCAAGGGACCACTTGTATTTTCTTAAATGTTTCATTTTCATGCATTTACACATGCCATTCTTTCTTCCTGGAATGCCCTTCCTAATCTTGATGCCTGACAAGTTTTTAGTTTCTAAGACTTACTTATTCATTCAACAAATATTTACTGTGTTGATATCATTTGTAAGGCGCTATTCCATGCGCTGGGGAATATATCAGTGAATAAAACATAAAAATCCATGACCTCCTAGAA
The DNA here is from genome assembly GCF_000001405.40 of Homo sapiens. Classification (NCBI taxonomy): domain Eukaryota; kingdom Metazoa; phylum Chordata; class Mammalia; order Primates; family Hominidae; genus Homo; species Homo sapiens. The sequence continues at coordinate 200,529,412 of NC_000002.12, forward strand.
TTTAAATTCTAGTTGGGGAAGACAGACAATAAATAAATCTATAGTATGTTAGATAGTGATAGATGTTGAGGGAAGGAGCTACAGTTTTGTTTCGTTTTGTTTTGTTTTGTTTTTTGTTTTTTTGTTTTTGAGACGGAGTCTCACTCTGTCACCCAGGCTGGAGTGCCATGGTTTGATCTCACTCAGCTCACTGCAGCCTCCACCTCCTGGGTTCAAGCATTTCTCCTGCCTCAGCCTCCTGAGTACCTGGGATTACGGGCACCTGCCACCACACCTAACTAATTTTTTTGTATTTTTAGTAGAGACGGGTTTCACCATGTTGGCTGGGCTGGTCTCGAACTCCTGACCTCAGGTGATCCACCCACCTCAGCCTCCCAAAGTGCTGGGATTGCTGGCATGAGCCACTGCACCCAGCCTGGAGCTACAGTTTTAAGTGACCTCACTGAGAGGGTGACATTTGAAGAGACTTGATGGAGGAGAGTGAATGGGCCATTTGTATATCTGGAGGAAGATGTTTCTAAACAGCATTTATTCTAAATGCAGAATAACCAGTATAAAGGACCTGAGGCTGAAGAATGCCTGGCATATGCTCCAAACAGCTAGATTTTGGTGGCCAGTATGGCCTGAGGGGAATGCGATAGAGGGAGAGGAGGAGGAGTTCAAATTAGAGAAGTGTAGAGCTAGTGGAGAGACCGTACTAAGGACTTTGGAGAGAAGTGGGAACCATGGGAGAGTTTTAGATTGTATAGATTAGTTCACTGTAGGGACAGCAGCAGTGGAAATAGGGAGTCAAAGCCTGTTGCAGAAACTCAAGTGAGACATGGTAGTGCCTCTGACTAGGTTGGCAGCAATGGACATACTGAGAATTGGTCAGATTCTAAATATATTGTGAAGGTAAGTTGAGATATGAGAGAGATTTTTGGCCTGAGCAACTGGAAGGATGAAATTACCATGAACTGAAATAGAAAATGCTCTGAGTGAAGCAGGTTTGGACAAGTTAAATTTGATGCATCTACTTTAGTTATTAAAGTGGAATTGTGGAGTAGACAGCTGGATACATGAATCCAGTGTTCAGGAAAGAGATCCAAACTGAGGACATAAATTATGGAGTTCTTGGCATCTGGCTGGTATTTTAAGTGATGAGACTGTATGAAATCACCAAAGAAGGGAGTGTAGATAAAGAGAGGAAGTTCAAGGAAAGACCCCGTTAGAGGTTGGAAGAACCTGTAAAAGAGACAGAGGAGGAACAGGTAGGTAGGTAGGTAGGAAAAAAACATAGGCGTTTGATGTTCTGGAAGCCAAGGAAATACAATTTTTGAGGAAGGAGAAATTAACCACATTAAAATGCTGCTGATAGATCAAGTTAGATGAAGACTGAGAATTGACTATTAGATTTAGCAGCACAGAAGTCATCAGAGATCTTGGAAAAAAGCAGTTTTGGTGGAATAGTCTAAGTGAAAGCCTGATTGAAGTAGGTTTATGAGAAAGTTGGAAACTGAGTATAGACAATGTTTTCAAGGAGATTTGCTGTAAAGATCTGCAGAGAATTGGAGTGGTAGTCTGAGTATGAAGTGGGAACAAAAGAGGGTTCTTTAAGGTGAGGAAATAGCAGTGTGTTTGTATATTGATGAGAATGGTCCAGTGGAAAAGGAAAAAAATTGATGATATCGGGAAAGAATTGTTGGAGTGATGTCTTTAAGGAGGCAGGAAGGCATGGGATCCAGTGCATGGATCCGTATCTAGGAACACAGTTGATCCCTAACAACAGGAGAGAAAACAGATACACAGATACAGGTATGGTATGTAGGTAATTGCAATGGAAGTTTTGAGAAAGTTCTCCACAGGTTGCTTCAGTGTTCTGAGAGAGAATAACAATGAGTGAGGATATGAAATAATTCATAAAGAGGAGTGACCCAGGGATTGATAACAGCAGTGAAGGGAAAGGGGTAATAGAGTCTAGTGACAGTATATTCAAGGATGGGAATTTTTAGGGAGGAGGGAAGATGAATGGTCTGCAGACATGAATGTGTTGTAGCCTCTAGAAGGGGTGTGGGAGGGAAAACAGCACCTGCCTGACAGGACTGCAGGAGAATCTGTGTCCTCAGGGGAGAGGGTGGTTCAAGAAGATGAAGGGAACATTCAGAGAAGAGATTGAGGCTGTAGAGGTTTGGTTGATGATGGAATGTGAGTTCTAGAGGACCTCATGAGTCTGGCAAGGGTAAGATAGGCAGGCTGTATTCATTTCCTTTGGCTGCTGTAACAAATTATCATAAATGAGGTGCTTAAAACAACTGAAATGTATTTCCCCACAGTTCTGGAGGCCAGAAGTCTAAATTCAGTTATCACTGGTTTTCCCACCTCAAGGTGTATTCCCAGCTGCACTCTCTCTGGAGGCTCTTCAGGAGAATCTGTTCCTTGCTTTGTCAATTCCTGATGGCTGCTGGCAGTCCTTGGCATGTGGCTGCATCACTCCTGTCTCTGCTGTCTCTTGTAAGGACTCTTGTGATAGTATTTAGTCCTGCCTGGATAATCCAGGATAATCTCCCCATTACAAGATCCTCAATTTATTCATATCTTCAAAGGCCCTTTTTCCACATGAGGTTTAGAATTAAAGGGATCTAATAACTTTGGGGGACCATTTTCCAGCTTACCACAGGACCAGATGAGGAATGTGTAGCACTTAGGGGATTCGAGTGAGGGGAATGAACGTGACCCAGGAGTTGAGGGATTCTTGCCATGATTGATAAAGTGAGCTGAGTCCTGGATTGACATAGTGAGCTGAGTCCTGTGGACTCAAGGCAGGTAGTGGTGGGGAGGCTGAGTATTGAGGGTTAGGCAGGTGCAGGTGACAGAGTTTTTTGTTTTTTTTTTTGTTTTTTTTTTTTTTTCAGATCTCTTCAGATGGAGGCAAGGAGGCTTGGGAAGGAAATGGAGGCATGGGGAGGTTGGTCTTACATGGCTCAACATCAACTGCTGCTTCTCAGTGAAGCTATTTCTGATCCTTTTCCTCTGCCCAGTCACAGTTAATCGCTTCTCCTCTGCATTGTGTATTGTAGCCATTACTCTTGTAATACTATAATGTAATGATTTCTTTATCTTCCTGTTTCCATAATAGGCCATAAATCTAATAGACAAATTTAAGATTTCCTATTTCTCCAACCCCCTTCCCCACCTTGGATTGGGTATATCTCTTCTGTACTTCCTTTAAACTCTGTGTATATCTCTAAGGTTATACTTCTTACATTGTATGAAAACACTGTCTGTACCCGCATTGTACCATGCATTCCATGAGGGCAGAGACCATATCCTGTCATCTTTCCCCTGCACCTGGTACATAGATGATTAATGTAGGCTTAAATGAAAAAAATAATCATTTACCTTTTTGGATTATACCTTAAGCCACTTTTGATTACATTCATACTTTCAGATTTTATGTAAAGTTTAGCAAATACTTAATGCACAAAGTATATTAAGTCATGATTGTTACTTTTTAAAATGTATTTATCAGTTATACTTTTTCTTTTATTAATCAATACTATGATTTTTTTTTCTTTCACTTCAGTGATGGAGTGCCCAGTGATGGAAACTGGCTCACTTTTTACCTCAGGAATTAAGAGACATTTGAAAGACAAAAGAATTTCAAAGACTACTAAGTTGAATGTTTCTCTTGCTTCAAAAATAAAAACAAAAATACTAAGTAAGTGCCATCAGTTTTAAAATACACTCACGTTTTAACTTTTCCCCAGAATTGTTATATATTTGCTACCTTATTTTATCAAGTACAGAAAATTACTAAAATGACCATTTTGTTAACTGATAACTTTTTAAATTTGATCCTTCCTATCTCCTTCAACTCCTGTTAGTTGGGTGGTTTTGATGATTTACCCTAAGTGTGACACAGTTGAATTTTCAGCAGTGAGGCTGCAGTGACCCAAGACAGCTACTTTCTACAGCGCAGAAAAAAACTACCAACATGACTTTTCTGGAACAGATGTAGTAAGAGTAGCAGGTTGTTCTGGCATGTTGTGGCAACTGGATGATGGGTAGCCTTGAGGAGGTGGGCTCACACTGGGTGCTTATATATACGTGTGTATATATATAATGTATATGTGTGTGTGTGTGTGTGTGTGTGTGTGTATACATGTGACTTTATATAGGCAATCTTATGAAGACACTGAGCACTTTGGAAATGGAATTTCATGAATTCTGGAGTTAAGGCATCAGAAGGGCAAAAAAAAAAGGAGGTGGGAAAACTCCCCAAGATAAATTTTCATTACTTCTGAAAATTATCTCAGTGTTCATACCCATCTTAGCAGGAGTTGGGGAGGTATCCTTTTAGTCACATTATCTGCTGATATAGCTCCTGCGAAGGACAATCACGTGTGCCTTCTAAAACAACCCAGCCTCCTGGGTGCCTGTAAATCATGATGCAGCTCCCACCTAGGTCTCTAGGGCCACTCCTTACACTGGCTCTTGCTTACTCCCTTTGGCAAGACTATTCCACACCCCCTGTTATGAAGGAATATGCTGACTTTGAGGAGTACAACAGGAAAATGTTATTACTCTTTATCTTCTGGAAATCCTAAGCTTGTTGTAGTCAGTTTCCATTTGCTATGCCAAGAATGGCTATCCAAAACTACTCTCTCTGTGCCAAAGGTAAAGTACTGTTTTGGACTCTGTTTTGCAGAATCCCAAGTTTTCCCTGAGTACTTATAAAATGTTATTAAATTTTATAAAACTTATTTCACATACACTAGACTTTTATTCAGTGGCATATGTTATTGAATAGTGAAATGTAAGTTAAAATTATGAAAATATAATGATATTTTAAATGTACTAAGGGAACACACTATATTTATGGTAAGCTTTACCAGGGAATTCACAATGAAATTTCTTTGCTTCCAACAGAAAAGCAATTTCAGGCGTGATTTAAATCATATTTACATAGTGCTTTTAAAGAGGAGTCGAGTTTAGATTGCAGTAGATGCCTAGAAATAAGAGGTAGAATCTTTTAGATGGCAGTAAAAGGTCCCGTGGGGTTTAGATTATCTATCTAACATTAGAGAAAGTATGGCTCTATCACTCAAAGTTTAAAAATGGGCGTTGGGAGTATTAAGTAATTTGTTCAGTTCTGGAGCTGTAGAAGCTGGCTTTAGAATTTTCCCAGATTGGCTACCCTCATTCCTATGGGACATTTCCAGTTAGAGCTGCAGAATCAGTTTCTCCATTCTGTCTGCTAGTCAAAGGTAGGAAATTAGGTAGAGCAGCAAGTATCAAGATTTAATTTTTGTGACTGATCTAATTATGTAGAATGCTATGTCTGTGCTGCAGTCCTCTTACTCCTTTTTTATACATATTCTGCATTCCTCACAACTCTTGAATTCTTCATCTTCTGTCTAGCTTTCATTTCCTCACCTCTAAACTCTGGGTTTATTTTTCTCAAAACTACATCTGTATTGTTATTCCCTTTTCTAATCTTCAGTTAAAACTTGTGAAATGCATTTTGTCTATGTTTTACTAAGGAATATAAAAATTTCTTAAGGTATAAGCTGAATATTAACTCATTTTAAAAATCTTTTTACAGATAATTCTTCTATTTTCAAAATATCTTTAAAGCACAACAACAGGGCATTAGCTCAGGCTCTTAGTAGAGAAAAAGAGAATTCTCGAAGAATTACAACTGAAAAGATGCTATTGCAAAAAGAAGTAGAGAAACTGAATTTTGAGAACACATTTCTTCGCCTAAAGCTAAATAACTTGGTATGTAAGCTATATTGTTTTTGAATTCTAATTATAACTTAAATCTTTTAGCTGCATTATTATAGAAGCTTTAAAAATATTTTTCAAATCTCCAATAGTGAAAAATTATTGAAAGTCAGTATACCATGTAAGTCTATGTCAAAGTACAAACTGTTAATGGGTAATAAAATATGTGTTTTAAATCTACATTCTAAATGTGTGCTTGTGTGCTGTGTAAACCAGTATAATACTTTGACCAACATTCGATTGCTAATCATAAACAAAGCTTGGTACATTAATACATTTTTAAAAGATGGTCATAGTTCTTCCGGTGTTCTTGAAAGGAAAGGAATTCCCAGAATGTTGTTATTCTTTTTTAATCTCAGCATTTACCTGGCTACAAGCTAAACAGAATGAGAATTATAGTTGTTTCTTTTCCTTCCAAATTTCAACTCTGTTCACAGACAGGACAGTGAGAGCCAATGATTAGCTAGGCTGCAACTATAGATCTAAATCTAAAATGAGTAGAACTTTTTATAATGGAAAAAGGACCTACTCTACTTGTGGGTTTAATTCCGGTGGCTGACAAACTGTTCTCTTGCCATGTGATATATTACTATGAGAAGATAGAAAAATGTTTATAGGAAAACAAAATTGTTCTAAAGTATTCAACATATGTGTGTGTGTGTGTATACATGTATGTATGTATGATATGTATGACTATTTGGACTATATAATACTATTTGGTACTATATAATATACCATTTTAGCTGAATGTGATCTCAATTTTTAGCTCAATATGATATCAACTATTTTTTAAGTTTTCTCACATGGATGGCATTCATAAATGCCTGATATTATAATAAATTACAAGTCTTAACTGATTAAAAGGGGTCTTTATTTTACATGTGCAGAATAAGAAGCTTATAGACATAGAAGCTCTCATGAACAATAACTTGATAACTGCAATTGAAATGAGCAGTCTTTCTGAGGTAAGTAGAATTTATATGTAAATAGTGTTGTTCTTTAGATTACTGAGGATCACTGAGATTACTTAAATAACATCAAGGTTAGAGATTCACATTTCAAGTTTTGTGCAAAGGACTGATGATAATATCAGTTTTAACTGGCTAACAGCATATTATCATTTTGTATAATTGGTTATTGAAAATGTCATATGAAAATTAGGTTTTTATTAAAAGTAACAGGATTAGACAGGTTAGTGGAACATACTGGCTCCTAAATGGACTCAGAAACATAAAGACATTAGTAGAAAGGAAGCATTTTAAGTGAGGAAAGACTTTGGGGTTTTTGTTTTTTGTTTGTTTGTTTTAAAGATGGACACAATTGAAAAACTGGGGAAAAAAATAGAGGCTGGTCCTACTTTATACTGTTTTCTAAAACAAATTCTAAATTTCCCAAATGCTTTTCATGTGGTTCTTTTTGGAGAATTCAGAGGGCTGAGGTCAACATCTAGATTAAGGAAAAGTAAAAACTGGACAGCAGGTAGATGGAGAAGCTGGAGGTGAAGGCACAGTATACATTCTTGGTAGCTACCTTCTTGAACTTACTATTTAACAGACTAACTTTTGCATACCAAGCTTTAAAATTCTTTTTCTTTCTAGTTGTTACTAAGTGGGGCAGGTGATGGGTCATATAGACGTACTGTTCTAACATCAGAACGAGATAAGAAAAGTATAGAATAAAGTTTCACACATGCTTTTGTCCGCCTTCAGCTACTTTCTTCTCCGTTCTGTCTTCTCCTTGTACCTCATGCAGGTGATTGCTTTCATCTATTTCTTTATATAAAAACAAACAAACAAAATAAATATTTTCTTACTTTTCTTCTTTACACAAAAGATAGCATGCTATACCAGATGTTCTATACCTTTTTATGTGACATATCTTGGGGATCTCTCCATATGATTATGTGGAGTGATTCCTCATTCTCTTTTGGTGCTGCTTTGGATAGATCCAGAGTGGACTTGTAATCTACCTCACTAGGCTCCTGTTGTTGGACACTTGGGTTATCCTTTGCTGTTGGCTTGTGTTAGTGTAGAGTGCCTTTCCCTCTTGCATCATTAATTTTTTCCCTCCCTTCTGGATTATTCCCATCAGGATGCAAAAATGTTATCATCTCTCATCTTAAAAAATAAATAAATAAACCTCTTACTTCACCTACTTCCCCGCTACTATCTCAGCTCTCTTCTTGCCTTTACAGCAAAGCTTTTTGAGAGATTTATTCACTATCTCTAGTTTCTCTTGATCCCAAGCCAATTGGGTTTTCACCACCAGTCCACTAAATCCTGAAAGTCACCATTGATGTCCATGTTGCGAAAACCCACGGATAATTCTTGGTTCTTCTATTGACTTCACATGACTTTTAGAATACCACACACTCCTAAGTCTCTTCCTACCTTTCTGGCTATTCCTTTTCAGTCTGTTTGCTGGTTTCTCTTTATTTTACTAAGTTTTGGGAATGCCTTATGACTCAGTTCTTGGACTTCTCTTTTCTATCTACATTCACTCCTCCTAAATAATTTTATTCTATCTTATGGTTTTAATTACTGCTATACACTGTTGACTTTCAAATTTGTAACTCCAGCCTGACCATCTCCTCTGACCTCCAGACAATTTATATCTAATTACCTACTTGGCATCTGTTTGGATGTCTAAAAGCCATCTCAAATTTCACATTTGCCACCAAACCAGTTCTTTTTGAGATTTTCATCTAAGGTAATCACAACTCTCTTTTCCTGTCTTTTTCTCACACCCCATATCTGATCCTTTGGCAAATCATTTTAGTTCTGCCTTCAAAATCAGTCTACAATTCTACCAGTTCTCACAATCCTCTTTCACCACGCATGTCCAAGGCACTGTTATGTCTTACTTACATATTGTATTAATATTAGCATCCCAACTTGGCCTTCTTACTTTTTCTCTTGTTCCTCTATGTATTCTCTTCTTATTATAACAGCCAGAGTGATGCTGTTAAAATGTTAGTCTCTGCTTCAAACTCTCCAGTGGAGTCTTATCTATTGCTTGATGTGATCTGAAAACTGAAACTCTTCTTATTTCTTCCACCTCATTTGCTACTCTCCTCTTTCTTCCACTCCTTAACCTTTTCAGTGCAGTTCTCTTCCCACTCCCTCAGAGGTGAGCTGCTACCATAGTGCCTTTGTACATGTTCTGTCTGCATGTGACAAGTTCCCGTCCTTCAAATGTTGACTCAAAAGTGACTGCAGTGAAGCCTTCCCTAGCAACTCTGCATAAATTTAAACACTCCTCACCCCTGCACTTACATTTCATATCCTGCTTTTCTTCTTTAATCTTTCTCCTTAACACTTAACACTCACTGTATGACAATTTTGTTTATTGTTCATCCCATCAGAATGTAAGCTTTTTGAGTGCAGGGATGTCTTTACCAGAACAACATCTAGAACATAGTAGGATGCAATAAATACATATAAAATATTAGGTAGTGTTTCCCCAGTAAGACTGATGCTTGTTTTATATGTAAATAAGTAAGGTACATATATTTCCTGCAGTCCCTCTTTGATTGAGCTTTTTAAATACAAATAATGCTAAGTAATGTAAGTATCTTTTTAGTATGATGATGATGTGGTCTTTTTAGGTGGCTTAGTATGATTATTTATTTTAGTAACTTTCCTAATTTTACATTTCTGTAATAAACTTCAGAAGTGATTTTTCTTTTAATATGCTGCTGAATTCTTTTTTGCCAGTTTTGCTTAAGATTTTTCTATTGTTAGTTATAAGTGAGGACTCTGAGGTTTTTTTTCTATGCATGGAAAAAAACATAAGACCATACAGTCTTTAGGCATTGATAAAAATGTTATATATACTAAGCCCATAAAAAGAATTTGGATGTTTTACTTTTTCTATGTTCTTTAAAAGTGATACAGTATTATAATTGTTTTTCTTTAAAGGTTTTGTAGAATTATTCTGTGAAACCATCTGGACCTGGGACTTTTCTGATGAGAGTGATAGTAGCTTTTTGTTGACTTTATTTATCCTGTGGATATTGGTCCCCTTAGGAAAATGTCTTTCTTTCTTTTGTGTTTAGTTTTATTAAATTATTTTTCCTTAGAAAGTTATCTGTTTCATCTAAGTTTTTAAATGGATGTTCACAGAGTTGACCAGAGTAGTCTGTCATTATTCTTTTAATTTTGTCTGTGTTGCATTTCCCCAGTTGATTAATTTTATGTATTTGGGCTTTTATTTGTCTTTTTTCTCCCCACTATCTTAGGTTGTTGTGATTTTTCTATTTTATTTTATTCTTTTAAAAGAATCATCTTTCTAATTTAATTTAATGTTTGATGTTTCAAACATTTTTTGCTTTTATTTTTAATAAGTTCTTTTGCCTTTTTGTGGTTCATTGTTACTTTTCTAACTTTGAGTCAATGCTTTTTTTAATTGTTAACTGTAGGTAAGATGCCATTTTTCTCTCAATACTTTCAATTTTTTAAATTGTCTTTAGTTTTGAGAATTTTGACTTTGATGTGTTTTGCCATGAATTTCCTTGAGTTTATCTTTTTGAGGTTCACTCAGCTTCTTGAATTTGTAGGTTGATGTCTCTATCAAGTTTGGAAAAATGTTCAGCCATAATGTCCCCAAGTACTTTTCCAGTCCTGCCCTCTTTCTCTTTCTCCTTTCCTCTAGGACTCTGATGACAGGAATGTTTTATCTTTTTTGCTATTCCACAAATTCCTAACCCTCTGTTATTTTTTTCAGTCTCTTTTCTTTCTTGTTCAGTTTGAGTAATTTCTATTGTTCTATCTCCAAGTTCAGGGATTTCTTTCCCCCCTTTTTTTCTCGGTTTTGCTGTTGAGCCCATTTAATTTATTTTATTTTATTTGGTTATTACATTTTTCAGTTCTGAGCTCCATTCGGCTCTTTGTATCTATTTGTTTGCTGAGATGTTCCATTTTTTCATTTGTTTTAAGCATGTTAGTAATTGCTTGTTGAAGCATTTTTATGATACTTGTTTTAAAATCTTTGTCAGATAATTCCAACATTTGTGTCATCTCAGTGATGATATCTATTGTCCTTTCTCATTCAAATTTAGAGTTACCTGATTTTTGGTATGACAAGTGATTGATTTTTGATTGTATCTTGGACATTTTAGATGCATTATAAGACATTGGATCTTATTTCCATCTTGTGTTTAAGCAGACCTCCTTTGACACTACACTGGTGGTAAGGGGAGGTGCTGCCTACTGCCAAGTGGGGACTGAAGTTTAGACTTCCCATTCAGCCTCTGTTGACAACACTGTGGTGGGCATAACTGATGAGTGGGTCTGAGAGTTCAGGCTGACACCACTATGGCTGGAACAGGGAAGGGTGCACCTCATTACTTTCATGGCCTCTGCTGACATGAGGATGAGGAGGATAATGAAGGGGGGAGGTTGTTACTACTGAAGAGTGATGAAAATCCTAGTTCTTTATTAAACCACTTCTATCCCCACCATAGAGGAGAGGGAGGGGAACTCCTTCTTATCACTGAATGGGGATGTATAGCATATAGACATTTTATTTTCTGTGTATTATGATGTTTTTACATCTTTTAAAACATTATTGGCTGGAGACACTGCCCTTCTCAGGGCTAGCCAATTTTTAGAGATAGCAAGGGACCAGCCAGGAGCATGTCTTTTGTTTTAGTCTGTTTGCTGCTGCTATAACAGAATACCACATACAGGGTAATTTATTGTTTTCTTTTCTTTTTTCATTTGAGATTTCATTCTCTAAAAAGACTGGGTAATTTATAAAGAACAGAGATTCATTTGGTTCACAGTTCTGGAGGCTGGGAAGTCCAAGAGCATGATGCTGACATCTGGCATGTGTCATCCCATGATAGAAGGTGGAAGGCAAGAAAGCATGCAAGACAGAAAAGGAGACCAGACTCCTGTAACCCACTCCTGCAATAACAGCATTAATCCATTCATGAGGGCAGAGCCCTCATGACCTAATTACCTCTTAAAGGTCCTGCCTCTTAATACCATCACAATGGTAATTCAGTTTCAACATGAGTTTTGGAGGAGAGATTCAAAACCATAGCACTTTTGATATGCAAGCTAACTAATCCAGAGCCATATCTCCCCTGTCTGGCCTTTATATCTCAGGAGGCAATGGTCCTCTGCTTTGATCGTCCCAGGGTCAGGTACTAGGCAACCAGGGACCTACCTCTCCTGTGTCTTAGAGCCTGCCAAAATTATTCAAACTAGCCAATTCTAGACTATTCACCCTGCCCTGTCTTGCCTTTCCTATGGAAACTCCAATAATAGGCTCTGGCCTAAACCTTCCCCTCATTCCCATCTTCTGCCTTCTGACCATCCTAGTGTCTTTTCTGTGTGGCTCTGCATGGCCTGCTGTACCTCTTGTCTCTAGGACCTGCAAGTATAATAAACTTTATTTTTTTCCTGAGTCTCTACCTTCTTTTAATGGCTACACCCAACTGACTATCTCATAAAAAGAATATGAAACAGGATGGAGATCCAAATATGTCCTCCACTGACATTGTTGGGCGGGGATGTGCTCTTTAACACTGGGCTGTCCCAAGCCTTTTCTGATGGTACTGCTGATTTGGAAGAGAGTTGTCTTATTATAGCCTGGTGAGTGTGGAAGTTTAGGTTCCCCATTTTGACCTTTGTGCTTTTGTCAAAAATTAATTGACCAAATATATGTGAATCCATTTCTGGACTCTCTGTTCTATGTCATTGATCTATTTGTCTTATCATTATGCTAATACTGTACTGTCTCAATTACTGTAACCCTCCTAACTTTTTTCTTTTTCAAAGTTTTCTTTGTTTTTTTAGCTATTCTAGGTCTTCTGCATTTTCATATGAATTTTAAAATCAGCTTGATAATTTGGCACCATTCCCTTGTTTCTATTACAGCTTAGCTCTGTAATAAAAAACATGGTTGTGTGTTGCCTAATTTTCTGGTGTTTATTAATAATTAAAACATGTTTGTATCTGAAAATTTAGAAATATGGATAAGTAAATATATAAAAGATATATTAAAATCACCCAGATTTTGAATTTTAAAAAGCCATTTAAAAGATGTATTATAAAATTCAATAAAATATTGCATAATACATATGTAGACATGAACATATTGCATGTATGTAAAGATATTGTATTTGTGTAGGTATAGTCATGTATTTATTCCTACACATAGAAGAATGTTGAGGTTATATACCAAAATGTTGGCAGTGATTATCTTTCGTTGGCATGATTAAGGATGCACTGTGTTTTAACCTTATTATCACATTATTCTCATTAAATTATTAAAGGTAAATGCAAAAATTGTTCTTTTACTATTAATGTCATTGTATAATTTGGTACTGTGATAACTAACATGATTTAATAAGGTTAGAAACTTTGTTTTCTTTATTTTTTTCAAAAATAGTTCCATCAGAGTTCCTTTCTACTGTCAGCTAGCAAGAAGAAACGAATTAGTAAACAGTGCAAGTTGATGCGTCTTCCATTTGCAAGGTAAATATGGGCTTGAATTACACTAGTTCAGAGTATATAGATTTTATATAACACAATTAGTGTTTGTGTGTATTGTACAGTGTTCAGGATCATCAACCTGTAGTTATCTACTAACGTAGAAATGAGCTGGTTTGTAGTGTCTTGCTATAGGTTGTTTCTCTAGGACTCCAAGGAAACTTACGGTCAATCCCCCAACCAGGTTTATTTGTAATGTCTTGCTACTTTATAGTTCTTTTTTTTCTTTTCATCTAGTTCACTCCTGGCCTTATATTGATTTTTGCTGGATAAATCTGATGACTGTTTCTACCTTTATTATCCTGTGTACTGTCCTAAACTTTAAAATTAATTTTTGTCGACCAGCAGGACGTGGTGGCTCATGCCTGTAATCCCAGCACTTTGGGAGGCTGAGGCAGGAGGATCACGAGGTCAGGAAATCGAGACCATCCTGGCTAACATGGTGAAACCCCGTCTCTACTAAAAATACAAAAAATTAGCCGGGTGTGGTGGCGGGCACCTGTAGTCCTAGCTACTTGGGAGGCTGAGGCAGGAGAATGGTGTGAACTCGGGAGGCAGAGCTTGCAGTGAGCCGAGATTGCGCCACTGCGCTCCAGCCTGGGCGACAGAGCAAGACTCTGTCTCAAAAAAACAAACAAACAAAATTAACTTTTGTCTTTGCTCTTATCCTCCTGTGCACAATTCTCATTTTTTATTAATTTGATTATAAGTTATAGAAAGCACCCTATTTCAAATCTGTCATCTTACAAGTCAGTCAGTGATGCTCAGAGAGGCAAAATGATTGAATGAATTGATAGCATTGACCAAAATCCTGTTGTCTCTTTTAGAAATGTTCTTTCTATTATATATAACATATAGATTTAATGCTTTTACTTAAGTGCACAAGTAAATGCACTTATTTATTGAAATGCTATCTGTGCCATAGTAAAAAATTCTCATATTTACTGTATCACTTTCAATTCATTGTAGTTTGTTCCATTGACTTGCCTATTATGTGTGTTATTACCATTTCATACCAGTACATTTTAATTGTTGTAATTTTAAAATAGTAAATTTTGTTGTTTATTAGATCCTTAGTAGTTTTTCAAAAGTATGTTGTCATTATGCACGTATTGTTTCATATAGATATGCAAATTAAGTGTCAACTTGTCCTCCAAAAAATTGTATTGTGTGTCTTTAAGTGAACTTTTGTTTGAAGTATATTATACATATTCAAACATGGTGGATTTTCACCAAGTGAACACTGTTGTGTAATGCATACCCAGAACAAGAAACAGAATATTACCAACATCTCAGATACTTCCTTGTGTCCCTTTCTAGTCACTACCCACTACCCAACACCTACCCAAGGATAAAATATTATACTGACTTCTAATTATAGATCAATTAATTTTACATGGTTTTGAACTTCATATAATGAAATTATACAGTATGTATGTTTGTCTCTGTCTTCTTTTGCCCAGCATTATGTTTGTTAGATTCATCCATATTGCTGTATGTAGTTGTAAATTATTTGTTCTCATTGCTGTATAGTATTCAATTGTATGATTATACTACAATGTATCCATTCTTCTTATGGTCAACATTTTGTTGGTTTTCCAGTTTGTTTGTTTGCTTTTTGAGACAGAGTCTTGCTCTGTCACCCAAGCTGGAGTGCAGTGGCACGATCTTGGCTCACTGCAACCTCCACCTGCCGGGTTCAAGTGATCCTCCTGCCTCAGCCTCCCAAGTAGTTGGGATTATGGGCACCCACCACTCTTCTTGGCTAATTTTTGTATTTTTAATAGGGACAGGATTTTACCATGTTGGCCAGGCTGATCTCCAACTCCTGACCTCCAGTAATCCTCCCACCTCGGCCTCTGAAAGTGCTGGGATTACAAGCATGAGCCACCACACCTGACTTGGTTTTCTAGTTTTGGTCTATTACAAATAGGGCTGCCACATATATGCCTTTTGATGAAGGTATGCACACATTCTGTTAGGTATATAGTGTGGAGTAGAATTACTTGGGAGATCTATCTATCTATCTATCTATCTATCTATCTATCTATCTATCTTTGGCTTCAGGAGAAACTGCTAAGTAGTTTTCTAAAGGAGTTATACCAATTTACATTATTACTAACAATATATGAGGATTCCTGTTGTTCTGTATCCTCAACAATTCTTGTTATTGTCTGTCTTTTTCATTTTAGCCATTTTGAGGGATGTATAGTGGTATCATTTTGTGGTTTTATTTTTAATTTTCCTGATAATTAAGAAGTTAAGTATCTTTTCATATGTTTACTTTCTATTGGGTTATCTGTCATATTTTTTAAGGTGTTCTTTGTATACATATTTTTGTATGTGAGGCAAGGTCTCACTTTGTCACCCAGCCTGGAGTGTAGTGGTGCAATCTCAGCTCACTACAGCCTTGACCTCTTGGGCTCAAGCGATCCTCTCTCCTCAGTCCCCCAAGTAGCTGGGACTACAGGTGCATGCCATCATGCCCGGCTAATTTTTATACTTTTTGTAGAGACAGGGTTTTGCCATGTTGCCCAGGCTAGTCTTGAACTCCTGAGCTCAAGTGATCTGCCCACCTCAACCTCGCAAAGTGCTAGGATTACAGGTGTGAGCCACCATGCCTGGCATATTCTTCGTGTATCTTCTACTCTGTGGCTTGCCCCTTTGCTCTCTGAATGGTGTCTTTAGATGACCAGTAGCTCTTTATGAAATCCAACTTTGTTTGTGGCGGGGAGGTGTGTATCTTCTCCCTCACCCGCCTTTTCGGTTACTAATTTTTGTGTCCTTTTGAGAAAATCTTTATTGGTTCTGGTTCTAAAACGGCAGTGTAAGATAAGCTGGCTTCTCTTGCCCCAACAAAACAAAACAAAACAAAACAAAATATACAGTGCCAAGATCTACCACCATCAACAGCCCAGAGATCAAGCTAGTTGAGATACTTCCCGGGGCCAAAAAGAGGTGGAAAAACTCTGAGCAGATGGTAGGAGAACTGCACTTCCACATGTGCAATGCCCCTCCCTCCCATTCTGCCAGGCCCGAACTATGTGGAAAATCTCCCCTCAACTCACAGTTTCTATACTGGAAAAAGCAAAATTGAAATGGTCAGCCAGCTTCCCCACCTTCTTCAGTTCCCTGTCAGGAGAACTGTCCTTGCCTTAACTGATGGGTAGCATTATGACTGCCTGAAGGGAGAAATATCCCGGAGGACAGGCAGAGACAGACAAGCAAGGCTGGACTACCATCCCCAGCCCAGAAACTCTGCTCTGTAACTCAGCCAAAGGAAGCGCCAAATGAGAGTGGTTGTAGGAGGTGCATTCCCCAGGTCCCCTGGGTGTGAACTCCTAGCCAGCCTTCCCACATTGCTGTCCTAAACCCTTTGGGACCTCCCCCATTTTGGGACAGGCAGTGGTCAACCATTTACTAGCTCCAAGGTGAACCTGGGTTGAAGGCACCACCTGGAGCCAAAAAGAAGGCAGCAAACTAGCAGTATAGATTTGCTAAAAAAAAAAAAAAAATACAAAAAATTAGCCAGGCGTGGTGGTGGGTGCCTGTAGTCCCAGTTATTCAGGAGGCTGAGGCAGGAGAATGACGTGAACCCAGAAGGCGGAGCTTGCAGTGAGCCGAGATCCTGCCACTGCACTCCAGCCTGGGCTATCGAGCGAGACTCCATCTGGAAAAAAAAAAAAAAAAAAAAAAAAAAAGATTTGCTAGGCAGATATATTCAATAAAATCCAAAACAGGCTGGACAAAGAAAACTGGAATAAATAATCCTTCAAGGCAAAGACATAGACTTACACTCACTAGAAACTACAGCAGACAAGGAGCCATGAGCTTCCCAAAAGGACAAAAAGCAGAAATTTAGTGACTGATGAAGTGGCAGTTTGTGATTTCTTGGACCAAGAATTCTAAATAGTAGTTTTAAGGAAACTCAGTGATCTCCAAGATAACAAAGAAAAGCAGCTCAGAAATTTATCAGAGAAATTTAACAAAGAGATTAAAATAATAAAAAAAAGTCAAACAGAAATCTTGGAACTGAGAAATACATTTGCTGAGCTATAAAACTCTTTAGAGGTTCTTAACAGCAGAATGAACCAAGCAGAGGAAAGAATCAGTGAGCTGGCTATTTGAAAATACACAGTCAGAGGAGAAAAATAAATAGAAGGAAAAGGAATGAAGAGTGCCTACAAGATACAGAAAATTACCCCAAAAGACCAAATCTAAGAATTATTAGTGTTTAAGAGAGAGCTGAGCATGAGCAAGGCATAGGAAGCTTATTCAAAGAAGTAATAACAGAAAACTTTTCAAGACATGAGAAAGATATACATGTCCAGGTAAAGGAAGGCCTGAGAACACCAAACAGATTCAATGCAAATAAGACAACTTCAAGGCATATAATAATCAAACTCTCAAAGGTCAAAGACAAAGAGAAGATCCTAAAAGCAATGAGAGATAAGAAGCAAATAACACAAAGGAGCTCCAATTCATGGGGCAACAGACTTCTCCACAGAAACCATGCAGGCCAGGAGGGAGTAGAACAACATTTTCAAGGCACTCAAACAACACCAACGACAAAAAACTGACACCCAAGAATATTGTGTCCAACGAATTGTCATGCAAATTTAAAGGAGAGCTAAAGTCTTTCACGGATAAACAAAAGCTGAGGAAATTCACCACCACCAAGGACCATCTTGTGAGAAATGCAGAAGGGAGTTCTTCAATCTGAAAGTAAAAAACACTACCATGCAAAAGGAAACTTTTTAAGGTATAAAACCCACTGGTAAAATTAAGTACACAGACAAACTCAGAATCCTTTGTTAACTGTATTTATGGTGTGCAATCCACTCAAACTCTAGCATGAAGCCCAAAAGATAAATTTATCAAAACTATATCAACCTGTTAATAGATAATATAAAAATATGTAAATTGATACAACTAAAAGACAAAATGTTGGAGGGTGGAGTTAAATTATAGAATTCTTTTGTGGGTTTTCATATAAATTGTCTCAGTTCTTCAGTTAAAAGCCATAGAGTAGCTGAATGGATAAATAAATGAGACCTACCTATGTGCTCCCTTCAAGAAACTCACTTCACCTGCAAAGACACATATAGACAAAGTGGAGAAGGGCTGGAAAAAGATATTCCATGCAACTAGAAAACAAGAGCAAGAGTAGCTGTACTCGTAGCAGATAAGATAAACTACAAAGACTGTAAAAACTGGCAGTAAAGGAGGGTCACTATATGATTAAGGGGTCAATTCAACCAGAGGATATAACAATTATAAATATCTATGCACTCAACACTGCAGCTCCATATAAAGCCAACATTACTAGATGTAAAGGGAGAGAGAGACTGCAATACAGTAATAGTAGGGGGCTTTAACATCCCACTCTCAGTAATAGACAGATCATCCAGACAGAAAATCAACAAAGAAACAGCATAAACTGCACACTAGATACAATAGGTCTAACTGACATTTCACCCAGCTGCTGCAGAATACACATTCTTTTCATCAACACATGGAAGATTTTTAAGAATAGACCATATCTTAGGCACAAACAAATCTGTACAAGTTCAAAAAAATATAAATCATATCTGGTATCTTCACAATGGAAGAAAACTGGAAATTAAAATGAGAGGAACTTTGGAAAATACACAAACAAATGGAAATTAAACAACATGCTCCTAAGCAACCAATGGGTCAAAGAAGCAAGTAAGAAGGAAATTGAAAATTTTCTTAAATGAAAAGGGAAATACAACATAGCAAAGTGTATGGGGTATGGCAAAAGCAATACTGAAAGGGAAGTTTATAGCAATAAATGCGTATATCAAAAAAGGAGAAAAACTTCAAATAAACAACCTAAAAATACATGTCAAGGAATTAGAAAAGCAAGAACAAAGCAAATCCCAAGTTAGCAGAAGAAATAATAACGATCAGAGCAGAAATAAATAAAATTGATACTAAAAAAGTATAGAAGATAAAATGAAAAGTTGGTTTTTTGAAAAGATAAACAACATTGACAAACCTTTAGCTAGACTGAGAGAGAGGACTATAATAAATAAAATCAAACAAGAGATGAGACATAACACCTCAGACCTCAGAAATATAAATAATTATTAGAGACGATTATGAATAATTATACACCAACAAATCACAAAATGTGGAAGAAATGAATACATTTTTGGACACATATAACCTACCAAGATTAAACCATAAAGAAATAGAAAACCTCAACAAACCAATAACAAGTAATGAGATTGAAGCTATAATAAAAACTCTCCCATTGAAGAAAAGCCCAGGCTGGGCACAGTGGGTCACACCTATAATCCCAGCCCTTTGGGAGGCCAAGGCAGGAGAATTGCTTGAGGCCAGGAGTTTGAGACCAGCCTGGGCAATATAACAAGATCCAGTCCCTACAAAATAAAAAATTAGCTGGGTATGGTGGCTAATCCTGTGAGGATTAATCCTGTCAGGCTAATCCTGTGGTCCCAGCTACTCAGGAGGCTAAGGTGGGAGGACTGTTTGAGCCTGGGAAGTTGAGGCTGCAGTGAGCAGTGTTCACACCACTGCACTCCAGCTTTGGTGATGGAGCAACACCCTGTCTCAAAAAAAGAAAAGCCCAGGACTTGATGGATTCGCTGCTGAATTCTACCAAAAATTTAAACAATGATTATGAATCCCACTAAAACTCTTTGAAAAGGAGGGAATACTTCCAAACTCACTCTACAAGGCCAGCATTACCCTAATACCAAAACCAGACAAGGACACAACGAAAAAATAAAACTACAGACCAATATCACTGATGAACATAGATGCAAAAATCCTCAACAAAGTACTAGCAAGTCAAATTCAACAACACATTAAAAAGAACATTCACCATGATCAAGTGGGATTCATGCTAGGGTTTTAAGGATGGCTCAGCAGACACAAATCAATCAATGTGATTCACCACATTAAAAGAAACAAGAACAAAAACTGTATGATTATTTCAATAGATGCCAAACAGCTTTTGGTAAAATTCAACATCCCTTTTTGATAAAAACACTTATCAAAATGGGTATAAAAAGAATATACCTCAAAGTAGGAAAGGCCATCTATGACAAACCCACATCTAGCATTGTACTTTGAAGACTGGAACAAGACAAGAATGCCCACTTTCACTGCTATTCAACATAATACTTGAAGTACTGGCCAGAGCAACTAAGCAAGAAAACAAAATAAAGGGCATCCACATTGGAAAGGAAGAAGTCAAATTAGCCTTGTTTGCAGATTGCCTGATCTTATAAAGACTCCACTGAAAAGCTGTTAGGACACATAAGGGAATTCAGTAAAGTTGCAGGATGCAAAATCAACATAATTAGTAGCATTTATATACACCAACAGTGGACAATCTGAAAAAGAAGTCGAGAAAGCAATCCCATTTATCATCGCTACAAAAAATATGAAATACCTAGGAATCAATCTAACCAAAAGAGGTGAAAGTTCTATAGAAGGAAAATGACAAAACTCTGATGAAAGAAATAGGACACCAAAAAAGGGAAGATATTCCATGCTCATGGATTGGAAGAATTAATACTGTTAAAATGAAAATACTACCCAAAGCAATTTACAGATTCAATACAATTTGTATCAAAATACCAATGACATTCTTCACAGAAATAAGGGGGAAAAATCCTAAAAATTTATATGAACCCGCAAAAGACCCTGAGTAACCAAAGCAATCTTGAGCAAAATGAACAAAGCTGGAGGCATCACACTACATGACTTCAAAATTTATGACAAAGCTGTAGTAAACAAAACAGCATGGTACTGGCATAAAAATGGACATAGATACCAATGGAACAGAGAACCTAGATATAAATGCACCATTTACAACCAACTCATCTTCTGCAAAGGTCCCAAGAACTTACAAAGGGATAGTGGTCAATAAATAGTGCGGGAAAACTGGATAACTATATGCAGAAGAATGAAACTAGACTCCTATCTCTCACCATACACAAAAATCAAATCAAAATGGATAAAAGATTTGAATCTAAGACCCAAAACTATGAAACTATTAGAAGAAAACATTGGGGAAACACTTCAGGAGTGATCTGGGCAAAAATGTCTTGTGTAAGACCTCAAAAGCACAGGCAACCAAAGCAAAAATAGACAACTAAGATTATTACATCAAGCTAAAAAGCTTCTGCACAGCAACGGAAACAATCAACAAAGTGAAGAGACAACCCATATAATGTGAGAAAATATTTGCAAACTGTCTCTCTGAGAAAGGATTAATAACCAGCATATATTGGGAGCTTAAACAACTAAGTAGCAAAAAAAAAAAAGAAAAAAGGGGAATCATATACTGGTAGAAATGTAAATTAACATAGCCACTATGCAGAACAGCATGGAGGTTCTTCAAAAAACTGAAAATATACCTTCCATATGATCTAGCAATTCCATTGCTGAGTATATATCCAAAAAAAAAGGAAATTAGTGTATCAAAGAGCTGTCTGCACTCCCATGTTTATTGCAGCACTATTCACAATAGCCAACATGTGGAATCAACCTAAGCACCCATCAACAGATGTGTGGATAAAGTATGGAAGATATATACACAATGGCGTATTATTCAGTCATAAAAATAAAATCCTGTTATTTGCAGCAACATGGACAGAACTGAGGCCATTATGTTAAGTGAAATAAACCAAGCACCAAAAGGCAAATATTCTCACTCATATGTGGGAGCTTAAAAAGTGGATCTCATGAAGATACATTTGTGGTTACCAGAGGCTGGGAAGGGGGAGAGAGGAATGAAAGAGAATTTTCATTATCACTGAACTGTAGACTTAAAAATGGGAAAGATGTAAGTCATATATGTATCTTTTACCTCAATACATTTTTTTAAAAGGAATATTTCTATTGATTGCAAGGTCACAAGGTGTTCTGTTCTAAAATTTTTATTATTTTCCCATTCATGTTTATATATTCAGTCTACTTAAGAATTTTGGGTATGATGGGAGGGAAGGGTCATAATTTTTTTTTTCATGTAGGTATCTTACTGACCTTGTATCATTTATTGAAGCAATCATCCTTTTTCCACCCCACTGCAGTGTCATCTGTATTGTAAATCAAGGAGACTGGATATGAATGGGTCTGTTTCTAAACTCACTATTCTATTATGTGAGTCCTTTTGTCAATACCACACTGTCTTAATTATTAGCTTTATAGTAAGTCTTGCTATTTGATAGTGTGAATCTCCATTTTATTTATTTTTATTCTTCAACATTAGCTTGGCTCTTTGCATTTACACTTGAATTTTAGAATCAGCTTGTCAGTTTACACACACACATACATAACCTAGAATTTTTGGCCAGGATTATGTGGAATATAGTTCAGTGCAGGGACAACGGACATTTTATAAAATTGACTCTTCCATCTATAAACATGATATATCACTCTATTTAGCTATAATATATATTCTCTCCATGTTTTGTAGTTTTTTTGTATTGAGTTATTACATATCTCAGATTTATTTCTATTCATTTCATATAGATACTTTTTTAAAATATATTTTTTGAGATAGGGTCTTGCTATGTTGTCCAGGCTAGATTCAAACTCCTACCTCAGCCTCCTGAATAACTGAGATTACAGTTGTGTGTCACAGTGCTCAGCTTTATTTTATATTCTTAAATGATATTCTGAATGTTACTGGGTTTTGTTTGTTTGTTTTTTAAGTGAAAGCAAGTTTACTAGTAAAGTTAAGGAATAAAGAATGGCTACTCCATAAGCAGAGCAGTGGTATGGGCTGTTCAACCAAGCTTACTTGTAGTTATTCCTTGATCATATGCGAAACAAGGGGTGGATTATTCATGAGTTTTCTAGGAAGGAGGTGGGCAATTCCTGGAACTGAGGTTTTCTCCCCTTTTAGACCATATAAGGTAACTTCCTGACATTACCATGGCATTTGTAAATTGTCATGGTGCTGGTGGGAGTGTCTTTTAGCATGCTAATAAATTATAATTAGCATATAATGAGCAGTGAGGTAGACCGGAGGTCACTTTTGTCACCATCTTGGTTTTGGTGGGTTTTGGCCAGCTTCTTTACTGCAGGCTGTTTTATCAGCAAGGTCTTTGTGACCTGTACCTTTTGCTGACTTCCTGTCTCATCCATTGACTAAGAATGCCTTAACATCCTGGGAGTGCAGCCCAGAAGGTCTCAGCCTTATTTTACCCATCCCCTGTTCAAGACGGAGTTGCTCTGGCTCAAACACCTCTGACACATCCGCACCCCCCCGCCCCCTTTTACAAGGGAACCCTTAATGCTAAGGGTTGTAGAGGGACGAAAATTCATCTTCTGTAACTTCTTCAGGCTGAATAGGGGTGATAATATTCCTGCCTAACTGTTAGGGTCTCTTGTATTTGGGTAGAGAGGAGCTCAGTCAGAAGGCAACAGTATGGTGAGGACCATTCATAACTCTTGAGTTCTGACAAAAGGTGATACCTGGAAGATTAATAAGTGCACCATTTCGGAAAACATTAAGGAAGCCCATACTGCATTCCTACACAAGGAGTACAATAGCAATATATTCTACAACAGTAAAACAAAATAAGTAAAATTATCCCAAGTAAACTAAATAAGAAGGCTTTCCATGAACTGGGCAATTGTTGAAACCAAGCTAATAGGGAGTCACTAACTGATTCCAATATGTGCCCAGAATTAGAATACTGATTGAGATTTCTACATTACCTATCCCTCTTGTTTCTTTTGAGCAACAGCCAGAGACCACTGATGGGTTCACAGGAATAAGCAGAGTCAGTCTAAATTGCAGAAAAAAACTCAAAAACAACTGATGAGACTAGAATCCAATAACAGGTGTATCATAGTGCTTGAAACATAATTTTCTTCTCTCTCCAGTATCACATTTTTACTAAAGACAAATCATAATAGAACTGATTTGTTTGCAAAAATAAGCTTTAGTCTTACACTTAGCCTGATTATTTGTATAAAGTGCAGCAAGAATAATTTTTTTAAACATAAGCTCTTTTTAAACTGGCTTTGATGGAACATTGTTCCATAAGGAATCTCAGATGAGACTTTTTTAAAGCCGAGCCCAGCCATGGGTTTGTACCCTCCGATACCTATAACTTGAGTAAATTCCTCTCTTCTTGAGGTCCCAAGATAACTTGGGGCTCCTGGGCCTGTCAGAAAATGACATTATTTACTTACCGCAGGTCAAGAAACCTGTACAGGGATTGTGTACACAAGGTATGAGGCCAGTTTTCCCAATGGGCCTTTATTGGCTCTCTAAGTCTAATTTGATTGCTTAAAGGAAAGCACACCATTCCAGTCAATGCCTTGGTAAAATAACCAGTTTTTCCAATTGTGTTCTGTTGCAAAAGAAAACAGATTCTTATTGTACTTATACAAACAACTATATTGCCATCAATTAAGAATATTCACAACTAGTTTTCAAATTCTAGAGAAATCAGGTAGAGAGAAACAAACATGCTCCAAATTTTGTTCACAGGAGTATACTGTACTCAATTTTTAAAAGCTGTAAATAGCTCAAAAGAAAAATTTTGTTGACACTGAAAAACTAAAGATCATCAACGTTTCAAGCAAAAAGCCAAAAAAGATTACTTCAGACTTACATTGGTTCAGTCCATGCAGTTAAATACTGTCCTATTTGATATTCATGAACATTTCCACTCTCCATGAGTACTGGAAGTTTTTTCCTCTATTCTAATGTCACAATCTCCAAAGTTACTAGAAACTTGCATTCAAGAGCACCTGTCAAAGTCCTATAGCTGATTATAAATTACCTTTTGAAGAGGATTAAAACAAGACAATTGTCTGTAGGTGACAAAAAGTCTTAGTTAGGACAACCATTATTAAAGCCACAATCGACAAGGAAATTTTGGTTTCTTCTATGACACACAACAATTTTACATAACAGTTATAATGATTAATAACATACACTAAGCCATATCAGAGTTACAGGAATTTTGCATAATTTTGGAACACATACCAGTAATATTTATATAAGCACAAAGAAAGGCAAACACTCACATTTGACAGTGCTTCCTGTAAGATTTTTATGCCAAATACGCCAAATTTCACCACTGCATTAGTGCATTATTTATGTCAAACTCAATTCTTAATAAAACCTTATACAAAAATGTATTCAATCTTAATCAGTTTGACCTTAAGGTAAGATTCTCAAACCTTTTACAACCCTTTATAAATTTTTTTTAAAGAGCAGATCAGTGCTCTAAGAAAAACCTGTTATGCTTTTATTCCAATGTTCAATTTATGGAAAGACAGAATAATACCCCTTTAATATGTTCTCACACACAACCTTTTTACAAGATTAATTTTTCACAAACCTCCACAACTTGCTCGAATCTTCAGCTTTATCCTATCTAATTTAAAACAATTCTTCAACCCTCTCAACAAGGCAAAAAGATATTCACATTCCCATGACTTTTTATAATCTTTTCCCAAAGATTAGTTAAGTCACATGAACTAAAAGGCATTACACTTTTTACTTTTCTGACAAAATGTTTTATTTAAGCGCTTATTATTTTTAAGCCAGTTAAAGCCCTTTTATATCACACACACCACACACATAAATACACAGACAAACAAAAGAAGATCCAGTAGTTGTAAGATTTTTCATTTGCTAGTTTTTAAGTTTCTATTTCAAGCATACACTTTCTAGGGCCTAATAAGCAGGCATAGCTGGAAGGCAAAATAAATCCCCCCAAATTAAGGGTCCCATTTTTATACCAGATCCTAGATCCCAAAAAATGAGAAATGCTACGGAACAAGACAGTACAATGATTTTACTGTGCATTTTTTACAAAGCAACCCAAAGCTAATCAGCCCATTCTGTGATTAGCCCATCCCCCAGGGGAATCTTATTTCTCAGTGGTAGTGGGAGGTAAGGACATTTCCATACCTTCCAGGTGGCCAAGAGCATGCTTTTCTGATCCAAACATGCAAACAGCCGAGTATCCCCACCATAACTGCCATTAGCTATCCCCAGAAGCATATTTCCTACCAAATTATTACACCCCAATGTTCTCTCATAATGCAAAGAATTTCTGATACCCCTGAAAGTCAAAAATATCAGATAACACAATGTGAAACAGAATAGAGCCTTAGATTTTGAGGGAGATCTATCAACTTTCAATTCCTGGGGTTTCATGAGGTAAATAGGTTTTTCCCAAAACAGGGTCTGTGGTGCCTCCTCTGTTTTCCCCAAGGAGTCTCAGGCTGTTAGAGCTTGAATATCCGCTTTTTTTGTTTGTTTGTTTTGAGACGGAGTCTCACTCTTGTCATCCAGGCTGGAGTGCAATGGTGCAATCTCGGCTCACTACAACCTCCACCTCCTGGGTTCAAGCAATTCTCCTGCCTCAGCCTCCTGAGTAGCTGGGATTACAGGCACCTGCCACCAAGCCTGGCTAATTTTTGTATTTTTAGTAGAGATGGGGTTTCATCATTGTTGGCCAGGCTGGTCTCGAACTCCTGACCTCAGGTGATCTGCCCACCTCAGCCTCCCAAAGTGCTGGGATTACAGGCATGAGCCACCGTGCTAAGTCGAATATCCGCTTTTAATTATCTACTGACTTTTAGTCATAGTGCTCTTTTAAAAAGTCCTTTTAAATCTCATTACCTGATTTTAGCCAGGCCAAACAGCCAATATTTCTCGCTTTTGAATTTTACCAAAGGTAACCTCCCAGGTGAAACCAATAAGCCTAAAGTTATGACTTAACCATAAGTTAATCATATGTACATGATATTTTCAAGGAGGTGGTAAGCAATTTTTATAAGATCTAGAATCTCCAAAGGTAGCTCAGAGAAAGGAAGATTCACGAAGGGAAGCCAGAAGTCATACATGGAGGGGAAGAGAATCAACAAATGATAAAGATCACACAGATATCAACCAGAAAGTACTCATTCCCTAAGCTGGGTATTGAACCCAAGCTGCCATAGTGAAAAGACAAAGCCTTCGCCAGTAAGCTACAGCATTGGGCAGTTTCCATTACCCTTCCCAGAAGGACCTTACAGCAGCCAATTTTGAGCTTGCAAAGGCTTTTAACTGCTCAAAACAATTTTTAGAGCTAACTATGATATCAACCCCAAAACTCCTGGCCGAGAGAGAGAGAGAGACAGAGACAGAGACAGAGAGACAGAGAGAGGGAGAGAGAGAGAGATTGCCTGTGGCAAAGTGGGGCAGGCAAAGAGTTCAGGGAAGCCAGAGAAAGACCCACTCATTGCAATGACACTGAATCAAAAGTTCAGGTGGCCATTTGTCAGTTGTGAAAGGATCTTTTCCAGCAGTCCTGTCAGCTCTCAGGTTTCCCCCTTTAGGGGAGGAAAAAGCTCCCCATGTCCCATGAACATGTATGTGCCTAATCCTGTCACCCACAGCCATCTGCAAACAGTGGAAGGCAAATTAATCCAAAGAGAAGAGTGGTTAATGTCCCATAATGCCAAATTTGTTCGTAGCCAAGAGGGACTTTACTGATGGGGGCCTCTAATCCCCTACATCTCAGAAGGGACTCTAACCCTCATAAGTTGGGCCTCAAACTGAAGTTTGGTGAAGCATCCTTGCCTTTTATTAAGAGGGGCCTTTAATCCACTCTGTCTTAGGAGAGACTAACTCCCCTAAGTTGGGCCTCTAACCCAATCCCATCCTTTACCTGGGCACCCCACCACTTACCCAAAGTTGGCCAATTGGTGCTGCAGTCTATTTCCTTTGGGTCAGGGGTCTCTTCAGTATCATCCCTTCATGGTTTGCCAAGAAGATGTTATTGGAAAGCGTCCTGATCCAGACCCCAAGAGAGGGTTCTTGGATCTCACACAAGAAAGAATTCAAGGCAAATCCTTAAAGTAAAAGCAAGTTTATTAGGAAAGTAAAGGAATAAGAAATGGCTACTCCATAGGCAGAGAAGCTCTGCTTTTTAAATTTAATTTTCTTCTTGATGTTAATATATAGCAATATGATTTTTGGATATTGACCTTGTTTCCAGTGACCTTGCTATTCTAATAGTTTGTGAATAAAATTTTACTATTTGTGAATAAGGGCAGTTTTATTCCCCCTAACCTCCTAATATATAGCTTTTCTTTTATTTGTTTGTTTGTTTGTTTTGTCCAGGTTTTGGCTTTTATTTTTTCTTACCTTGTTGCATTGGCTACTTTTTTTTTTTTTTTTTGAGACAGAGTCTCACTCTGTCACCAAGCTTGAGTGCAATGGCATGATCTCGGCTCACTGCAACCTCTGCCTCCTGGGTTCAAGCGATTCTCCTGCCTCAGCCTCCTGAGTAGCTGGGACTACAGGCATGCACCATCACACCCAGCTAATTTTTGTACTTTTAGTAGAGACAGGGTTTCACCATGTTGGCCAGGGTGGTCTCGATCTCTTGAACCTCGTGATCTGTCCACCTTCGCCTTCCAAAATGCTGGGATTACAGGTGTGAGCCACCGTGCCCGGCCAGCTACTTGTTAAATATTGAATAAAAGAAGTAAGAACAGGCATTCATATTGTATTCCCATTATTAAATATTGTATTCCTGTTATTAAATATGATGTCTGCTCTTGGGTTTTTGTAGATTCTCTTAATCAGATTATGAAAGTTTCTTTGTACTTTCAGTTTGCTGAGAGTTTTTCATGAATAACTACTGAATTTTATCAAACGCTTTTTCTGTCACTATTGAGTAGATACTAATTTTTTCTTTTTTCTATTAATGTTATGAATTTTTAAATATTTTTTATTCATATAATGAATTATAAGGATTTTTGAATGTTAAACCACAATTGCATTTCTACAATGAACTGCTCCTGATGAAGTATCCTTTTGATATGCCACAAAATTGTAATTGCTAATTTTAAAAAAATATTTTTGCATCATTTTACATCATTGTATGTTGATGAAAATGATGTATAATTTTTGTTTCTTGTAATAGATTTTGTCAGGTTTTTGTATTTATAGTATGCCGGTCACTGTAAATGAATTAAGTGCACCTCTTTTTCTGTTTTATGGCAGCATTTGTGTAGGATTTTTTTTTTTTTTTTAATGTTTAGAAGTTATCTGGGCCTGCTTGCAGTTTTCTTGTGGAAAAGGTTTTGGTAACATCTCTTTTTTTTTTTTTTGAGGTGGAGTTTCACTCCTGCAACCCAGGCTAGAGTGCAGTGGTGCGATCTTGGCTCACTGCAGCCTCTGCCTTCCGGGTTCAAGTGGTTCTCCTGTCTCAGCCTCCTGAGTAACTGGGATTACAGATGCTCGCCAACGCGCCCAGCTAAATTTTGTATATTTTATAGAGACAGGGTTTCGCCATGTTGGCCAGGTTGGTCTCGAACTCCTGACCTCAGGTGATCCACCTGCCTCGGCCTCCCAGTGTGCTGGGATTACAGGCATGAGCCACCATGCCTGGTGTAACATCTCATTTCTTTAATAGGTATAAGAATATTCAGATTTCTTATTTCTTCTTATGTTAGGTTTGTAAAATTTTTTTTAAAGAATTTGACCATTTCATCTAAAATTACTGGCATAAAATTGTCCATAATATTATCAAGTTATGTGCTTAATGTGTTTTGGGTATGTAGTGAGGTTCTCTTCTTCTTTCTCAGTATTGTTATTTGTGTTTCATCACTTTTTTTCTTAGTCTTGCTCTAGAGGTCTGTCAATTTTATTCATCTTTGTGAAGGTCTCATTTGGAGCTATGTTGTTGTTTTAGTATATTTGTTTTCTATTTCATTGATTCTGCTCTTTATTGTTTCTTTCTGTTTTGCTTTTCTTTTCATTATTATTATTACTCTTATTAGTTGCTTCTTGGGGTAGTTTAGATTATCAATTTTCAGCCTCTCTTTTAAAAAAATAAGCATTTAAGGTTATTTTCCTATAATCACTGCTTTAGCTGTGTTCCACAATTTTTATTTGTTTATTTTGTGATGAGTTCTCGTTGCCCAAGCTGGACTTGATTTCCTAGGTTCAAATGATCCTCCTGCTTTAGCCTCCTGAGTAGCTGGGACTACAGGCATACATCATCAGTCTTCTAGATTCACGGTTTTTGATATACCATATCATTATTTAGTTCAAGATTTTTTTTCCTGATTTTTTATTTGACCCTGTGGATCACTTACAAGTATATTGTTTAATTTCTAAGCTGATGGGTATTTTTATTTTTACTTTTTGTTGTTGATGTCTAGCTTAATTCTGCTATAATTAGGGACTATAGTTAAAATGAATTTCGATTTTTGAAGTATATTGGGAATTTCATTAGGACAAAGCTTGATCTAATTTGGTAATTATTTGGGGTGCACATGAAAAAAATGTGTAGTTTGCAATGGTTGAACGCAGTATTTTTATGTATGGCAGCTGTGTCTAGTTTGTTAATTATAGTCTTCCATATCCTTCCTGCTTCTGTTGTCTGTTTATTCTGTCAGTTATTGAGAGAAGTTTATTAAAGTCTACCATTATGATTATGAATTCATCTGTTTCTCCTTTTAGTTTTGTCAATTTTTGCTATATGTATTTTAAAGCTGTTATTAGGTACTCATACATTTAGGACTGATTTGTTTTTCTGATTTCTAGCAATGGTTCCTGCTTTGAAGTCTACTTTGTTTGTTATAATATTTCCATGATATATCTTTTTCTATACCCTTACTTTCAAATTCTATTATATTTAAAATGCTATATAAGTGAATCAGGTGTCATTTTATCATCTTCAGGTATCTATCTTTTTCTGTTGAAAAGTTAGCACCTTTCTTGCAAGCTGAAGAAGTTCCCTTTTTTCTGGTTTTCTGAGTTTTTATAATGATTTGTATTGAATTTTGTCAAATGATTTTTTTGCATTTCTAGAGAGAATCATTATTTTTTTCTTTGTTCTATTAATACAGTGACTTCAGTGGATTTTCTAATGCAAACTTTGCGTTCCTAAAAAAAAATTCCACTTCGTTATGATGTATTATTCTTTCTATATATTGCTGGGTTTGATTTGCTAATATTTTCTTTAAAATTCTTGTGCTATGTTCATAAGGGATATTGGTCTTTAATTTTCTTACAAAAACCATTGATGGGTTTTGACAAGGGTTATGCTGGCCTCATGGGATGAGAAGCATTTGTCTTCCTCAATTTTTGAAAGAGTTTGTACAATTGGTAGTTTTTCATTAATGTTTAATAGAATTCACAAGAGAAGTAATTTGGGCCTGGAGTTTTTAATTATGAATTTAATTTTTAAAATAGATATGGGGCTTTTCAAGTTTTTGGTTTCTTTTCAAGTCAATATAGAAAACGTTTGTCTTTCAAGAAAATCACACATCTCATCTAGTCAGTAAAGTTTATTGGTGTAAAGTTACTTATACTATGCTTTTCTTATTCTTTTTTTTATTATTATACTTTAAGTTCTAGGGTACATGTGCACAACGTGCAGGTTTGTTACATATGTATACATCTGCCATGTTGGTGTGCTGCACCCATTAACTCGTCATTTACATTAGGTATGTTTCCTAACGCTATCCCTCCCCTCTGCCCCCACCCAACGACAGGCCCTGGTGTGTGATGTTCCCCATCCTGTGTCCAAGTGTTCTCATTGTTCAATTCCCACCTATGAGTGAGAACATGCAGTGTTTGGTTTTCTGTCCTTGCAATAGTTTGCTGAGAATGATGGTTTCCAGCTTCATCCATGTCCCTACAAAGGACATGAACTCATCCTTTTTTATGGCTGCATAGTATTCCACGGTGTATATGTGCACATTTTCTTAACCCAGTCTATCATTGTTGGACATTTGGGTTGTATACATTTGGGTTGGTTCCAAGTCTTTGCTATTGTGAATAGTGCTGCAATAAACATACGTGTGCATGTGTCTTTATAGCAGCATGATTTATAATCCTTTGGGTATATACCCAGTAATGGGATGGCTGGGTCAAATGGTATTTCTAGTTCTAGATCCTTGAGGAATTGCCACCCTGTCTTCCACAATGGTTGAACTAGTTTACAGTCCCACCAACAGTGTAAAAGTGTTCCTATTTCTCCACATCCTCTCCAGCACCTGTTGTTTCCTGACTTTTTAATGATCGCCATTCTAACTGGTGTGAGATGGTATCTCATTGTGGTTTTGATTTGCATTTCTCTGATGGCCAGTGATGATGAGCATTTTTTCATGTGTCTGTTGGCTGCATAAATGTCTTCTTTTGAGAAGTGTCTGTTATCCTTCACCCACTTTTTGATGGGGTTGTTTGATTTTTTCTTGTAAATTTGTTTAAGTTCTTTGTAGATTCTGGATATTAGCCCTTTGTCAGATGAGTAGATTGCAAAAATTTTCTCCCATTTTGTAGGTTGCCTGTTCACTCTGATGGTAGTTTCTTTTGCTGTGCAGAAGCCCTTTAGTTTAATTAGATCCCACTTGTCAATTTTGGCTTTTGCTGCAATTGCTTTTGGTGTTTTAGTCATGAAGTCCTTGCCCATGCCTGTGGCCTGAATGGTATTGCCTAGGTTTTCTTCTAGGTTTTTTATGGTTTTAGGTCTAACATGTAAGTCTTTAATCCATCTTGAATTAATTTTTGTATAAGGTGTAAGGAGGGGATCCAGTTTCAGCTTTCTACATATGGCTAGCCAGTTTTCCCAGCACCATTTATTAAATAGGGAATCCTTTCCCCATTTCTTGTTTTTGTCAGGTTTGTCAAATATCAGATGGTTGTAGATGTGTGGTATTATTTTTGAGGGTTCTGTTCTGTTCCATTGGTCTATATCTCTGTTTTGGTACCAGTACCATGCTGTTTTGGTTGCTGTAGCCTTGTAGTATTGTTTGAAGTCAGGTAGCGTGATGCCTCCAGCTTTGTTCTTTTGGCTTAGGATTGTCTTGGCAATGCGGGCTCTTTTGTGTTTCCACATGAACTTTAAAGTAGGTTTTTCCAATTCTGTGAAGGAAGTCATTGGTAGCTTGATGGGGATGGCATTGAATCTATAAATTACCTTGGGCAGTATGGCCATTTTCACAATATTGATTCTTCCTACCCATGAGCATGGAATGTTCTTCCATTTGTTTGTGCCCTCTTTTATTTCATTGAGCAGTGGTTTGTAGTTCTCCTTGAAGAGGTCCTTCACATCCCTTGTAAGTTGGATTCCTAGGTATTTTATTCTCTTTGAAGCAATTGTGAATCATGAGTTCACTCATGATTTGGCTCTCTGTTTGTCTGTTATTGGTGTATAGGAATGCTTGTGATTTTTGCACATTGATTTTGTATCCTGAGACTTTGCTGAAGTTGCTTATCAGCTTAAGGAGATTTTGGGCTGAGACGATGAGGTTTTTTTAAATATACAATCATGTCATCTGCAAACAGTGACAATTTGACTTCCTCTTTTCCTAATTGAATACCCTGTATTTGTTTCTCCTGCCTGATTGCCCTGGCCAGAACTTCCAACACTATGTTGAATAGGAGTGGTGAGAGAGGGCATCCCTGTCTTATGCCAGTTTTCAAAGGGAATGCTTCCAGTTTTTGCCCATTCAAAACTGGAGGCTGTGGGTTTGTCATAAATGACTCTTATTATTTTGAGATACATCCCATCAATACCTAATTTATTGGGAGTTTTTAGCATGAAGGGCTGTTGAATTTTGTTAAAGGCCTTTTCTGCATCTATGGAGATAATCATGTGGTTTTTGTCTTTGGTTCTGTTTATATGCTGGATTACGTTTATTGATTTGCATATGTTGAACCAGCCTTGTATCCCAGGGATGAAGCCAACTTGATCATGGTGGATAAGCTTCTTGATGTGCTGCAGGATTTGGTTTGCCAGTATTTTATTAAGGATTCTTGCATCGATGTTCATCAGAGTTATTGGTCTAAAATTTTCTTTTTTTGTTGTGTCTCTGCCAGGCTTTGGTATCAGGATGATGCTGGCCTCATAAAATGAGTTAGGGAGGATTCCCTCTTTTTCTATTGATTGGAAGAGTTTCAGAAGGAATGGTACCAACTCCTCTTTGTACCTCTGGTAGAATTCAGCTGTGAATCCATCTGGTCCTGGACTTTTTTTGGTTGGTAGGCTATTAATTATTGCCTCAATTTCAGAACCTGTTATCGGTCTATTCAGGGATTCAACTTCTTCCTGGTTTAGTCTTGGGAGTGTGTATGTGTCCAGGAATTTATCCATTTCTTCTAGATTTTCTAGTTTATTTGCATAGAGGTGTTTGTAGTATTCTCTGATGGTAGTTTGTATTTCTGTGGGATCGGTGGTGATATCCCCTTTATCATTTTTTATTGCATCTATTTGATTCTTCTCTCTTTTCTTCTTTATTAGTCTTGCTAGCGGTCTATCAATTTTGTTGATCTTTTCAAAAAAACCAGCTCCTGGATTAATTGATTTTTTGAAGGGTTTCTTTGTGTCTCTATCTCCTTCAGTTCTGCTCTGATCTTAGTTATTGCTTGCCTTTTGCTAGCTTTTGAATGTGTTTGCTCTTGCTTCTCTAGTTCTTTTAATTGTGATGTTAGGGTGTCAATTTTAGATCTTTCCTGCTTTCTCTTGTGGGCATTTAGTGCTGTAAATTTCCCTCTAGACACTGCTTTAAATGTGTCCCAGAGATTCTGGTATGTTGTGCCTTTGTTGTCATTGGTTTCATAGAACATCTTTATTTCTGCCTTCATTTCGTTATGTACCCAGTAGTCATTCAGGAACAGATTGTTCAGTTTCCATGTAGTTGAGCAGTTTTGAGTGAGTTTCTCAATCCTGAGTTCTAGTTTGATTGCACTGTGGTCTGAGAGACAGTTTGTTGTGATTTCTGTTCTTTTACATTTGCTGAGGAGTGCTTTACTTCCAACTGTGTGGTCAATTTTGGAATAAGTGTGATGTGGTGCTGAGAAAAATATATATTCTGTTGATTTGGAGTGGAGAGTTCTGTAGATGTCTATTAGGTCTGCTTGGTGCAGAGCTGAATTCAATTCCTGGATATCCTTGTTAATTTTCTGTCTCATGGATCTGTCTAATGTTGACAGTAGGGTGTTAAAGTCTCCCTTTATTATTGTGTGGGAGTCTAAGTCTCTTTGTAGGTCTCTAAGGACTTGCTTTATGAATCTGGGTGCTCCTGTATTGGTTGCATATATATTTAGGATGGTTAGCTCTTCTTGTTGAATTGATCCCTTTACCATTATGTAATGGCCTTCTTTGTCTCTTTTGATCTTTGTTGGTTTAAAGTCTGTTTTATCAGAGACTAGGATTGCAACCCCTGCCTTTTTTTGTTTTCCATTTGCTTGGTAGATCTTCCTCCATCCCTTTATTTTGAGCCTATGTGTGTCGCTGCACATGAGATGGGTCTCCTGAATACAGCACACTGATGGGTCTTGACTCTTTATCCAATTTGCCAGTCTGTGTCTTTTAACCGGAGCATTTAGCCCATTTACATTTAAGGTTAATATTGTTATTTGTGAATTTGATCCTGTCATTATGATGTTTGCTGGTTATTTTACTTGTTAGTTGATGCAGTTTCTTCCTAGCATCAGTGGTCTTTACAATTTGGCATGTTTTTGCAGTGGCTGGTACCAGTTGTTCCTTTCAATGTTTAGCGCTTCCTTCAGGATCTCTTTTAGGGCAGTCCTGGTGGTGACAAAATCGCTCAGTATTTGCTTGTCTGTAAAGGATTTTATTTCTCCTTCACTTATGAAGCTTAGTTTGGCTGGATATGAAATTCTGGGTTGAAAATTCTTTTCTTTAAGAATGTTGAATATTGGCCCCCACTCTCTTCTGGCTTGTAGAGTTTCTGCTGAGAGTTCTGCTGTTAGTCTAATGGGCTTCCCTTTGTGAGTAACCCAACCTTTCTCTCTGGCTGCCCTTAACATTTTTTCCTTCATTTCAACTTTGGTGAATCTGACAATTATGTGTCTTGGAGTTGCTCTTCTCAAGGAGTATCTTTGTGGCATTCTCTGTATTTCCTAAATTTGAATGTTGGCCTGCCTTGCTAGGCTGGGGAAGTTTTCCTGGATAATATCCGGAAGAGTGTTTTCCAACTTGGTTCCATTCTCCCCGTCACTTTCAGGTACACCAGTCAGACGTAGATTTGGTCTTTTCACATAGTCCCATATTTCTTGGAGGCTTTATTCATTTCTTTATACTCTTTTTTTCTCTAAACTTCTCTTCTTGCTTCATTTCATTCATTTGATCTTCAATCACTGATACCCTTTCTTCCAGTTGATCAAATCAGCTACTGAAGCTTGTGCATGCATCACATAGTTCTCATGCCATGGTTTTCAGCTCCATCAGGTCATTTAAGGTCTTCTCTATGCTGTTTATTCTAGTTAGCCATTTGTCTAATCTGTTTTCAAGGGTTTTAGCTTCTTTGCGATGGGTTTGAACATCCTCCTTTAGCTCGGAGAAGTTTGTTATTACAGATCGTCTAAAACCTTCTTCTCTCCACTCATCAAAGTCATTCTCCATTCAGCTTTGTTCCGTGGCTGGCAAGGAGCTGCATTCCTTTTGAGGGGAAGAGGTGCTCTAATTTTTAGAATTTTCAGCTTTCTGCTCTGGTTTCTCCCCATCTTTGTGGTTTTATCTGCCTTTGGTGTTTGACGATGGTGACGTACAGATGGGGTTTTGGTGTGGATGTCCTTTCTCTTTGTTAGTTTTCCTTCTTACAGTCAGGACTCTCAGCTGCAAGTCTGTTGGAGTATGCTGGAGGTCCACTCCAGACCCTGTTTGCCTGGGTATCACCAGTGGAGGCTGCAGAACAGCAAATATTGCAGAATGGCAAATGTTGCTGTCTGATCGTTCCTCTGGAAGCTTCATCTCAGAGGGGCACTCGGCCATATGAGGTGTCAGTCGGTCCCTACTGGGAGGTGTCTCCCAGTTAGGCTACTCAGGGGTCAGGGACCCACTTGAGGCGATAGTCTGTCCATTCTCAGATCTCAAACCCTGGGCTGGGGGAACGACTATTCTCTTCAAAGCTGTCAGACAGGGACGTTTAAGTCTGCAGAAATTTCTGCTGCCTTTTGTTCAGCTATGCCCTCCGCCAGAGGTGGAGTCTACAGAGGCAGTCAGGCCTCCTTGAGCCGCAGGGTGCTCCACCGGCTTCAAGCTTCCTAGCCGCTTTGTTTACCTACTCAAGCCTCAGCAATGGCGGGCACCCGTCCCCCCAGCCTGGCTGCTGCCTTGCAGTTCAACCTCAGACTGCTGTGCTAGCAAGAGCGAGGCTCCGTGGGCGTGGGACCCTCTGAGCCAGGCGCCGGATATAATCTCCTGGTGTGCCATTTGCTAAGACTGTTGGAAAAGCACAGTATTAGGGTGGGAGTGACCCAATTTTCCAGGTGCTGTGTGTCAAGGCTTCCCTTGGCTAGGAAAGGGAATTCCCTGACCCCTTGCACTTCCCAGGTGAGGCGATGCCTTGCAGTGCTTCAGTTCACACTCCGTGGGCTGCACCCACTGTCCTGTACCAACTCTCCAACAAGCCCCACTGAGATGAACCTGGTACCTCAGTTGGAAATGCAGAAATCACCCGTCTTCTGCATCGTTCATGCTGGGTGCTATAGACTGGAGCTGTTCCTATTTGGTCATCTTGGAACCTCTCTTATTCTTTTAATGCCTGTAGCATCTGTAGTGAGAACCTTTCTTTCCTGATTTTTGTAATTTGTATGTTTAATCAAACTAGCTAGAGGTGTGTCAGTTTTATTGTTCATTTAACAAACTCAGCTTTTGGCTTCATTGATTTTATTTTTCTCAATTTTATGTTTTATATTTCATTGGTGTCTATTTTTAAATTATTTCCTTTCTTGTATTTACTTTTAAAAACATAGAGATATATAATTCACTTAACATAAAATTTCTTATCACATGAAATTCACCCTTTTAAAGTATACAGTGCAGTGGTTTTAGTATATTCACAAAGCTTTGAATCTTCACCCTGTTCATTTCTAAAATATTTCAATCTCTAAAAGGGAATCTCATATCTATAAGCAGTCTCCATTCTCCACCCCCCTAGCCCCTAACAACTGCTAATCTACTTTCTGTCTAAATGGATTTGGCCATTTTGGATATTTCATATGAATGGAATCATAAAATATGTGGCCTTTTGTGTCTGGCTTTTTTCACTTAGCATATTGTTTTCAAGGTTCATTCATGTTGTAGCACATATGAGCATTTCATTACTTTTTATGGAGAGACAATAATTCTGTTGTGTGGATATACCATGTTTTGTTTATCCATTCATCAATCAATGGACATTTGTATTGTTTCCACTTTTTGGCTATTATGAATAATGCTGCAATAAACATTCATGTACAAATTTTTGTGTGGACATACATTTTCAGTTCTCTTGAATATATGCCTAGCAGTGGAATTGCTGGGTCATCTGGTAACTCCGTGTTTAACTTTTGGAGAAACTGCCAAATTGTTTTTCCAAGCTTCTGCACCATTTTACATTCCCGCCAGCACAGTATTTTGACACTGATTTCTCCATCTCCTCACCAACACTTGTTAATAATTATCTATTCTTGTGAGTATAGCCATCTAGGAGTATGAAGTAGTATTGCATCATGGTTTTTATTTGTAGTTCCCTATTAATTAATGATGTCAAGTATATTTTTATGTACTTATTGGCCATTTGCGTATCAAGATCATTCTCTTTTGATTATCTTTTCCATGTGAGTTTAAATCATGTTTTTCTATTGCTTCATATATTGGATAATATTAGATTGCACCTGGGTATTGTGTATCCCTTGTTGGAGAAAATGTAGATTCAGTTATGCTCACCCAAAGAGTTTTGATGTTTCAATTTTAATAGGCACTAACCTTGTCTGAACCCAAAATAAGCAACATCTGAAATCTCATTTTAGTTGTTTTATCCTTAGATAGCTGCTTCGAATCTTCCTCATATATATGGGATTCAGAGGTCAGCTAGATATTTGGGGAGCATTTATACACAAAATTTGGGGCTCTCCTCTTTACCTCTCTTATCTGACATTTCCCCCCATCACTTCACAGCTGTTATAGTTGCCCTGAATTCTAACCTTGAACCAATAAGACTGTAGGTTTCCAACTTTTTTTGAATGTGGCACCAGCTGAGGCTGTAAAACAATGGGAAACTCACTCTTCTTCCAAGTGTTGGCACCCCCTTCGCTAGCTCTCTACTTGCTTTTTGTCCATTCACTGACTTCTAGTAGTTGTTTTTTAAAATATTTTGTCCAGAATTTATAGTCATTATGTTAGGTAGGGTTGGTCTGATAGTAACTTTTAGCCATTACCAGAAGCAGAACCTCTCCGTTTATTTTTGTTAACTTGTTTCCTCAAGTGGTATAGAAATTTCCTCCCAACAGCTATTCTACTGGTAGTTGCCTTTAAATTTCTCATAAATATTTATCAGAAATATTTTATTTTTCTTATTATAAATTATTTTAAAATATCTGTGATTTCCTTGGAATACAAGACAGCTCTTTACTGTTTGTGGACGATATTACTCTTCATTCTTTGAATTCAAATATGTCAGTGTATCAAATTATTTCTGTGGGTTTCTGTCAGTTTTCTTCCCATAGATTTAATTACTCTAGGAATAATGATTTTAGTGTACTTGGATGCCTTTTGGAAACATAGCAAACTTATTTCACACATAATTTTATAAACAATTACATTTGCTAGAAACCAAAGGAAGATTTTTGGGTATTACATAGAATTAAAATTTTATGAAAAGTATAAATATTATACATGGCTGTTTGTAAGTACATTTGAACTTTTTTCATTTGCTTAATAGTAGTCTTCTAATAGCACAAGAAGTAAATATATAAATTATCTTCTTTTGGGGCCACTGTGACTAAGGGGTTAAGAAGCATTCATGTTTCCTTCCAAGTTCTGTTCTAGTAGGAACTACTCATTTCCTACCTTTAAGTGTCTTCATTGAACTTGAAAAAGTACCAGGTGGATTTGTGGTTCGATCTTAAATAGAATATAGAAATAACTGCCCATGCATTTAAAGAAAATTTATAAAACACATAATTTCTCATTTCCTTCCCACTTGCCTTTAGGGTTCCATTAACTTCAAATGATGATGAAGATGAAGATAAAGAGAAAATGCAGTGTGACAACAATATTAAATCAAAGACATTACCTGATATTCCCTCTTCAGGATCAACAACACAACCTTTATCAACTCAGGATAATTCGGAAGTGTTATTTCTTAAAGAAAATAATCAAAATGTATATGGTTTAGATGATTCAGAACATATTTCTTCTATAGTTGATGTACCTCCCAGAGGTGAGATTGTTTTAAAAATTCATTTTGAGTATTTGTATTAGTTACATTCATCAGATGTTCTTCCTGAGGGCAATTATGTATAACAGTTAATAAGTTAGCTCTCTTATGTTACCGATTTGCTAACTTCTGCCATTTAAAACTGCTGGTGATAGATTTAATTTTAAAGTAAATATGCTGACAAACATCACACCCACAGTGGCCTAATACTGTTACTCTGGAAGAAATATTTAGAAATAAATGGACCTAATGAGCTTTTCTCAATATCTTAGCTTATGATTTGAAAGATACCATATATTTACTTAGTTTTACCCTCTTTTTTTGTAGATATGAAAATTGGGGGCCTAGATAGGTATAGAGACTCTTTGAAGATCATCACCAGTTAATTAATGGTAAAGCAAAAACTTGAGTCTGGGTAATGGTTGAGCAAGAAAAAAGATGGCATTTACATTTTATTTACATAGTATTCCTAAATGATAATCTGTGGTGTAGTCTGGTGCTTACAGATTTGCCATAGATTTTCAGACTGGGATATGGAACTATAACAATTTTGAATTTAGAGCTTAGAATTGTTTTTCCTTTCTGAAAATGTGTGTGTGTGTGTGTGTGTGTGTGTGTGTGGGCATATGTATATGTATATAATATATACACACACACATATATACACACATATATATGGTATACATATAATGTATACAGTATACATATATACATGTGTGTATATATTTACACACATACAAACATATATTAATATATGTATATATAATTTATATAAATTTTAGCTGCCTGTTGATAGTCTTTGATAGCAATCCTTTTCAGAGCTATCACTATTATTTGGGTTCATTTGCTGGCCTCCTTTCACTCTAGAAATGTATGCTAATGGTTCTACTGTTGGCTGTACTCCACTCTACTGTTGGGGCTGAGGCAGAATTCTCAGTATATATTTTCTGTAGATACAAATGTAAAATGTGATTTAGGAGTATTCATCATTTCTAACTTATTTTCTTATAAGCATAGATTCTTAGTAATATTAGGATCTGATCAGAACACATTGTCAGAAATTATATCTGTGAAACAGCTTGATTTCGAATCTAATTTGTTTAAGGTAACTTATTTATTTCATTACTTGTTTCTGAGTTTTGTTTTCCTTTTCTTAATAGAAAGCCATTCCCACTCAGACCAAAGTTCTAAGACTTCTCTAATGAGTGAGATGAGAAACGCCCAGTCTATTGGCCGCAGATGGGAGAAACCATCTCCTAGTAATGTGACTGAAAGGAAGAAGCGTGGGTCATCTTGGGAATCAAATAATCTTTCTGCAGACACTCCCTGTGCAACAGTTTTAGATAAACAACACATTTCAAGTCCAGAATTAAATTGCAATAATGAGATAAATGGTCATACTAATGAAACAAATACTGAAATGCAAAGAAATAAACAGGATCTTCCTGGCTTATCTTCTGAGTCTGCCAGAGAACCTAATGCAGAGTGCATGAATCAAATTGAGGATAATGATGACTTTCAATTGCAGAAAACTGTGTATGATGCTGACATGGATTTAACTGCTAGTGAAGTCAGCAAAATTGTCACAGTCTCAACAGGCATTAAAAAGAAAAGTAATAAAAAAACAAATGAACATGGAATGAAAACTTTCAGAAAAGTGAAAGATTCCAGCTCTGAAAAAAAGAGAGAAAGATCAAAGAGACAGTTTAAAAATAGTTCAGATGTCGATATTGGGGAAAAGATTGAAAACAGGACAGAAAGATCTGATGTCCTGGATGGCAAAAGGGGTGCAGAAGATCCCGGTTTTATTTTCAATAATGAACAGCTGGCTCAGATGAATGAACAGCTGGCTCAGGTGAATGAACTAAAGAAAATGACCCTTCAAACTGGCTTTGAACAAGGTGACAGAGAAAATGTACTGTGTAATAAAAAGGAGAAAAGAATAACAAATGAGCAAGAGGAAACATACTCTTTATCCCAAAGTTCAGGTAAATTTCACCAGGAGAGTAAATTTGATAAGGGTCAGAATTCCCTAACTTGTAATAAAAGTAAAGCTTCTAGACAGACATTTGTGATTCACAAATTAGAAAAAGATAACTTACTCCCAAACCAAAAGGATAAAGTAACCATTTATGAAAACCTAGACGTCACAAATGAATTTCACACAGCCAATCTTTCCACCAAAGATAATGGAAATTTATGTGATTATGGGACCCACAATATATTGGATTTGAAAAAGTATGTCACTGATATTCAACCCTCAGAGCAAAATGAATCAAACATTAATAAGCTTAGAAAGAAAGTAAACCGGAAGACAGAAATAATTTCTGGAATGAACCACATGTATGAGGATAATGATAAAGATGTGGTGCATGGCCTAAAAAAAGGTAATTTTTTTTTCAAAACCCAAGAGGATAAAGAACCTATCTCTGAAAACATAGAAGTTTCCAAAGAGCTTCAAATCCCAGCTCTTTCTACTAGAGATAATGAAAATCAATGTGACTATAGGACCCAGAATGTGTTGGGTTTGCAAAAGCAGATCACCAATATGTACCCCGTTCAGCAAAATGAATCAAAAGTTAATAAGAAGCTTAGGCAGAAAGTAAATCGGAAGACAGAAATAATTTCTGAAGTGAATCATTTAGATAATGACAAAAGTATAGAATACACAGTTAAAAGTCACTCACTCTTTTTAACGCAAAAAGATAAGGAAATCATCCCTGGAAACCTAGAAGACCCAAGTGAGTTTGAAACACCTGCTCTTTCTACCAAAGATAGTGGAAACCTGTATGATTCTGAGATTCAAAATGTTTTGGGGGTGAAACATGGCCATGATATGCAACCTGCTTGTCAAAATGATTCAAAAATAGGTAAGAAGCCTAGACTAAATGTATGTCAAAAGTCAGAAATAATTCCTGAAACCAACCAAATATATGAGAATGATAACAAAGGTGTACATGACCTAGAAAAAGATAACTTCTTCTCTCTAACCCCAAAGGATAAAGAAACAATTTCTGAAAATCTACAAGTCACAAATGAATTTCAAACAGTTGATCTTCTCATCAAAGATAATGGAAATTTATGTGATTATGACACCCAGAATATATTGGAGTTGAAAAAGTATGTTACTGATAGGAAATCTGCTGAGCAAAATGAATCAAAAATAAATAAGCTCAGGAATAAAGTGAATTGGAAGACAGAAATAATTTCTGAAATGAACCAGATATATGAGGATAATGATAAAGATGCACATGTCCAAGAAAGCTATACAAAAGATCTTGATTTTAAAGTAAATAAATCTAAACAAAAACTTGAATGCCAAGACATTATCAATAAACACTATATGGAAGTCAACAGTAATGAAAAGGAAAGTTGTGATCAAATTTTAGATTCCTACAAAGTAGTTAAAAAACGTAAGAAAGAATCATCATGCAAGGCAAAGAACATTTTGACAAAAGCTAAGAACAAACTTGCTTCACAGTTAACAGAATCTTCACAGACATCTATCTCCTTAGAATCTGATTTAAAACATATTACTAGTGAAGCAGATTCTGATCCAGGAAACCCAGTTGAACTATGTAAGACTCAGAAGCAAAGCACTACCACTTTGAATAAAAAAGATCTCCCTTTTGTGGAAGAAATAAAAGAAGGAGAGTGTCAGGTTAAAAAGGTAAATAAAATGACATCTAAGTCAAAGAAAAGGAAGACCTCCATAGATCCTTCTCCAGAGAGCCATGAAGTAATGGAAAGAATACTTGACAGCGTTCAGGGAAAGTCTACTGTATCTGAACAAGCTGATAAGGAAAACAATTTGGAGAATGAGAAAATGGTCAAAAATAAGCCAGACTTTTACACAAAGGCATTTAGATCTTTGTCTGAGATACATTCACCTAACATACAAGATTCTTCCTTTGACAGTGTTCGTGAAGGTTTAGTACCTTTGAGCGTTTCTTCTGGTAAAAAT
Source organism: Homo sapiens (assembly GCF_000001405.40). Taxonomy (NCBI): domain Eukaryota; kingdom Metazoa; phylum Chordata; class Mammalia; order Primates; family Hominidae; genus Homo; species Homo sapiens. The sequence goes on from NC_000002.12 coordinate 200,573,854, forward strand.
GTGATAATAAAAGAAAATTTTGCCTTGGAGTGCTCCCCAGCCTTTCAAGTAAGTGATGATGAGCATGAGAAGATGAACAAGATGAAATTTAAAGTCAACCGGAGAACCCAAAAATCAGGAATAGGTAGGTTAATAACCATTATGAAATGATAAAGTTTTAGAAGTGTTTTGTTTTTTGTTTTCGTTTTTTACTTAGCCAGTGAAGTATTTTCTAACTGGTATTTTTATGGAATTTAAAAACAATATATAACTGAGTACATGATCCATAGAAATAGCATGAAGGAATAAAGAAAGTTTCATACTTTGGGAAATAACAGTGAGAGTATCTTGGACATTTACAACTATAAATGGATTTGGCCTTTACCACAAACTTGTCTAATAAAGACCATAGGCAAATAATTTGCTTTTTCATACATCTGAAGGAAATTGAATGTTTTAAATGTATATAATAATGAATTGTACTGGTTTTTATTTTACTGAAGACAGTTGCATGTTTCTTGAGAGTGAGACTCTTTCCCCATTCAACAACGTATATTTAATGTGATCAAACCCTTCTAGATATTATAGAGGACTGAAAAATAAACAATACCAACCCCCTTTCCTCAGATTCCATGTATGTAACAAACATCATGGTGAAATGGAATAAACGATTCTTTAAGCACATGTATTATGCTAAGGGATATAATGGGGAGTAATTTTGACTAGAGGAATCTTCAAACGCATCCTTAAATAGGTAGCATTTTAGGCCCTAAAGGATAAGTAAGATTTTTACCTGTAGTATTTACTTTTTATTTTTTTCCCAGTTATTAAAATAGTACTCATTGCAAAAAAATCAAAAGTAGAGAGTCAGAAAAAGGGAGGGGGAAAAAATCACCTGGGAGAACTTTAGTCCATTTACCATGTGCATGCAGACCCAAATCTATGGAATTTTAAATATATATTTCTTTTGCCATTAGAAATTTTGTAATATTAAACATTCCTATACCAATTAAAAATTTTTACTGGGAGCCTATTATTTCAATATATGTGTGTAGATCCCTAAGGTTTTGGCGGGTAAGTCAATTCCAGGTAAAAGCACACTGAAGCAAAAGAATTACAAAGGTTTAGAGTTGCAGGATTTGTTAGAAGACTGGTGAGACATTTTTTATCTTTGTGCTCCTCATGGTGCCTTACACAGAGTGAGTGATCAATGGCATATATGTTGAATGAACTGTAATTTGTGTGCTTCCATGAAAAGAGTTGAACTAGGATGAACTTTGGGAGCCATATGTGATTTCAGAATGAAAAAGTTATAGGCTACTTTGACAGTTTGTTTCAAATGTTAGTCTCTTTCCTCTCAAAATTGAATCAAGATTTAAAATTTGCTGTGGTGATTTGCAGACCACTATATAGCTCATATCTATTTGTATCTCTATATACTTTTTAAAATATTTGTGAAAAATAATATTCTTTTTCAGGTGATAGACCATTACAGGACTTGTCAAATACCAGTTTTGTTTCAAATAACACTGCTGAATCTGAAAATAAGTCAGAAGATCTATCTTCAGAACGGACAAGCAGAAGAAGAAGGTGTACTCCTTTCTATTTTAAAGAGCCAAGCCTCAGAGAGTAAGTATTTCAAATGATTTTAGTATGCCATTATAAAATATATCCTTAAAAAAATTTCTGCCTGAATTAGTATTTGAGCACTTCTGATAATTCAATAAAATGTATATTATTGATATGTAACAACCACAGTATGATTTGGGTAAGAGTTGAAGAAATATGTCCTTTGGACAGGCTATTTTTGGGGGGTTGGAGAATTGTCTGGATTTAAATTGATTTGCTTTTGGTTAGTTCCCAGTTCTACTACTGTCATATTTTAAATTGTAGCCTGATACTTATAATTTTTAAAATTTGTGGCCTGTGATTTGCAAGCCATTTTTGTTACCCCATTTGTTTATTTCCTACCTTGTTCCCTAGAAGTCAAAGTGGTTTATGTGTCCTTTACTCTCAAAGAATAACAGTCCTTTCTCTTTATTTTTGTAAATTTCAAACATACCCCAACAAAGAGAATAGTGCCCTCCTCCAATTTATCCATTCCTCAGGTTCAACAGTTATAACACTTTGTCGAATTTGCTTCATGTATCCTTTTTGTTGTATTTTAGAGTCTCAAATATTGAGTCATTTAATTCTTAAAACACTTCGATATATCTCTCTCTAAAAAGTAAGAACTTAAAGTTCTTAGCAAAACTAGACAACAATGATCACATCTAACAAAAAAGAATGATTCTCATGGGTATTTTAAAGCAATAACCAGCAGATGGCAGTAATATAAGGCAGGGTAAAAGAAAATTAAAAGTGAAATTAAGGACCAAGGGGCCTTTTTTTTTTCTTTTTTCTTTTTTTTTTAAACAGCTATTGAGAGATATAATTCACACAATTTAAACTGTACAATTTAGACCAGATGTGGTGGCTCACACCTGTAATCCCAGCACTGTGGGAGGCTGAGGCAGGTGGATTGCATGAGGCCAGGAGTTCAAGACCAGCCTGGCCAACATGGTGAAACCCCATCTCTACTAAAAATGCAAAAAGTAGCTGGGCATGGTGGCGTGCGCCTGTAGTCCCAGCTGCTCGGGAGGCTGAGGCAGGAGAATCACCTTGAATTCGGAGGCAGATGTTGCAGTGAGCTGAGATTATACCACTGCACTCCAACCTGGGTGACAGCGTGAAACTGTCTCAAAAAAGAAAAAAAAAGTATGCAATATTCTGGTTTTTAGTATATTCATCAATATGTGCAACCATTACCAGAGTCAATTTTAGAACATTTCTTTACTTAAAAAGAAACCCTGTACCCTTTAGTTATCACTTTCCTATCCTCCCAATTCTAGGCAACCACTAATCAACTTCTTGTCTCTCTAGATTTCCCTGTTCTAGACATTTCATATGAATGGAATAATAGAATATGTGGTCTTTGCAACTGGCTTCTTTCACCCAGCATGTTTTAAAGTTTCTTTCATATCATAGCATGTATCAGTATTTCAATTCATTTTTATGACTGGATAATATTCCATTGTGTAGATGTACCACATTTTGTTCATCCATTTGTTCTTTGATGGACAATTGGGTTGTTTTCATCTTTTGGCTATTATGAATATGCTACTATGAACATTCTTTTGCAAGGTTTTGTGTGTAAAGTATTGTTTTTTTTTTTTTCTTGGATATATCCCTAGGAGTGGAATTGCTGAGTCTGTTTAATTGTTTGAGGAACTGCCAAGCTGTTTCCAAAACTGCTGTACCATTTTACATGCTTACCAACGATGATGATTTTTAAAAATTTCTCTTTATCTTTACCAACACTTGTTTTTCTATGACTGATTCTAGCCGTCCTAGTGGGTATGAAGTGATATTGCATGGTGGTTTTGATTTGCAATCCCCTGATAACTAATGATGTTGAGCGTCTTTTCATGTGCTTACTGGCCATCTGTGTATCTTCCTGGAGAAATGCCTGTTGAGATCCTTTGCCCATTTTTCAGTTGGGTCATTTGCCTTTTAATGAGTTGTAAGTTAAACTTTATTTTGAACTAATTTTAGACTTATGGTAAAGTTGTAAAAATAATACAAAGGTTTCCCCTATGGTCCTCTCCCAGCATTCCTTAATTTTAATGTCTTATGTGCCCACAGTAAAATTATCAAAACTAAAGAATTAGCATTGGTACAATACTATTACCAAACTATAGACTTTCACTAACATCACTTTCTGTTTCAGAATTCTATCTGGAGTCCCACATTGCATTTAGTTGTTGTTTCTCCTAAGCATCCTCCAACCTATGACAGTTTTCAGTCTTTTTTTTTTTTTTCTGCCTTGGACACCTTTGAAGACTACTGGTCAGTTTATTTTGTAGAATATCTCTCAGTTTGGGTTTTCTGATATTTTCTCATGATTGCAATGCAGTTGTGCTTTTTTGGCAAATATTTCACAGAAATTATATGTCCTTCTTGCCTCATTTCAAGGCTTCATCATGTCAGTGTGTTTCATTACTAGTCATGTTAGCCTTGATTCCTTGGTTAAGGTGGTGTCTGTTGGGTTTTTTAACTGTGAAGTCACAATCTTTTCCTCTATTGTTAATGAACATGGGAGGGAGATACTTTGAGTCTATATATTCCATTTCTCAAACTTTCACCCACTAATTTTAGCATCCATTGGTGGATCTTGCCTGCAACAGTACTACTGTGGGTACTACTAGTAGTGATTTTTGATTTCTCCCTTTCCTTCTACATTAATTGGAATTCATCTGTAAGGAAGAGTTGTCTTTTCTATAGATATAGATATAGATATAGATATAGATATATATCGTGGGTATCTCTTTTGTTCTATAGATGAAAGTCCAATGCCATCAATATTTATCTTGTTGCTCAAGTTATTCCAACTTTGACCACTAAGAGTTCCTTCAGGTTGGCTTCCGTGTCCTTTTGACATGACTTCATACTATTTGGAGCACTTTCTTACTTTCTGACACACAGGATGTTCCAGTATGTCATAGTGGCTTAATCCTAGTGGCTTAAGTAGCAATCTGGATGCAGCTTAATTAGGTGCTCTGCTTAGGGTCTGACAAAGCTGCACTAAAGGTGTCGTCCAGGCTGGTTCTCATCTGGAGGCTGTGCTGGGGAAGAATCTGCTTCCAAGTCACACAGGTTGTTGGCAGAATTCATTTCCTTGTGGTTCTGGACAGAGGGCTTCATCTTCTTCTTGTTGACTAGAGGCTGTCCTTAGCTTCTTGCCACACGGCCTCCTTTACAGCATGGCCACTTACTTCAAAGCCAGCTGTGGAGAATCTCTAGAGCAAGTCCTGTAGCAGGATAGAGTCTTATATAACAAAATGTCATCTCGGAAGTGAGACATCTCATCACCTTTGCCAGTGGTCTCCTTGTTTATTGTAGAGGATCTATAGTATGTTTTAATGTCTGGTAGGGCTAGTATCCTCTCATGGTTTTTCTTTTTCATTGTTTCCCTCACTGTTCTTGAATGTTTGTTGTTACAAATGAATCTTAGGATGGTATTGACTTGTCTGGCTCGGTTTCATAACCTTGGCACTGTTGACCTTTGGGGCTAGGTATTTCTCTTTTATGGGAGGCTGTCCTGTGTATTGTAGGATGTTTAGCTGTATCCCTGACCTCCATCCACTAGATGTCAGTAGCACCCTCACATTTATAACAACCAAAAATGTCTCCATATGTTGCAAAATTTCAACTGGGAGGCAAAAGCATCCTGAGTTGAAAACCACTGGTCTATAAGTATTTAGTTTTCTTTGTTGCTATTATATATGGACATGTAACTGATGCCCAATGTTGTTCGTATATATGAAAGCTGTTGAATTCTGTGTCAGTTTATATCTTGTTACTTTCTGAACTCTGTTATTCTCTTATCTCACTGATTGTCTTGAGTTCTCCAGGTATAGTATGATATCATCTGAAAATAGAGATAGTTTTACTTCATTACCCTGTTTGTATGCCTCTTACTGTTTTTATATTAGCATTGGCTAATAACTCAGGTACAATGTTAAAATAGTAGCAGGAATAGTAGGCATGCTTGCCTTGTTCCTGATTTTAGTAGAAATGCTTCTGTTGAAGTATTTTTGTCTCTCCATTAAACAAGATACTTGCTGTAGGATTAAGATATGTACATAATTTACTAAGAAAATGCCCCTTGATGCCTATTGAGTGTTTTTATCATGAATGATTGTTGAATTTTGTCAAAGGCTTGTTCAGCATTTATGAAGATAGTAATATACTTCATTTACTTACATGTATTAACATGGCATCTGTTGATGAGTTTTCCAGTACCGAACTAACCTTGCTTTCCTGGAATAAATCTCACTTGATCACGGAGTATGTTTTTCATAATGTGATGTTGAATTGAGTTTGCCAAAATATTTTGTTTAGAATTTTTATATCAACATTCATAACTGATGTGAGTCTATAGTTACCCACCTTTGAATTGTCTTTATCTGGCCTAGGTATCATATTAAGGGAATCAAGAAAGTCACCATCTTGGTTCCTTTAATGAAATAATTTATATTTCATTATAATTTATAGTGCATTATAATTTATGTTTATAATTATTTGTATGTTATATACTTATATAATTTTAGAACAGTGGGACTCTCTGGTTTTTGTAAGTTTGTTAGCATCCCCCTCTGAAACCATCTGGACCTAGTACTGTTTTGTGTGGGATAGTTCCTTAATAACGTTGACTGTTTTTTGTGTGTATGAAAATTAGTCTGTTTAAGCTTTTTTGCTGTAATGGGGTCAATTTTTGTTATTTGTATTTCCACAGGAAATTATCCATTTCATCTAAGATTTCAAATTTATTTGCATAAAAGTCTGCAAAGTATCTTTTATGAATTAGACATGTAAATTAATTTTAAATCTTTTTTCCCATAATTATTTTACCTATATCATTTATTATTTTTTGTGTTTGTTCTTTTTCTCTTTTTCTTGATCAAATTAGGTAGTAGTTTATTTATTAACTTTTCCAAAAAATCAGTACTTTGATTTACTAATTGGATCTATTTTTCTGTTCTCTACTTCACTGACTTCTGCTTCATATTTATTATTTCCTTCTTTGTGTTTTCTTTGATTTACTTTATTATTGTTGTTTTCCCATTAAAATTTATTGTTTTTATTCTTTCATTTATATAGATAACAGTGTTTTATGGACAGGCACAGTGGCTCACACCTGTAATCCCAATACTTTGGGTGGCTGAGGTGAGAGGATCACTTGAGCCCAAGAGTCGGAGACCAGCCTGGGCAACACAGGGAGACGCTCACTCTACAAAAAATTTAAAAATCAGCCAGGCACATTGGCATGTGCTTGTAGTCCCAGCTGCTACTAGAGAGGCTGAGGTGGGAGGATAGTTTGGGCCTGGTAGGTCAAGGCTGCAGTGAGCCATGATTGTGCCACTGCACAGAGAAAGATCCTGACTCAAAAAATTAAAAATAAAAATAAGTAAATAGAACACACACAAAAAAATTTTTTTTTAAAGTGTCTTTTGCAATCAATTTTTCTCTGATCAGTGCTTTCAATGTATCTTGATTCTGATACATAGTGTTTTCAATGTCGTTTTTAAGTTTCTCCTTTTCTTTAGGAGTTATTAGGAGGTTTTAAAAATTCCAGGTAGATGAACCTTTCTGGTTTTTTGTTTTTATTTGTAAATCTAGTTTTATTGCATTTTGGTCAGAAATTATTTATTGTAATATTTCTGCTTTATGGAAATTGCCAGTATTTTCTTTGTGACCTACTATAGGATCAGCATTTATAACTGTGCTGTGATTGCTTAGATGTATATTCTCCATAATCAAGGTCTAAAGTTTGATATATATCCATGAGATTTACTGTATTTATTATGTTGCTTAGATCTTCTGTTTCTTATTTTTTGTAAATAAGTGATCTGTTTTGTACTAAGGTTATACTAAGAGTTGTATATTAAAATCTACTGTGTCCTGTGTTTCCATGTATCTCCTGTAGTTTTTGCTTCAGAAGGGTGGTTGCTCTGCTTTTTGCTATGTAAATATCATGATTATTACTTATTCATTTTGGATTATGGCCTTTATTATATTAAAAATGTCCTCATTTGTCATGTTCAGTGCTCTGGACTAAAGACTTAAAGTCTTTAAGATATAAAGACTTTAAAAACATATTTATGAGACCTTCCTGATAACTCCTACCACTCCTATCTTCAATACCTATGATGATCATTCCATAATAGCAAGCAGCTTTAATTAGGATGTACTTTCATGGGAGCTACTAGAAGCTGTGATATACCTAGTGTATACCATTTCCAATCCAAAAAGAAGGAAGAAAAAAAAGTGGCAACTGGATGGTCATCACTCGGAATTTATACTGAATGTTGTGGCTTTTGCTTTTAAAAATTTTACCAACTAAGCTGTATAGCAAATCATCTGCATGCACTGTACATTTAAACTAAAATAGAACCTTATTTCCTTACAGCATTTTGCTGTGTTTTATTTAGAATAGGTACTTCTTTTGAAAGGATTAATTAAACTCTATCTAATTACCCAAGGCAGTGGTATCACACTGGCTCTGAAGAGGAGTACGAAGGAGTGAAAGAGACCTTTCCACCTAATCTTGTATACCTTTTTAAATTTGGGACCATGTCTATGTATTTCATCTAAAAACCACATTTACACACATGCATGTAAAATATAACTAAACTCCATAACTTGAAACATGATGTATTAGGTGCAGGAATCTACCCTCTTACTGAAAAAATAAAATTATTGGGTAAAATACTAAAAAACATACCTTGAATGCATTTCTTAACTAATGACTATTAGCCAACCAACATTTCTTTTAGTAGGAAAGTAAGAAAAGCTCAGATCAAAGATCAAATGATAGCAGGAACTCAGAGGGGAACTGACCTTATCCTGAAGATATTTGTCTAACTAGGTGAACCTAAACATTGCATTCACAACCCTATGGGGCTAGGGACAGAAGACAAATCCTAGGGTTTATCCAAAATAAATAGTCTAATAGATCTTCTTCCATAAAGTTGATCTACTTTCTCAGTAAAAGAGCAAACTAAAAATAACCTCCCCACTAGCTTGCTCAGCCCCAGGAAATAACTTGGGTGCTGAATTAAGGAGGAAAAAAATCTTTCCTTAGAATTCATAACCAAAATACAGCCTTTATTGCAGATTATAGCTGGAATTCACAATATTTCGAAGGCAAAAAAAAAGTTAAGCTGAGGATTTAGTATAATTAGTGCATGAACTATAGTGCTCTGTTGTCTATTAGAAGCAAATATTTTGTAGGGAGTTGTCCATCTCACACCTCAACATGTTTTGCACAGCCAAAGTTCCAAGGAAAATGAAGGGCTACCTCATAGTAAAGAAAAACATTACATACACAGGGGAACAAGGTATCAGCAGAAACAGCAATCAGACACAGAATATAAAATGTTTAATGTTTCAATAAAGGAGAGGCTTGAAAATGAATGAAGATGTTGAGTGGAAAAAGTCACAGAAAAACACCTACAGTACGATTCCATTTATATAAAGATATCTATCAAACAGATAAAACCAAACAATATACTTTGTGGGAGAGCAATACACAAACGCTTAAAACAAAACTGTAAAGAAAGGAGTGATAATAGAATTCAGGATAGTGGTCCCTTTTTGGGGGAGGAGAGGGTTGTGATCAGAAAGGGGCATATTGGAGGTGTGGTAATATTTTGTTTCTTAACCTGGGTGTAGGAACATGAGCATTTACTTTGTTTTTAAATGGTATATTTTCACATGTTCTTGAACATATGCTAAATTTCTAACAAAAAGGAACTATGTAATAAACATGTAATATATAAAATCTATGTTGATTAATTTTTCTTAAATATTTGAAATGAATTATTTGAAGTACTCTGATAGTGAGAACTATAAGATTTAAGAAAAATTAGAGTATTTCAAGTATTTAACAAAGCTTATGGTTTAAGGAAACTTCTTTTCTACTGATATGATGAAACAATTTTCTTCTCCATGCTTCACAGCAAAAGCATTAATTTTGGGTTGTTATTAATCTTCCTTTTTTTCTACTTTGCAGCAAGATGAGAAGATGAAGTGAATTTATGGATTCTGGTTTTTCTGAATTTTCAAAGCATAAGGAATCAAAACAGAAATATAGTATCAAGAAGATGAAATGCTTAATGAAAAGGTTTTTTTTTTGTTTCTTTGGCCTTTCATGGAGTGTTGATTTGTCCATTCTTAATGTTTATTAATAGGTATATGTGCATAAAATAGCTATTTTGTAACATTAAACTTTTTGAGTCATTTTGGTCATCATATAACTTACCTTCCTGTTTATTTAAGCTTCTTTTTACCTAGTAGCCTTTAACCAAACAATAACCTTTTAACCAAATAAAATGTGTTAATAAATACCTTTGCATTGGTTATCTTGTATACTAGGCTGTCTTGTTTTGCTGTCTGTTTTTAACCCATTCAATATATGTGGACATCCAAAAGGGTTTAAAAGCCACCTCCTGCCCTGGCCCGTTTTCTCTCCCTTCATTCTTCTGTTTTCAGAAATACATGTTGAATGTCAGCTTCTGTATTATTTCTATTATATGTAATCTGATGACTTAGAGGAGGAGATTAACCTTTCAGGCTCTTTTGAATTTGGTTTTTATAATTTGGTTTTAAAGATCACTTACTCTTCCAGTAATAAGTAGTAATAAATCCTGTTCATATCTGAGATCAATACACAGTTTATTGAATTCAAATGACTACTCAAACTCTATTCCACCTAGATGGAAAACTTTTTTAGACAATATCTGACCACTAACGCGGTGGGCCCAGAAATCTGCATCTTAATCAGATGCTTCAGGTGAGTCCGTCCGAGGATTGTCCTAGTACCACACTTTGAGAGACTGCAGTGGGGGTACAGAGTGCTGGAGGGGTTTAGTCAATAGCTCTAGTGAAGGATGGATAGTTTTATTCAAAGAATCCCAGTTGATGAATGAAGAAGAAATGCTAGAATTAGAAAAATTGCAAACCCCTATTAAAACTACCGCTCAGGCAATGCTCAACAATGGATGTAAAACAATTAGGTGAAATGTTGATGGAGAAATTCATTACAAAGGAATAGCCCTCTGAACCCACTGATCAATGTTAGCATCATTACGAATGAAACAACCAGACACCATATGCTTCCTGCTGTGCTGCAATATTAATTATATGGTACCACCTATGAAGTGTTCTTGCCCTCTCCCCCCCAAAAAATTGAACCTGAATTTAATCAAAGCTTTAGATCTAATATTTAGTGCATAGGAAATAAGTAGAGTAGAAAAACAATACCAGGGAGAAGCAATTAGCCACATTCAAAAAATGGTTCATTTCAATAGAACAACTGACCTGGTTTCTTTTTCAATGTGTTAATAGTGTTAAAAAGTCTGTTTTAGATCAAAAGAGACTGATGAGACCACATGCAAATACATTGCACAGCTCTTGTTTGATTCAAAGAAGTCAAGTGTAAAAGACATTTTTTAGACACGTGAAATGGTGTTGCGGCTGACTAAAAGGATGTGTATGTGTGTTTTTGAAGTATTTAGGGCTAAAATATGTCCAGGATTGGCTTTTAAATACTACAAAAAATGGAGTATGCCAAAACGTTGACCATTGTTAAAGCTCAGTGAAGGGCAGGTAGATGCCAATTGCACTCTTCACTTTTATGTGCAAAGTTTGGAAAATTTCACAATAAAATTTTTGTGTTTACATAAATGAAATAACATGGGAAAATGTTCTAAGGTATGGCAAGTGAAAAAAGCCTGGAAAATAACTAGTTTGTCCCACTTAAGTTTTTAAAGGTGTTAAAAGTACATGTTTCAAAAAGTAAGGATAGACTAAAAAAGTGAACGGTGGTAAGTTCTAAGTTGTGGGCTTACAGGTGTTCTTTATTTTTATGCTTTGCTGTATTTTCCAAGTTTTTTTTTTTAAGTTTTCCAAGATGTTTTACATCTCTGTTCTTATTTACCAGATAAACTTTGTGGTTAGTTACTGGATAAACTGTAAATAGTGATAAAATTTTTAAGTTTATATCAAGATAGCACTTCATTTTAAAACCAGTAATTATTAGGTTGGTGCAAAATTAATTGCAGTTGTTGCCATTGGAAGTGATGGTAAAAACCGCAATTACTTTTGCACCAACCTTATATTTCTAAAAGATCAAGTTGTAAACCTATTTGTTTTCCCTAAGATCCGCTCTTGCAGAGTTGGAATAAATATGATTGTTTACACTTAAGAGTCCAGGACTACAGCAGGCCTGGTTGGAGGGGAGTTACTAATGTTCCCAGACTTAAATCCAGCTGGAACACCACCTAAAATATGCAGTAACATAAGACCATCAAAAGCAATGTCCCAGGACTTACAATGTTTGCTAAGACGCAAGAGGGTGTGACACAGACGCTAAGCGCCACTGGCGAGGAGATGAAGGGGTCGTCTTCATCTTCGCCGGATGATTTCCGCCCACATAGAGGGCGCCAGTGACGCCCACACACGTGCTGGTGTCCCGGGAAGAGTTCCTGGCAAAGAGCTCAGGAACGTTGGATCTTAATCAAGGCTTTCTCCGTCGGGGTGGATGGGTTGGACTTTAGGCTCCAGCAAGCCCCGCCCCACTCGGCGGGTCGGTGCCGCCGGGTCCCAGGTGCCCGCTACTTCCCAGAACCTCCGCCTCCCGCTCCGGGCCCTCGAACCAGCGCGGACACCACAATGGACCGGGCGTCCGAGCTGCTCTTCTACGTGAACGGCCGCAAGGTGAGCGCCCGCGGGCTTCCTCTGCCCCCAGACCTGCGGCCAGGGCCGGGGCAGAGAGGAGCCCCTGCCGTTCGTCCCATCCTTTCGTGCCCGCCGTTTAAGGCACTCAGGCACGGACTGGCTTTCTCCCGTAACAGCGGCTTTGCCTTCGCATTCCCACCCCTGCCTCCGGGGCAGCTAAAGGCTGCGTTTTCAGGGACTGTCCTGGATCTTTGGGCCCCCACCTTCCTTATGTTCCCCTTTCCTCTCCTTCCAAGGCTCACAAGCTGATTTCCAACCACACGCCCTCCCTAAACAGTAAGATAAAAAGTATTCTTGCCCATCAGGGGTCAGCACTCCCAGATCTTCGTTCCCTCAATCCCAGCCGATAACGGGAACGTCCCCAGTACACTGAGAGCAGCCTACAGAAATGGCTGAGCCTCAGCTCGCGGGGTGCGTTTGGAAGCGCAGAGAGCAACTTAGATTCGGGACAAGACCGTAGAGACGAACACATTCAAACCACCCCCATCGTTTCTCAGATGAAGAAATCGTTACTTTCCAAAGTCACAGCTAGTTCCTGGCAGAGCTGAACCCAAGTCAGGCTCTGGGGGCTCCAAGGTCCTCACGGGTTCCACTGCTGGGTGCGGGCTCTGTCGCCTCAGAAGCTGGGCTCGCTCTGCGCAACCCGAGGGACAGTTCCAGGCAGTGTCCGATGTTTGGGAGAAGCAAAGCCCCCTGGGCATCCTTTAAAACACCCCCCTTAATGTGAGCATCAACTCTGCTCACTCTTAATGTTCCAGTTTCATTGACATTACTCTGAAGGAGGAAACTGAGGCAGGAAGGTTAAGGAGCTCCCTTGAGAGCTGTGGCTCACGCCTGTAATCTGCACTTTGGGAGACCGAGGCAGGAGGATTGCTTGAGCCCAGGAGTTCGAGTTTAGCCTGGGCAACATGGCGAAACCTTGTCTCTACAAAAAAAAAACCAAACAAAACAAAACAACAACAACAAAAAAAAACCGGTGTGGTGGTGCGTGCCTGCAGCCCAGCTACTGGGGAGGGTGAAGGAGGATTGCTTGAGTCTAGGAGTTCAAGGTTACAGTGAGCTGTGATCACACCACTGCACTCCAGCTTGGACAAAAGAGTGAGATCCTATTTCTTAAAAACAACAAAAACAGAGCTAACAACCAAGCAAGAGCAGTGGCACCTGATTTCCCTGGTGCTCGTGTTGGTGCCGGTTCATTCAGAGCCACCTGTGACCACTGCTTCTGGCTAAGGGCAGCCACAACACTTTTCCCGACGGGCACCAGCTGCCTCCCCTGGAAGCTAACCAGTGTGAAGCACCAGGCCCTAGTTGTGAGGCCTGTTCTAAGACCCTGAGCCTAATTTCATTTGTGGTTTTGTATTATGTTTCTTAAAGAGGATCCCCCAAATTGTACATTAGGCCCCTCAAAAACTTTGTCTGCCCCTGCTGCCTGGGTTCTACATTGGATAAGATGAGCTAGTTTTTCCTGATCTGTAAGGGTCATTAGGACCCCTTCACAGGACTGCTGTGAGGGTGAAATATGACAATGGGGTGAGATGATTGACATTATGTCATTTTTTTCTTCTTTTGCATAATAGAATGGTATAGTAAACACAACACTGGCTTTGTTGTTTAGACAAACAAGTCTTCAATTCCAATTCTAATTCTGATTGAGAAAACCTAACCTCTCAGAGGCCCAGTTTCTCTGTTAAAAGGGGATCATACCACTTACTTCATAAAGAGTGATCATGAGCATTCAATCCACTTATTTGTTAAGGGCCTACCGTATGCCAGTCAGTGTTCCAGGCTTATGAGATACAGCAGAGCACAGAAATAACAAGTCCTTGCGTGCATGGAGCTTACATTGTGCTGGGGAGATAGCAAGCATATAAATACGTGGAAATGTGTAATGTCAGGAAGTGAGAAGTGCTAATATAAAAAATAAAGCACAGCGTGGGGACAGAGAGTATGCAGGATACTTAGAGGGGATGGATGTTTTGGCCTGTCTGAAAGGGTGGCATTTGAGCAGTGACTGGGATGCAGTGAGGAGCAAGCCATGCAAACATCTGGGGAGACAGCATCCAGGCAGTGGGAATGGCAGGTGCAAAGGTCCTGAGGTAGGAGGATTTCTGTGTGCTTAAGGAGGTAGGTTGGTGGGCCTGGCAACATGGGCAGTGGCCTGATTACTAGGGCTTTATAGGTGATGGTAAGGGTTTGGGTTAAATGAAGAAACAGGGATTGTGAGTCTAACATCTCCTCGCTTCTCCTTCCCCCACTTCCAAACAAATATTGGTATTTTTAACATAATGGCCAACAAGTTTGTGCTCTATTGATTTTTAAAATTAGATAAGCTAGTTCTTATCTACGGACTCACTTTGTCTATGGGCCAAATGTCCTGTGGTTATTTGTAAAGTATAATCTGGAGATATTGATTCTGTTTTTGCAATTACCCATTAGAAGAAATTGTGTTAATCTTTCCCTTTCCTTCTCCTCCCTTCTAAATTCTGTTAGGTGTGTGCTTCGGTACTTAATAAACAAGCCTGATTACTTACATGGAAAGAACTAGAATAAGCTTTTTTTTTTTTTTTTTTTTTGAGATCGAGTCTCACTCTGTTGCCTCCTGAGTAGCTGGGACTATGAAACTGCAAGCACCCACCACCACGCTAATTTTTGTATTTTTAGTAGAGATGGGGTTTCACTATGTTGGCCAAGCTGGTCTCAAACTCCTGACCCCAGGTGATCTCCCTGACTCGGCCTCCCAAAGTGCTGGGATTACAGGCTTGAGCCACTGTGCCCAGCCTAGCATAAACTTTTTCGTTCCAGAGAGTAAGGGATTGTTGAGAAGAGTGTGAGAGAAAATCCACCCTAGAAGAGGGCTTTTGAAGTCAAACACAATCTCTGGAATTAAAAACTCACCTTTGAAAAAGAAGCTTAGAAGTGAAGCCACTTAGGAGAAAATAGGTGACATGATTGGCTTCTATTCTGCTTTTTGCTAAATTTTCTCAGGTCACCAAAAGTTGTCCTCAGGCAGAAGGTAACGACATCTGGAGGCAAGGACAGCGCACGTTGGCCAGGGACCTAGTTGCAGAGAGATTTCTGAAATCTTATTCACTCTACCAAGGCCCCCAGAAGAACAGATGACCCATTTAACATGGAGTTTAAGGGAGGAAGAGCCCATGAATAAATTCTGCCATAGATGCCACATAACAACCTCAACTCAGGAAATGAAGCATGTCATTTCATGAGGCAATGAGGTGTGGAAATCAAAGGTATGGGCCTTAGAACTAGTCAGGGATGGGTTTGAATCCTGTGCTATCTGCTCTGCCACTTGGCGGGTCTGGGGCCTCGGGCAAGGTACTTAATGTCGCTGAGCTTCTGTTTTCTCTTTTGCAAAATGGAGCTAATAACAGAACCTTTTCCCTTGAAATTGGGGCTGATTAAGTTGCATAGAGAGAGGTTAGCAGGGTGGGTGTACACAGTAAACAGATTGTAAATTGATATGTGGAAACAATTGTTGCTATCTGGACTATAAAATAATCTGTTTCATTAGCAGAGCCAGAACCTGCTTAGAGGTGTCAAGGATGCTAAGAAGCAGTCATCCTGCATTATTTGCACAATGAGCATAGACTTTTGGTACTGGTGTAGGAATCTGGAAAGAGCAGTTTATTGGCTAGCATTCTCTAAGGTTCTTGGTTTACAAGGCTGAGAGAGGAAATTTCTGGGCTTCTGGAATGGCTGCAATGATTCAGAGAAAAGTGGAGAAGGTGGAGGCACCTTAGGCAGAAAGAAGTAACAAGCAAAATGAATTTTAAAAGCAACCTAAAGCTCAGGAAGATGTGTCCCCATGGCTGTTCCCTGAGGCTTCTTTCTCTCCTCTGAGGCTGCTGTAGATTATTGTTCTCTACTAACTGCATCTCACAGCATACACCCCTTTCTTTCCTCCTCTTCTACCTCTCAGCCTTGTCCCTTCACATGCACCTCTACCCCTTCCTTATTTTCTACTCTCTCTCCTCTTATCTCTCTCTTCCTTTCTCTTTCTGACTCTGTCTTGGATCTGGCAGGGCCTCCTCAGGCACTAGTCACTGGCAGTACACAGAGAAAAGTGATTTCTTAACCAAGTACAGCATGAACTTGGACTCTCCCAAAAGGGCTGGCAGTGATACAGAGGGGCAGATTCCACCCTCAGATTCAAGACTATGCTGAGATGAGTACATGCAATGACCCTGACCTGAGAACTGGCAACATCTCTCAAATCCAGAGTCAACCAGAATAACTGTTACCCATCCCCTGTATGCCTTCTAGCCTCCCTCTGAGTCCTAACCTCCCTGTATCATTCCCAGAGCTGCCAGGACAAGATGCGTGCTAGATCTCTGCCCCCACTTCCTCCAAATACAACCCTCACTACATCAAAACAACAACAACAACAACAACAACAAAACACATTTCAAACTGGTGGGACTTTGAGCCAGATTCCAATCCCTTGAAACATTTCCTGGAACACATACCCAAACAAGCATGACCACCTTCTTCCATGAATTCTTTCCTCAAATATAGAAATATTCCTCAAGCCTAAAATGCTATTCTTTACTAACTAGGCTACCCAGACCCTGTCTATCCATTAAAACGGGGCTTCTATTGTTTACCATCATATCTAGGAACAGACATTGTGAGGTTGGGGCAGAAGCTTTATGGTGTTATCTGAGACCCACGTTTCTTCTCTCTTTTTTCTCTCCTGCCATTAACATGTTGCCTCATGGTCTAAGATAACTGCTGGGGTTCTAGCCATTTCATCCCTATTCCAAGTAGCGGGAAGGAAGGAAAGGAGAATGCATGCCAGGATAGACAACCTACAGTTTCTGCCACCAATAACTTCTGTGTTTTTCTTTATTTTTCATCTATTCAGATGCCCAAGTCTATGAGAAATTCCTTCCTTCTTGGTATCTCATACCAAATCATACATAGCATGTTCCAGTCATTCATTTCATTAATTAACACTTATTACATCCTGTGATATTTCCCCACCACCAAGCTCAGTGTTTGGCATAAAGAAGAACAGCAGAAGATGGCTTCTTTCAGGATCGAGATAGTCTTGTACACACACAAATAATTATGATACAGTGTAAAAAGTGTCATAAAAGAAGAGGTGAAGACATCAGCCATGGGAACAAAGAGGAGGATGGTTACTTTGAGATGCAAAAGGGTATTTTAGGTGGCAGAACTCTCCATAGAGAACACTTGAGCAGGGTGGTGAATGACATACAAAATTCTGCCAAGAAGAGAGGAAGGATTTTCAGGACAGAGGGAACCTTGCATGCAAATGCAGTGAAGGTGAAAGTCCAACGCACCCCCTGGACTGTCCAGTTCATCCGTGTGGCCTGAGTTCGAATTTCTTCTTGTATTCCGGAAATAGTTGGTTATTAATTCACCTAAGATCCACTCAGTGTACTCATTTAAAAAGCACATTTTCTGGTTCCCTCTACCAGAAATCCTGATTCCATAGCGGTTTCATTTTAACAAGCATCTCCATGATTCAGGAATTCCCAGAATGGCAGTTTGGCAGCCAGGAGCCATGTTAAATTTAGGCATATACATGAGACGATCAGGCTTGGGTTTTACAGCAGTCACTCTGGTCGTGGTGCAGAGGACGATATTGCGGGTACCAAGAGTGGAGGCAGGGAGAACTCTCAGGCAGGTCTTATAATCATTCAGACAATAGGTGATATGGGCTCATGGGCAGTGACAGTAGAAGAGAAAGGAGTTTAGAGGAACATTGGAAGCCCAAGTGGAAGAACTTGGTGACACTGATTGTGGTGGATTGGAAAAAAAAAAGTTGAAAATAGCTCAGGTTTTTTAGCTTAGGTGACCTAGCAGATACTGAGGCCATTAAAAGGTTAAGGAAAAGAAGGGAAGGAGTAAGTAAGTTTGGAAAATAAAATAAAGAGTTCCATTTGAGAGCCAATTAAGTTGAAGATACCTGAGAGGCACCCCATATTTTTTCTTATCACATACACACACACAAACAGACACACATGCACCAATCTTTCTATATTGCGGACTCTTCTAGGGCACAGATCTGACCTTGGCAATTGGCATATGCCACACCTTGCCTGGAATATAGCCTGTTAGAATTGAGGGTGAGGCAGCAGCCCTAGAATAAGCATATGTCCACTCCTCACCTACTACTTCCCAGGAGGGAAAATTACTATAATATGGTGAAAGATGAATTCAGCTTCTGAAATGGCAAAGCAAGTCATGCTTCTATGTGTTCTATGAATCCAAAAGAAATGTCAAATTTTTGTGAAAAAAGAGAAAACATGATCACTTTGGAAAACATAACCAATCTTGACATTTTGATGTCATCCTTGAGAAAAAACAGCATGCTGTTCTGCTGCTATGTGCCAGGCTGCTCCCATGAACTTGCCTAAGTATGTCCTTGCTGCACAGTTTTGCATCACTTAGCATACATGTTTTATCTTCCCCTTTGTTTATTTGATTGGGGCCATGGCTGGTTATCTTTTACTGGAAACCACAATTATTTGAACAAGATAAACAAACAAGTCTTTTTAAAAATTAACTATATCAATTTCTCAGAGGCTATTCTATTCCAGCAATTCCCCTCCCTCCTTTCCTTTCTTATTTCATCCACTCCTCCCCCAAGTCTGAATGTTCTACTAATGTCTTTACTCTCACCTGCTTTAAACTTTCTAGAAAAAACTGGACAGGAGGTAGTGTTTCTGTTAGCAGAAACAACAATTGCCTTAGAGAACAGCGATAATTCAGGACCAAGGACAGGAGCACAATTGTGGTGGGGCTCAAGATTACACATAAGAGTGGTGGTTTGCATATCACAGCTGTTCCATAAAGCTGAAATCTACTTGAAAATATGAGTAAAAGGGCTAATTAACATGCATTTCCCTCAAATTAGTGTGATCCTACCAATGTGAATTTCATATTAGCTCTCTCAACTAACTCTTATTTTCCCTTTGGTATAGGTGATAGAAAAAAATGTCGATCCTGAAACAATGCTGTTGCCTTATTTGAGGAAGAAGCGTATCCTTTTCTTTACTTTGACTGTGTATGTGTGTGTGTATTTGTATAACTCCAATATCCTCATTAAATGATATTTCAAATATACATTAGAGACACTGAGACATATTCCCTACTATCATGGTTTTATGCTCATATTTGAGAAAGTCCTATCATTTTATAGGCAGTGCACAAATGTGGCCGTCAGAAGAACCAATTTTCTTCTAGTCTCTGTATAAAATGGGGAAACTAGTAATGGAAACTTAATAGACGTTAAAAGGACCTAACTAAGCATCCTTTAGAATTAGAGTCACAATATTTATACTCTGTCCTTAAGGACTAATTATTATGCCCATTAGGAAAAGAGAGCACAGAAGTCACCTGAAATGAAAGTAAAAGGAAAACGGAAGAACTAAACCTGAAAATGTTATCCTAGAAAAACTTGCCAAATAAATGCCATCAAAGGAATGTATTTTTAGCTTGCTATGCATGAACTCCAGTGGGCTACCCGACGGTGAAAGACACTACTGAATTATATGCAAAATTATGTTTCAAAGAGGGTGTGTACATTTTTCCCCCTGGAGAGAGTAAAATTACCAAAAGAGTACATAACTCCAAAGCATCAATAATTATTTTTCAGACACATGAATATGTTTCTGAAACATGCTCATGAAAGTCATTCAAGATCTTTAGACATAAAAAAACAATGAACATGACTCCCTGATTATCCACAGTACCTATGTATAATATTTAAAGTTTGGTTCACTATGAGTGACAGAAAACTCCACCTCATGGTAAACAAGATAGAAGGTAGGAGTTTCTTTCTTTCTCATTGTGTTAGTTCAGGTTCTTCAGGATGTGGACACCAAAAATGAGATTAAATGTGCCAGGATTTTATTAGGAGAAATGCCTGTGGGAAAGGAAGTAGGGAGTGAATCAGAGGAGACTTAGGGAGCCATTTGATCACCGTGTAAGTCTGACCCTGGAGATAAGGTTGAGTGGAAGGGCCCTAGACTGCTGGTCAGTCTAAGGCATGTTCTTCAGAACCACTGGGGATGGTTGACAAGGACTCCATGTCTCTCCATAGCACTAAGCCATTGGTGGAGAGCAGTCCATGGGAAGCATGGTCTTAATGAAAACTGGAGTGATCAGTATTAAAGTACAGCAACAGGGTCCCTTGGTCAGTTACCCTCTGTGTTGAAGGGAGGTCTGTGAGGCATGTTTGCATGGCTATCACACTCACATAAAGGAAGCCCACAGGTAGGTGGATCAGAGCTGGTAAAGCAGTGTCACAATGTTGTTGAGGAACCAAGCAGCACCTTCCTCAGCACACAGCTTTCTCCCCACCATCAGAGATGACTAATGGAGGCCCAGCCCTCATATCTGAATTCCAGCAAATAGGAAGAAGTAATGAGCAAAGAAAGAAGCACCCCTCTCCTTTTAAGGACACTCTTCTCCTGGAAGTCATACACAACACTTATAATTACATCCTAGTAGCCAGCATTGTTAATGACCCCACCTAGCTGCAGAGGAGTCTGGGAAAGTCTATTTTTTACTCTGGGAAGCCATGTGTGTGGCTAAAAATCAGTGTTTCTATTTCTAAGGAATTATGAGAGAACAGATATTAGGGAACAGATGGCAGCTTTTGCGACTGAAAGGCAGAGAAATACACAAACATGGCTAAGATGACACAAATATTCCAAGCATTATCTACAATTTAATATTTTGCTTTGTGTCATCAAAGACAGAGATAAGGATGAGAATAAATGTGCAATGTGTTCATACCTTCAAATACTCAAGTGCTTACACATATAGACTCTTCTTTTTTCAGTTCAGCCCTATTTTTGGCAACCTGACGTCCAGTTGTTTTCAAAGGGAGAATGCAAGATATAACACACAAAAGGAAATCAAGAATTTACAAGATTATTATAGCTTCTATAATAGTAATTAAGACATAAACACATTATTTGATGAATATGTATTGAACTTAACTAACATTTAAGAGTCTGTGATATTACTGTCTCCTAGTGGCAGGGCTATTCTAGAAAGAGAATTACATAACACATATGATCTTTAACTATACCTCTTCCAGTTCGACTCACAGGAACTAAGTATGGCTGTGGAGGAGGAGGCTGTGGTGCTTGTACAGTGATGATATCACGATACAACCCCATCACCAAGAGGATAAGGTACCGTGCAGCAAAGTCCAGATATGGTTGAATTTTTATAATTTTGAACTTTGTTATATTCCTTCATTTGGTAAATATATATTGAGTACCTACCATGTGAAAAGAACTGGCCACTTGGCGTACAATGATGAACAAGACAGACATGGTCCTAGGAATATGAATGTTTTGGGAAAAAAATGTAGCATCAATGAGGATAACATACGGTCAAAGAATTCCCCATCAAAGCCAGGTACAGTGGCACACATTTCTAGCTACTTGGGAGGCTGTCAGGAGGATTGCTTGAGTTTGAGTCCAGCCTGGGCAACACAGCAAGACCTTGTCTCTAAGAAAAAAAAAAATCCCCTGTCAAAACTTGAATGGCTCCCTAACTCCCTGTCTGGGGAGGAAAGGCAAGGCTGAAATTGCAGTGGAGGATAATGCCATCATCACATTCATATATTACTCTTCCAGCCCCTAACTTATCTCCTTCCTCCCATCTGGTGCATTCTCCATACATCAGCCAGAGTGACCTGCTTTAATTATCATCAGATCAAGTCATTCCCGTACTTATAAGCCCCCAATGGCTTCCCATTATGTTTAACATCTGTTTATGTTTGGTATTTATCCTTCCTCACATTTGCCAAGTTTCTTGGATCTGTGTGTTGATGTCTTCTGGAAACTTCTCAAGGCATTATCTCTTCAAATATTTACTCTGTGCCACACACTCTTCCCTCTGTTCTTCTGGGAATCCAATTATGCTAATGTTAGACGATTTTACATCATTTCACAGATCGCACTTGAAGGCTAAGGATCTGAGCACTGGTGAGGTTTCAGATATCTGCCTGTGTTCCACACCAAACTACCTGCTGTCTGAACTCTGAGAGGTTCCTCCCTGCTTTACGGCCTGGCTGTCAGCTTTTTAGTTCATGAGGGATTTCTCTTTGCTTACCTCTCTCACCTTCCATGCTTTGGGAGATCTGTCGCAGCCATGTTGCTCTGTCTTTAGCCTCTAGGGAGTGGCGACTACCCTATGCTCTGTGAAGTCTGAGTACCTAGGGTTTCTCTCAGTTCTCCTGTCTCTCCCCCAGCCTTCTTTGTTTAAGGACCAGTATGCTTGGAAAGTTTCTTTTAGCTCTCCTTCCCTGCCTATTTTGGGGAACTACCCCCGGCACTCAGTGATCTCTGGTGGGGAAGAGATTGAAGATAATGCATCCCAGCTTTGTATTTGAATCTGTTGTTATCAGCCCACATGCAACCATTCAAAATTTGTTGGAAGTTGGTCTGGTTTCTCCTTATTCCTGTTTAAGGCAGGTTCCTTTTCCTCCTTCAATTTCAGGAAGAGAATAATTGTATCTCAGGGATGAGAGCAACTGTATCTTCTCTCTTATGAAGGGGTTGTCACATCGGAGTTTAGTTTATTTATTTATTAAGTTTTGCTCATAAAGTTTCTTTGTGTACTCAGCATCTGATGAGCTTTGAAAATGTGATTATGTTCCTCGTATGGTTTACTTTGGTTTTTAGAATGGGAGTGGCAGTCTCTTACAACTCTTAATGGCTTGTTTTTACCTTCTGGTCTTTGTACTAAGGCACCAGTTTCTCCAGTTCTTTAATGTTTAACTTATGCATCCATCAGCGTGACAGTGAGGTGTTGGTGAAGTCTGGCTGCTCTGGTTGCTAATGGAGACCTGGCCTGCCATAGGTGCATGGTTACCTGTGACTAGAGAATGTCAACCCCTCATTCAAGAGCAAAAACCATCAAAGTTGTGACAGTTTTTGATAAGTGGACACCATTCTGGAATTAGAATTAGGAGGCGTAATTTTAATCCTGCCTCTGACACTCTGGCTGTGACCCTGAGTAAATCACTCTGATCCTCAGATTCCACTTCTCTAAAATGGGCCTGTGCCTGAGCTAAGGAGGAAATGTATGTGTAAAACCTGGGTACATTATACAAAAACCTGCCACAGTGGAGAAGCTCAGTGAATGCCTGGCCCCTTTCCCACTGTATGCGACATAATTTGTAATTTGTGCTTTTCTTTTGCATTCTGAAGGCATCACCCAGCCAATGCCTGTCTGATTCCCATCTGTTCTCTGTATGGTGCTGCCGTCACCACAGTAGAAGGCATAGGAAGCACCCACACCAGAATTCATCCTGTTCAGGTGAGGATGTGCCTCTTCCTTATAGGCTTTCTGTGCTTTAGAAACCTCATGACATTGAGTCCCTGAGATTAAGAGAGCGGAGCAGCCTGGGGCCTGCTGGCTCGGCCACTCCAACAGATACAACCTAGCTGGGAACAAGAGTGAAGCCTGGCATATTGGGATATGTGAGTGTTTCTGACTAACTTGTTGGAAAAATGCTTTTGGAAGGCTAGAAAACCTTTTCTTCTCTAAGAATGCCCTGACATTTGTGGGTTTGTTTTTTGTGTTCTAATTCGATGGGACCTATCTATTTGACATCTTCCAAACTCATAAAGAAACAAGAGCCAGGTGCAGTGGCTAACACCTGTAATCCCAACACTTTGGGAGGCCAAGGCAGGTGGATTGCTTGAGCCCAGGAGTTTGAGACCAGCTTAGGCAACATGGTGAAACATGTCTCTACAAAAGTACAAAAATTAGTGGGGTGTGGTGGTGAGCACCTATAGTCCTGGCTACTCGGGGGTGCTGAGGTGAGAGAATCACTTGAGCCTGGGAGGTTGAGGCTGCAGTAAACCATGATTGCACCCTGTACTTCAGCCTGGGTGACTGAGTGAGACCCTGTTGTAAGAAAGAGAAGGAGAAAAAGAGGGAGAGAGGAGGGAGGAAGGGAGGGAAGGAAGGAAGGAAAGAAAAGATGAAGGAAGAAAGAGAAAGAAGAGCCATGTGCATTGAGGGATATAATTTTATTTTTTTTTATAAAGTGGAAAACAACATGATCTTAAGGCTGAGTGAAAATTTCAGCTACCAAAAAGCTTTGTTATATTTAGAGCTTGTTTGGAAGACAGATGATAGGAGTTGTCAATAAGTTTTTTGGCTTTTCTCCTAAAGAAGCACCTTGTTAGAGTTTTAGACTCAAGTAAAAAGGCATCTTCAGACACCTGAGTCTTTATGTATATATTGCCCATAAGAATGCCATTTCTAGGCCAGGCGTGGTAGCTCATACCTATAATCCCAGCACTTTGGGAGGCAGAGGTGGGCAGATCACGAGCTCAAGAGATCAAGACCATCCTGGCCAATGTAGTGAAACCCTGTCTCTACTAAAACTACAAAAATTAGCTGGGCATGGTGGTGCATACCTGTAGTCCCAAGCTACTCGGGAGGCTGAAGCAGGAATAATCACTTGAACCTGGGAGGTGGAGGTTGCAGTGAGCCAAGATCATGCCACTGCACTCCAGCCTGGCAACAGAGCAAGACTCTGTCTCAAAAAAAAAAAAAGCCACTTTTCCTCATTTTTATTGAAGTTAATGAAGATCAAATATGAGAAAAGATAGAAGGAAAAGATAGGAGCAACATAGAAAATGACCCAAGTTCAAATTTTCTAGATTTGAAGGAATCTTGGATTCTGTTTATTTGAAAGATCATTACCCAGAGGGAGAGAATTTTGCCTGGATCATTATGACATATCATTAACTAGAGGGAGAGAATTCTGCCTGGATGCCCATGTGAGACCTGGTCATACACAGGCATACAATACCCTTTCATTTCTTCATTGATGCGGAACTCCCATTGTTACAATGTTGCCAGAAGACAGCTTCCAAAATCGACTTGAACCTTAGAAGTTAGACTCCAAAGCAAAAATGCTAGGGGGAGGGAAACGTATAAAAGAAATAAAAGCATTTTATTTTTTATTTATTTTTTTTCCACTTCTCAACTTGAGTGTAATTTGGTTTATTTCTCTGAAGGATTTCTTTTATCTCAGTAATTCACAACCACAACTGCACGTTGAAACCAACCATGTGGGAATCTTTAAAAGATGTATGCCCGTGCCCCATTCCCAGAGACTCTGTCAGTTGGTTTGTGGTGCTGTGTGGGGCTTGAAATCTTAACACTGTCCGGGTGATTCTCAAGAGTGGTAACCACTGCCTTAAGTGAAGCTCAAAAGCAGATAAGGCCCAACCTCACAACAACCCAGCCCTGGGGAGGGAGGTGCCTGGGATGAGAAGGGCTCCCAGGGGCCTCTGCTGCAATCTTAACATGCAGACAAATCACCTGGGGATCTTGCTAGAATGCAGGCTCTAATTCATTAGGCCTGGGATGGGGCCCCAAATTCTGCATTTCTAACCTTTCTGTGCTTCCAGGAGAGGATTGCCAAGTGTCATGGCACCCAGTGTGGCTTCTGCACACCTGGGATGGTGATGTCCATCTACACGCTGCTCAGGAACCACCCAGAGCCCACTCTGGATCAGTTAACTGATGCCCTTGGTGGTAGGTTATATATGCATGCTTTTATTTTTTAATTTTTATTTATTTATTTATTTTTTGAGACGGAATCTCACTCTGTTGCCCGGGCTGGAGGGCGGCGGCGCAATCTTGGCCCCACTGTAACCTCCGCCTCCCAGGTTCAAGCAATTCTTGTGCCTCAGCCTCCCCTCATGCTTTTACTTTTAAACGATGATGATGATAATGATAACAGCTAATATTGGATACCTTTCATGTGCCACACACATTTAATAGTATTAAATACTATTTGAAGATTATCTCATTTGATCCTCACAAAAAATTTATAAGATAGGTACTATTGTTATCCCCATTTCATAAATGGAGAAACTGAGGTTTGGGGAGAGTGATTTGTTCAAAGTTACACCCCCAATAAGTGGAAGAATTGGTTTGTTCAAATCAGGATTCAAACCAACCCACACATTGCATTTGGCTGATGTATTTCTGAAGTCTCTTTTGTTTTTATAATCATTAAAAAGCCAGTTATTCATCAGCCCTTGGGAAGAGTCCTGTTATCTCCACATGCTGCTCCCTCACCACTCTCCCTACTGGGTGGTGGGTGCTTTCAGGACCATATTCAACATCAGAGGGCTGCGATGGTTACAGCATAAAGTCAGAGACTGAGATCTTATGGTGAAACTTGATACTTATTGCAAAGAACTGTCTATCCACCCTAGAGCGTTTTTGTCAAGTTCAGGAGCTCAGTGTGTATGTGGCGGGGGGGGACATCCTCATCAACAAGATTCTAAACACGTTTTTTTAAGTGATACCCTCTCAAGTTCTGTTTCTGGTGAACTTCTCCATGGCTCCGTTTGTCTTTGTCTCAGGCCTCCCGAAGACCTCATTTCTCTGCTAGAGAACATGAGCCTAAAGCTCATATGTACACTTACTCTGCAAAAATGTTCCAAGGAAAACCAGAACAAATGGATGTAGAAAGGAGAGACATCGCTCATAAACTGTCTTCTGCCTGATTTCCTTCAGATCTTATCATGAATTTGATTTCATGGCTGTTTATGATGTAAACAAGTGATAAGGGGTTCTCAGATTTCAGGGTACTTAGGTCATACATGGGAATTTGTGGGTAATGAAGATTCCTGGGACCCACCCCTAGAGAGTTTGACTCAGTAATATTGTTTTTTAAATAAGACTTCAGATTTAGGGGTGGAGGAGGAACACCGGATCGCACTGTGGGAGAAACGCTGGCCTGATGATTTATTATAAATAAATAATGTGCCCTACTGCTTTCACAGTTTAATAACTACCTTTGCTGCTGTATAATAACTTTGATCTTTCTGTCAGCTGAAGCTTAGAGTGCTTTTTTTTTTTTTTTTTTGTCACAGTAAGTGTTAAGAATGAGGGGTTTTTTCCTTAGAAAAAGAAGTATAGCTTGCTATTTGCAACAACGTAAATGAACCTGGAGGACATTATGCTGAGTAAAATAAGCCAGGCACAGAAGAACAAATACTACATGAGCCCACTTATATGAGGAATCTAAAGTAGTCAAACTCACAGAAGTAGAGAATAGAATGGTGATTACCAGGGCCTGGGGAACGGGAAAACAAAGATGTATTCGTCAAAGGTAAAAAGTTTCAGTTATGCAAAAGGAGTAAGTCCTAGAGATACTGTATAGCATAATGCTTATAGTTAACACTGTATTGTATACTCAAACATTTGCTGAAAGGGCAGATGTTATAGTAATCACAAAATAAATGAATAAATAAATAAATGATGGGAGGGAAGTTAGAGGTAATAGATATGTTTATAACATTGACCGTGGTGATGGTTTCATGGGTGTAAGACTTATCTCCAAATTCACCAAGTTGTACAGCTTTTTGCATGTCAATAACAGCTCAGTAAAATGGATTTTACTTTTTAAAAAAAAAATTAGTTTGGCTGAACACAGTGGCTCACGCCTGTAATCCCAACATTTAGGGAGGCCTAGGTGGGTGGATCACCTGAGGTCAGGAATTTTGAGACCAGACTGGCCAACATGGTGAAATCCCATCTGTACTAAAAATACAAAAATTAGCCTGACCTGGTGGTGCACACCTGTAGTCCCAGCTACTCGGGGGGCTGAGGCAGGAGAATTGCTTGAACCCGGAAGGTGGAAGTTGCAATGAGCTGAGACTGCACCACCGCACCTGCAGCCTGGGCGACAGAATGAAACCCTGTCTCAAAAATAAAAGTAAAAATAAGTTGTTTTTAAAATAAGGCTTAGCTCTTGAATGTGACTGTAGAGCAAGTTTTTGGTTTGAAATTATTGTGTTGTTTGAGCACCTGTCACAAGCAGAAGGCATAACTTTACAGGAGAAAGTACAAATACCTGAGCTTTTAAAATCTGCCTCAAGATTCTTAATGAAATATCCCAAGTTGCTGTTGAAAAGATCTGACTTTGTAGATTAGGTGGACTAAAATGTCAAACAGATCTTTCCTCTATGATAGGGTCCTCATTTCCATCACACTCTTGGTAGACTGTGCCTCTATCTGGGTCACTTGGCTAACAGAGCTGGGTTTTTCTCCTTCAGGTAACCTGTGCCGTTGCACTGGATACAGGCCCATAATTGATGCATGCAAGACTTTCTGTAAAGTAAGTGGAAAGGACCACATGTTTGAGTATGTTTTCCCCAGTGAAACGAAATGGTAATGGTTGTCAGTGATTAGGGGGGCAGCCATCTTACTAATACATGGCTACTTCTTATCTCCAGGTTTCTAGCTGCTGTTTGTTATTTGATCTTGAGCAGGGCACTTAACCTCATTCATTGAGCTTGCCTTGGTGGTCGCATAATGAACACCTGAGCATTTTGACACTGGCTGTGTGTCATTGCTTCCAAGAGGTCTTTCCTGACCTCTTTGCCTGGGTCAGGTACCCTGGCCTGGTGTTCCTATAGCCCTCTGCGAACATGTGACGGGCATACACATGTCCCGTCACAGCTTTGGTCACAATGTGGTGCAACTGATCATTTGCTATCCCATGTCTTCACCAGACTGTGGGCTGCTTCACAGTAGAGGCTGTATATCTCCGGGTCCAGTCACCATATAGTCATTGAGTAGCTACTCAATATTTGTTGAATGAATAAATGAACAAACAAAGTTGAAATGAAGGATATAAGATTGCCCTCTGGAAGTTAAACAATGAATTCAGTATATCATAGATAAGAACAGTGATGACAATAACAATACCTGTTAATATTTATTATTAATATTTAAAATACTAACAATATTAACAGTTAATCATTATTAATATTTACTATTTAATGCTATGTGCCACGCTTAGTTATAAGATCTTTATGTCTTTTAACTTATTTAGTAATCACTGCTATTCAAAATTTTCTGTAAGCTCAGGTTTTTCATTAATGTTGGTTTGGATATGTTTAAGTACAAATGGCTCTCTTTCATGGCATCTAACGATATTGATTCAGCATTATGTTTCAACTGGCATTCACCTGCTTTATTTACTAGTTAGTAGAATCAGCAATAAATTCCTAGTGATTTGTTTTTTGTCCACTAGACTTCGGGCTGCTGTCAAAGTAAAGAAAATGGGGTTTGCTGTTTGGATCAAGGAATCAATGGATTGCCAGAATTTGAGGAAGGAAGTAAGGTCAGTGAAATGTAAAGCTTTTATAAGGCTTTCTCAGGACATGAACAGGAGCCAACATACTCTTAGGAAGAACAAATGGCTACCCAAGTTGACTAACTTGAGGTATGTCAACATGTGCCCTCTCCCATTCTCACTCCATCTCTCTATAAAAAAAAATTATATCGCAGCAACTTTGTCCTCATTCCAGATATTATTCCCATTTAAATACAGTTATCTACAGGAGGGAAAACACATTGGTTCCTTAGTGTCTCTTAGCTTTTAAAAGCATTTTTTCAAGTTATTTTTCAAGGGCCAGAAGTAAAGTGGAGATGTCATGAAAATAAAAGAACAGGTAGAACAAGTAGAGACAGGAGAGGTTCAGGGAGCCGTTCTTGTTCCAGCTGTGTCTGCGGCTGCTGCCTCCTCTTCTACTGTCCCCAGACTCCAAAGAGAAGGTACAGGGAGTTGAGGCCTCCAGAGGCCCATTGGCATCAGCACTGAGTTGCTGATGACAAGGTTTGTGTTAGAGCCCTTGGTTTGGAGCGCGGGGATTGTGGCTGGCCAGTGGACTTTTTTGTCGGTTTGCTGTATCTGACTGTGTATCTATATCTTTTGACCTTATTCCACAAAGGATTTTAAAGTTGCTCGATAACAGTAATTTCTGATATGTTCTCTTTTTAGACAAGTCCAAAACTCTTCGCAGAAGAGGAGTTTCTGCCATTGGATCCAACCCAGGAACTGATATTTCCTCCTGAGCTAATGGTGAGTAAAGCAATGTTGAGCTCATCCTAGAAGAATTCATGGTGAAATATCAGGAAGGGTATTTGTTTATGGGTTCTCTCAAAAGCTGATTGGCAAATAGGTGAGGCCTCTCTGTCATCCTTAGCTCAAGGTCTAAAGAGTATGGACTAAGGAAGAGGAGGAGGAATGGGGGTGGGGTCCCCATGGGGGACAGCTGAGTTGACTGTAAGAAGCAGCAGATAGCTTCTATAAAATCGTGAAATCACAGTGTTTGTAGGTATAGACATGTTTCCTACTTTCACTTTTGCTGAAGTTTATTCCTCCATAGAATGATTTAACAAGATTCAGCATGTTACTATATTTGCTAACATTAAAATGATGTTCTTTGAGACAAGAGCACCAAAGGGAGACAGACCAAGCAGTTCCCAGGAGTAAAGAACCATCGTGCTTTTATTCTGAATTCTAATTCCTTGTAAAGCTCTACTTTTAGGTCACTTTGTACTTTATTTTTTAGAAGATATGTATTTTCTCATTCTGTATCTACAGTGCTAATGATTGAGTGGAAACAGGTGGAGATGGCATCATTGGGTACCTTGAATCCCTATTGCTTTTTCAATAGATAATGGCTGAGAAACAGTCGCAAAGGACCAGGGTGTTTGGCAGTGAGAGAATGATGTGGTTTTCCCCCGTGACCCTGAAGGAACTGCTGGAATTTAAATTCAAGTATCCCCAGGCTCCTGTTATCATGGGAAACACCTCTGTGGGTATGTAGAACCCCAGGGATTTTTTATAGGGAAATTGAGAAAAAGGGCTTGGGATGGGGCCGGGGTGGGCTGGGGAAACTTCATATACATGTGTTCTCAGGAAAAGCAGTCTGAAATAGCATTTTTAATCATTTGAGCTAGACTTCCTGAGCATTGCTCAAGAGACTTTCTAACTGTTATTAAGTAGATTCCTCTTGCCTCTTATTGGAGCAGTGTCAAGAGTTGTACCGAAGGGGCTTGCTCCATAGCAAACCAGCAGCAGGAGCTTCAGTGACAGCTGTCCTGTCTTTCCTTTTGGGGACTAATCTGGGCCTCAAATTTCAAATTGCTCTTTGTTTCCTCTCTCAGGGTGTCTCAATAGGTATATGTTTTACTTAAACAACCGCTACAGGGTCTTCCTGTTGCATCCAGTGTGTGCTCAGCTTGAGGAGCAGCCCCTAGAGTCTTCCCAGAGAGAATTTTGAACATGCCATATGGCCCAAGTTTCAAGGTTGACAATTCCAGAGTCTTCCAAGTTTGATGAAAATCTATCCAGCCATTCTCTCTGTATGTGATTTGGCAATAAACAGATGAATAGAAAGATACAATATTTTTAGATATTTAAAGATATTAGTTTAATAATAATTTCAAATTTAAAAGGCAGTTAGTTCCTTTATTCTAGTCTTATTGATTTTTTTTTTTTTTTGATCCTTTAGGGCCTGAAGTGAAATTTAAAGGCGTCTTTCACCCAGTTATAATTTCTCCTGATAGAATTGAAGAACTGAGTGTTGTAAACCATGCATATAATGGTGAGTTCTCAAGTCCCTGTTTTCTTAGTTAAGATGCATTAATCAATTTATTTACCTTGCCCAGCAGACAAGCAGAAAAAGAATGATTCCTAATTATAATACACACAGAGATTCTCTTCTTATAAGAATGATATGTTTGTTGGCCACATAAATGTCTTCTTTTGAGGAGTGTCTGTTCATATCCTTTGCCCATTTTTTGATGGGGTTGCTTTTTCCTTATAAATTTATTTAAGTTCCTTGCAGATTCTGGATATTAGACCTTTGTCAGTGGGTAGATTGCAAAACTTTTCTCGCATTCTGTAGGTTGCCTGTTCACTCTGACACTAATTTCTTTTGCTAGGCATAAACTCTTTAGTTTAATTAGATCCCATTTGTCAATTTTGGCTTTTGCTGCAATTGCTTTTAGTGTTTTAGTCATGAAGTCTTTGCCCATGCCTATGTCCTGAATGGTATTGCCTAGGTTTTCTTTTAGGGTATTTATGGTTTTGGGTTTTACATTTAAGTCTTCAATCCATCTTGAGTTAATTTTTGTATAAGGTGTAAGGAAGGGGTCCAATTTCGTTTTCTGCATATGGCTAGCCAGTTTTCCCAGCACCATTTATTAAATAGGGAATTCTTTCCCCATTGCTTGTTTTTGTCAAGTTTGTCAAAGATCAGATGGTTGTGGATGTGTGGTTTTATTTCTAAGGTCTCTGTTCTGTTCCACTGGTCTATATATCTGTTTTGGTGCCAGTACCATGCTGTTTTGGTTACTGTAGTCTTGTAGTATAGTTTGAAGTCAGATAGTGTGACGCCTCCAGCTTTGTTCTTTTTGCTTAGGATTGTCTTGGCTATACAGGCTCTTTTTGGTTCCTTATGAAATTTAAAGTAGTTTTTCTAATTCTGTGAAGAAAGTCAATGGTAGCTTGATGGGGATAGCATTGAATCTGTAAATTACTTTGGGCAGTATGGCCATTTTCATGGTATTGATTCTTCCTATCCATGAGCATGGAATGTTTCTCCATTTGTTTGTGTCCTCTCTTATTTCCTTAAGCAGTGGTTGGTAGTTCTTCCTGAAGAGGTCCTTAACATCCCTTGTAAATTGTATTCCTAGGTATTTTCTTCTCTTTGTAGCAATTGTGAATGGGAGTTCATTCATGATTTGGCTCTCTGCTTGTCTATTGTTGGTGTATTGGAATGCTTGTGATTTTTGCACATTGATTTTGTATCCTGAGACTTTGCTGAATTTGCATATCAGCTTAAGGAGTTTTTGGGCTGAGACGATGGGGTTTTCTAAGTACACAATCATGTCATCTGCAAACAGAGGCAATTTGACTCCCTGTCTTCCTATTTGAATACCTGTATTTCTTTCTCTTGCCTGATTGCACTGGGCATAACTTCCAATACTACGTTGAATAGTAGTGGTGAGAGAGGGCATCCTTATCTTGTGCCAGTTTTCAAAGGGAATCCTTCCAGCTTTTGCCCATTCAGTATGATATTGGCTATAGGTTTGTCACAAATAGCTCTTATTATTTTGAGATATGATCCATCAATACCTAGTTTATTGAAAGTTTTTAACATGAGGAGATGTTGAATTTTATCAAAGGCCTTTTCTGCATCTATAGAGATAATCATGTGGTTTTCGTCACTGGTTCTGTTTATGTGAGGGATTACATTTATTGATTTGCATATATTGAACCAGCCTTGCATCCCTGGGATGAAGCCAACTTGATCGTGGTGGATAAGCTTTTCGATGTGCTGCTCATCATCACTGATCATTAGGGAAATGCAAATCAAAACCACACTGAGATACCATCTCATGCCAGTCAGAATGGTGATTATTAAAAAGTCAGGAAACAATAAATGCTGGCAAGGCTGTGGAGAAATAGTAATGCTTTTACACTGTTGGTAGGGGTGTAAATTAATTCAACCGTTGTGGAAGACAGTGTGGTGATTCCTCAGGGATCTAGAACCAGAAATACCATTTGACCCAGTAATCCCATTACTGAGTATATACCCAAAGGATTATAAATCATTCCACTATAAAGACACATGCACACTTAGGTATATTGCAGCACTATTTACAATAGCAAAGACTTGGAACCAACCCAAATGCACATCAATGATAGACTGGATAAAGAAACTGTGACAGATACACACCATGGAATACTATGCAGCCATAAAAAAGAATGAGATCATGTCCTTTGCAGGGACATGGATGAAGCTGGAAGCCATCATTCTCAGCAAACTAACACAGGAACAGAAAACCAAACACCACATGCTCTTACTCATAAGTGGGAGTTGAACAATGAGAACACATGGACACAGGAAGGGGAACAACACATACCGGGGCCTGTTGGCGGGTGGGGAGCAAGGGAAGGGAGAGCATTAGGACAAATACCTAATGCATGCAAGGCTTAAAACCTAGATGACAGGTTGATAGGTGCAGCAAACCACCATAGCACATGTATACCTATGTAACAAACCTGCACATTCTGTACATGTATCCTAGAACTTAAAGTAAAATAAAAGAAAAAGAAAATGGGGACAGAAAGCATAAAAAAAAAGAATGATAACATTCTGGAGGAAGACTGAGGGAAGAATTCTCTAAAGTTAATCTAAATACTAATTGTCTGAATAGTTCAGTTTTTACTGAAGAACTTCTTCTGTCTGCAATATCAGAGAAATGTAACAACTATTCAATGAAGGATACGGTGCTAAGTGCTGGACAGAAGATAAAGATGAATATAACACAGTCTTTGCTCTTTAAAACCACAGTAGCGAGTTTATGTATTCAACAGCTTACAGACTGGTTTTTCTACTCCTGTAGAGGAAATTGATATAATGGCAATGATAAGAAGCAATAGAAATGTGGGTTTGCAGTACAGCCTCTGAAATCTAACTCTTGACAATGGCATATATTAGCTGTCAGATCTTAGGCAAGTTACTCAACTCTCAGTTTCTTCATCTGTGAAATGGGGCTATTAATATCTCATAGGTATGTTCAGATTTAAGGAGATTATCTAAAGCATTCAACATAATACTCAATAGAGTGAGTGTTCAAAGAATTCAGCCTTCATTACCTCCATCAACACCACTTACATCACTACCACCACCTCTATCATTACCCCACCTTCATCACCACCACCACACCACCCCCTCAACTGCTATCCCTACCACCATCGCCTCACCACCACTTTCATTACTACCATTACCTTCATCACCATCACCACCATCACTGCCCATCACCACCATCACCAATAAGCAGGGCAGCATGTATCCAGTATAAAGATTCTATGTCTGTAGCTTTGGTCTAATGGACATTTTCAGATCAGCAGTGATCGCACTGTGTTATTTACAAATGACTTCATTTCAGGACTCACCCTTGGTGCTGGTCTCAGCCTAGCCCAGGTGAAGGACATTTTGGCTGATGTAGTCCAGAAGCTTCCAGAGGAGAAGACACAGATGTACCATGCTCTCCTGAAGCATTTGGGAACTCTGGCTGGGTCCCAGATCAGGAACATGGCTGTATGTATCTGATGACAGTAAACTCTGGTATGCATCCCTTGGGTGACTCTCCCTGATGAATCATGACATTTTCATTCTTTTGGAACAGACAAAAAAAATAGTTCTCCAAAGCCTTGCTTAATCCTTATTTTAGCACTTGCTTTTTTATGATTACATAAATGAAAATAACTCATTATTTTTAAAAGTCTTTAGGGGGACACATCATTAGCAGGCATCCAGATTCAGATCTGAATCCCATCCTGGCTGTGGGTAACTGTACCCTCAACTTGCTATCAAAAGGTAAGTGACAGCCCCTACTTGGAGATTATTAAGCTGTTTCTCTACCCCTTTTTCTCTCTGGGGAGGCAGGAAATCCAGTCTTGAAAATGACTTTTCCCTATAATATCAATACATTTCTCTGCTTTTCTGGATACTGGAAATTTTGTGAGTCTTGTCTTAATAGCACAGGCTTTCTTCCCCTGTGTCTTTCTGGTTTTTTGTTTGTTTGTTTGTTTTTCCTCATACTGGTCACCCTACACTGGACATGTTTGTGTTGGTTAATGTCCGGATGTGATCTGATTATTGCTGGGAACTACATACTATTGAGAACTATTGGGTCCCTTTGTTGAAGACATTCTCCAGGTGGTACAGGAGTGTTGTGGCACCCACATCGTGCTTTGAGCTCACACTTAATTTATCATTGATGGAAACATACAGGTCTTTTTCAGGTGAAAAATGATTGGGCCTCATTCTATATTTATTTACTTGATTTTTGTTATTAAAACTAAGTCCACAACATCTAATTTATCGCTTCTTCCAACTTGCTTGAAAATTATTAGGAAGTTCTAATTGGTCCTCTGTAAATTTGTGGGGTTTTTTTTCGTTAAAAAATATGGACTAGTTTTCTATCATCTGCATTGTTAAATACTTACTCTTCATACCATTTAAACCATAAAACTATCTTTTTTTTTTTTTGAAATGGAGTCTCGCTCTGTCACCCAGTCTGGAGTGCAGTGGCACAATCTCAGCTCACTGCAACCTCTACCTCCTGGGTTCAAGCGATTCTCCTGCCTTGGCCTCCTGAGTAGCTAGGACTGCAGGCATGTGCCACCATGCCCAGCTAATTTTTGTATTTTTAATAGAGATGTGGTTTCACTATGTTGGCCAGGCTGGTCTCGAACTCCTGACCTCGGGTGATCCACCCGCCTCTGCCTCCCAAAGTGTTGGGATTACAGGCATGAGCCACAGTGCTTGGTCACAAAACTATCTTAAAGAGGAAGATTTGCATTCAGGGTTTTCAATTTGAGTAACATCCCCTAAAAGTCATACTATGAGAAACAGGTTTGTGATGTGAATATAGACATCAAAAGCTTCTTAGCTTTCAGTATTTTGTTATAGTTTTAAACTGTTCCTCTTCCTTATATATTAATTAAAGAACTAAAATTCTTCAGGTGTTGGAACAAGATATAAAAAAGTAAGATAACATCTCAGTAGTATACAAATTTATTAAAGATAATTTCTTATTCATGACTGTATCTAGTGGGGTTCCTGGTTATAAACAATAAATATTTGTTGGCTGACTTGATCAGAATATCAAAAGAGATATTAATATTTACTCCCTACTTGTAAAGTTTTAAGTGAATTGTGTTGTCAGGAAGAGGACTGCTAAGGTTCTATTCTACCTGAAACTCTGGGCTACTCTGTGAGATCTTTTCATCTATTTTTTAAATCTATTTTTTATTTTTAAAAAAATTTTTTAGATGGAGTCTCACTTTGTCATCCAGGCTGGAGTGCAGTGGCATGATCTCAGCTCACTGCAACCTCTCCCTCCCGGGTTCAAGTGATTTTCCTGCCTCAGCTTCCTGAGTAGCTGGGACTACAGGTGCGCACAACCATGCCCAGCTAATTTTTTTGTATTTTTAGCAGAGAGAGGTTTCACCATGTTGGCCAGGCCGGTCTCAAACTCCTAACCTCAAATGATCCACCTGCCTTGGCCTCCCAAAACACTAGGATTACAGGTGTGAACCACCACGCCCAGTCGATGTTTTTATCGATGAGAAAGCAAGGAAAACAAAAAGAGATGGGGCCTAGACTAGAAGAAACATTGCAAGACGCATTATAGGGTAAAAGATTTGCGAAGCATAGGAAGAGCACCTGTTTCCCTGAACAACCGGTTTCCTCAGGTATTTGGTAGAATTACTTCCTAAGTTTTGGAAGTTTATTTAACAGACCAAACAGATCCCAGGGAAAGTGTCATTTCTTTCCACAGAAGGAAAACGACAGATTCCTTTAAATGAGCAATTCCTCAGCAAGTGCCCTAATGCAGATCTTAAGCCTCAAGAAATCTTGGTCTCAGTGAACATCCCCTACTCAAGGAAGGTGAGAACATCCCACTGTCAATTTCCCAGTTGCACCTGTGATGCTATGGCTTGTTTATTCCAGTATATGGTGGAATAAGAAAAAGGGTGAAGTGTTTATGTGGGAGATAAAGGCTCAACTTCAGGAAGTGGTATGAGGTCATTATTTTAAGACTTGTGAATAGTTGCCTTTTCCTTGTATTACGCATGCCCCTATCATTCCTCGAATTAGGAGATTTTTTTTTTTTTTTGAGATCGAGTCTCGCTCTTTTGCCCACACTGGAGTGCAGTGGCATGATCTGGGCTCACTGCAATCTCTGCCTCCCAGGTTCAAGCGATCCTCCTGCCTCAGCCTCCCGAGTAGCTGGGATTACAGGTGCGCACCACCATGCCCAGCTAATTTTTGCATTTTTAGTAGAGACGGGGTTTCGCCAAGTTGGCCAAGCTGGTCTGGAATTCCTGACCTCAGGTGATTCACCTGCCTCGGCCTCCCAAAGTACTGGGATTACAGGTGTGAGCCACCACTCCCAGACTTATCTCTGCCATTCTCGCTCTTTCTCCCCCTACCCCAAGCTCTAAAGTAACTTTCTAAAAGGTTTTTGTCCCATAAGCCTTTCTCCCTAAATATGACATGAAGAGTATGCCTCTACCTATATCTTGGGTTTTGAAAAAAGCCTAAAAATACATTTGCAATAGAACTTATTGGAAAAAACATGAGGCTTTGCATGAGATAGAGTCAGGTTTGAATCCTGGTTTCAAGGCCTGAACTAATTACTGAATCCTTCTGCGCCTTGGATTCCTCATCTGTAAAATGGGAATAATCAAGCCTGCCTCAGAGGATGTATTAGTTTGCTAGGGCTACCATAACAAAGAACCACACACTGGGTGGCCTCAACAACGGAGAATGATTTTCTGGAGATGCTGGGGGCTGCATATCTGATATCAATGTGATACTCAACATACACATACCGTCCAGCACGTAGGTGATGCTCAACACACACACACTACCTGGTGTGTAGGTGACACTCAACACACACAGACTGCCCGGTGTGTAGGTGATACTCAAGACACACAGACTGCCCAGTGCATAGGTGATGCTCAGTGTTTCTACATGTGCCACTTAACTGTTTCTTTCAGTGGGAATTTGTGTCAGCCTTCCGACAAGCCCAGCGACAGGAGAATGCGCTAGCGATAGTCAATTCAGGAATGAGAGTCTTTTTTGGAGAAGGGGATGGCATTATTAGAGAGTTATGCATCTCATATGGAGGCGTTGGTCCAGCCACCATCTGTGCCAAGAATTCCTGCCAGAAACTCATTGGAAGGTAAGGCATTAGAAGTAAGGGCTCCTCTAATACTTGTCCTTAGACTCCAAGTATTAGAGGAGCCCTTTTTGTGGTGAGATGTGATTACAAGAAGAAAAGTGTTCCATACCTTTCTATTTAATGGCTGGGAATTCCAATAAGATTTTGTTATTATTTCCATATGTCTTGATGTTAGTGAATTCTGAAGTGGGAATTATATACTCTGTGTGCGTGTGTGTGTGTGTGTGTGTGTGTGAGAGAGAGAGAGAGAGACAGACAGACAGAGAAGCCCTCCCTCAACAGTGCAAATTTGTATTCTTTATTTTGGGAGAATAATTTGCCATGATGAAAAACCAATTATGTGAGTTTGTTCTATAATAAATTGTTAAAGGCATTTGCTTACCTGACTTCCTATATCTAAAGATGACACTAATAGCTAATATTTCTTGAGCATTACTTGGTATCAGCTGCCATAACAAAGCATAGTGATTAAAAGCATGAGCTTTAAAACTTGAGAAAGGCAGACTGGCCAAAATCTCAGTTTACCCTCTGTTAACTCCTCCATGCTCTCAGTCAGCTTACTTAATTATATTGGTACTTTGGTTCCCTAGCTGTCAAAGATGGGTGATCATACCTACCTCACAGGGCAGTTGAGAGGATTAAATGAGTGAATACATATAAGGTGCTAAAAGCAGATCTTGGCATGCAATAAATGTCCTAGTGAGGACATTTATTAGTGAGTAAATGAGGGTCAGTTACTCCTGGACTGTGGATTTTATATGAGTTGTCATTTATTTCTCTAGATCATTCTGTGAGTTGGGTTCTAATATTCCCCTTTTACAGGTGAGGACATGGCGAGACCCAGGCTAGCCACCTTGAGAATGGTGGGCCAATTTGAACTCGGGCTGCCTGATCCAGAGCTTGTACTCTTATTTCCTGTATTAAACTATGGCTATTTGTCTTACCCATTAGATGAAGATATGGGGTAATAAACCCTGTCAGGCTAGGAGTCTTCTCTTTGGACTTTCCAGGCACTGGAACGAACAGATGCTGGATATAGCCTGCAGGCTTATTCTGAATGAAGTCTCCCTTTTGGGCTCGGCGCCAGGTGGGAAAGTGGAGTTCAAGAGGACTCTCATCATCAGCTTCCTCTTCAAGTTCTACCTGGAAGTGTCACAGATTTTGAAAAAGATGGTAAACAACTGTTTACACATTAACTTCCCCAGTACTGGGAGCTATGATGACACCAAAAGTAGAGGCAATGACTCCCTACCAAATAGCTGTAGAATAAAAAAGACAATCCACATTAGAAACACACGTACTTGCTGAACATCCCTCAGCCTGTCTGTGGGTGGGTATGAGTTTAGGGAAGAATTGAAAGTAGAGCCAAGAGTTGATCAGGCTTTTATTTAACACCACTCAATTATTTGGTTTCTGACTGTTAGTTTTTCCAGATCATGTTCAGAAAACTTGCTAATGATTTGGGTATGTTTTCCCTCTGTATGTCATTTCTTTCTCTTGAGCTATTACCTTCACGTTGAGGTTGACTTCATGTGTTTGGTGTTCTTTTCCAGATTCAGCTTCATTTCCCTAGCCCATAAGGTGGCCATGATGGCAGCCACTGCACAAGATGACTGTGAAATGCGTCATTGTAGGAAAAGGGCTTCATATGGTCCCTAGTGCTTCAGAGGAAATCTGTAGTAGTAGTCATAATAATAGTAGTGACAATCCATGCATTCTTTTGCCTGGTCTCTCTTAGGGCAAACAATTAAAGCTACAAGATTCTTGGCTGGGGAGGACACAACTAAAAAAAATTCTCTGAATAAATCCATTA
Source organism: Homo sapiens (assembly GCF_000001405.40). Lineage (NCBI taxonomy): Eukaryota > Metazoa > Chordata > Mammalia > Primates > Hominidae > Homo > Homo sapiens. Next base: position 200,614,607 of record NC_000002.12, read on the forward strand.
GACCCAAAGGAGACTTGAGCCTCATTGGCCTCACAAACCCCATGCTATAACCAGCTGACCAAAACAGACTGGAAGCCAAGAACAGTCTTCCTGTGGTATAGAAGTTAGTATGGTCACTTTAAATAGCAGACACAAAGTCCTCTCTTATCCTTGCTTTTGAGGGTATCTTCTCAGTGTAGGTGGGAGCAACTAGGAACCAGAAGGGTAGTATCACATTATTAAGAATGAAAATTTGAAATCATAGATAAGTGACATATTGTCACCAGGTAACCAATTATAGACTCCTCCAATTAGTAGCAAACTAATATAATTTCTGGGTGACTCAAGCGATGTAATTTAAAACTTTTGCCTTGTAGTCTTATACCCCTCCTCTCTTTAAAAATAATAGCTTTTGTTGGTTTTATTTAATTTTTTTTTTTGAGACAGGGTCTCTGTCACCCATGCTGGAATACAGTGGTGTGATATCATAGCTCAGTGCAGCCTCAACTTCCTGGACTCAAGCAATTCTCCCACCTCAGCCTCCCAAATAGCTGAGACCACAGGCATGCACCACCATGCCCAGCTAATTTCTTTATTTTTTTGGAGAGACAGAGTCTTACCATGTTGCTCAAGCTGGTCTTGAACTCCTGGACTCAAGCAATCCTGCTGCCTTGGCTTCCCAAAATGCTGGAATTACAGGCATGAGCCATGACACCTAGCTGGTTTTATTTTCTATTAAAATTATGTAAATTAGAAAAAATAACCACCATGTGTATTGTTGAAAGCCTTTCCCCCCATCCAGCTCTAGGCTGTGCAATGTTCAGTCTTGTGTAAAGAACCAAATGACTCACTTCCCTCAGTCCTGAGGAATGTTCTTGCTGGGGACCAGAATCCTTCCCCTGTAGGGCAGCGACAGGGATGCAGCCTGTGTCCCCCTTTCTACACAGCTGGCAGGCAACATGGAACCTTTATGCTTATTTGCAATGGTGTACTTTGACTCTGATGTTTTCCTGGCTTAAGTATTTTCTTCCTTTCTATTTTATTTACTTAGCTTCTATCTTCTTGTTGGATCAGTTTGTAAGTCCTCATATCATTTAGGAGAGTATATGAGAGAATCATAAGAAACATAGAGCTGGTGGAAGCCAGTTACCTACCGTATTCATCTGGCTATTCATAATATGAGGAAATATGTATGCACCTTTCAGAGTATATGTCCTTGAGTCAGGGAGCTGCTTGTATTTCTGGGGTTCTGAATAGGGTGAGTGCTTAATATACGTGAGACTTCAGAGTAGAGATGCTTGCTAAGACTCATGCTAGCCTCACTTCCAAAATCATTCTGGTGCATTCAAACTATTTAAAATATCTGCAATGGTTCTACTTTTCAGGATCCAGTTCACTATCCTAGCCTTGCAGACAAGTATGAAAGTGCTTTAGAAGATCTTCATTCCAAACATCACTGCAGTACATTAAAGTACCAGGTGAGCGGTATTTCTTGTTTTTAAAAATTCACAATCTGGGCTATAGTGATTTGACCTGGACATTCCCACTGTCTCTCCGTGAAACTCAAGCTCTGTAAGTCCAAGCTCCACTTCTGGTAAACTCACAGCCTCTTTATGGGTAACTAAAATTCCAAAATCAATGAAGAATTTGATTAAAGACAAATCTAGCAGTGGTAATATTAAAGAAGAATGTTGATTTGGGTCTTAAAGGTTACGTGCTTTGCACTGTGGCCTTGTACCACAGACACGCATGAGATGGCCACCTTGTCACGTGTTTTCTGCCCTGGGCACTGCAGGCATCAGAGTCCAATAAAGCCACGCTCTGCGGCAAGGCCATGGGCTGCTTTGCTTTCATTTTCAGAGGAAAAGACACAGCCCCTAGAGGTTGATGAAAATTCAATAATGCTTTTAAAAAGAACTGCTGATTTGTTTAGCTTGAATGTTAAGATATTTTACTCCCTTAGTCTCTATTCTTCTAGTGATTTTTCTGTGAGTTACATTTTAGAGTTGAATCAAACGTAAGTACTAAGAGCTTTTTGTGCTCTCGTAATGAAGGCTATTAGAAAACAGGATTCCTAACTCTCAAATGGAATTTTCTGCCACATCATAAAAATATGCCTGAAGTCACCCTGTTGGTAAAGTGGATACAGTTTGGTGGGTTTTTCCTTGAAATTATTATCAGGAAACTTGACCTCGAGAGTTTTAGTAAGTCAAGAACATGAAAAGGCTTTTTAAAGCATTTGTTCACTGAAACTATTGTTGGATTTGGTTGTGAAAGCTTATAGTATGTCGTAATGAACATTGACGTTGGTGTGTATTCCTTGAGGTTTTAGGTTCAATATGTTTAAAAATTAAAATGCACCAAACTCCATTGAAAATGATTGTTTTGAAAGTTAAAAACAGCTGCCATCTCCCCGGTGTTCTTTTCAAATATGATAGTTGAACCCTTTGGCTTATAAATACCCTAATATTTCTTAGACAATGGAATAAACTTCAGAAAGAAACAACAACAAATTAATGGATATTGAAATCATCCAAAGAAAAAGGAAAATCTTCACATAGTGCATGATCTTGAATGAGAGTTTATCATTGATTGCAAAACAAAGTTTTAGATGCAATATGTCTGCCACATAGATGAGTTTTGTTTTTGTTTTGCCCGTGGTTTTTCACACACACATACAAACATCCACATTGCTAGAGCAACGTCAGCACTCACGAAGAGCATTTTTCCCCTAAATCAGTTCATTTGCTTTGAAAATATTTTGACACAGCTTCAAAAGATCACCAGTTTGAGGAGACAGCATTCTTCCTTCCATAGTATCTTTAGCCAAATACTAAGCAGAAGCAGGTAATTGAGGACAGCTTCTTTCACCAGTAGATTTATCACAACTAACTGCAAAAAAAAAAAAAAAAAAAAAAAAATGTATGATATCTTTGACGGTAGGACAAAGACATTTTTTGGAATTTTTCCTCAGTTTTTTGGCAGGCCTCACACAACATGGTTTCAAAAGACTTTTTTTCAATGTGATGAAGTGTTTTGTTTGTTACAGTGAAATGTGTTATGTCAGTTAACTCCCAGACCCATTACAGATACCTATGAATGTCTTTCCTTAATGTCTGAGCTTATGAATTATCTGGAATTTTGCTTTTCAGGATGAAAAAACTTCTTAGGGTTTTAAAAAGAAGATGTGGGTGATTTTTTTTCACTCAAATGTGGTTCAGGTTGAGAGCCCAAGCAGCATCACAGCTCAGCACTTTGGGGGATATTTTGCAGAGGAAGTCAATTCCTACCATCTGCAACATATGAAAAACCACACCTGGTAGAACCTCATTGTTGGTTTTTCCTTTTCATCACTATCTCAGCTCCTCGAAGCAGAGGGGGAAGAGGAGAACTGAGGGGATTCCTTTGCCATGGGGACAGGGCAGTGTGAGCTACGTCAATAGAGCTGGAGTGTTGGGACTGTCTCCAATCTGTGCTCATGCCTGAACCCCAATAAGTAAACTTTTCTCTCATTTTCCCTAGTCCCCTACATTCGTGGCCTAATATCTACCTTTATTGAATGGAGCCCTGGGCCAAGGTCTAAATTATTTTTCTCGATAGTCTCCTGCTTTCTAGCTGATAAAGTCAGGATGACTCAACAATAACTGAAAATGAAAAAACAAAAACTTAGTCAATACTCCGTTTTTTGTTCACTGTATTATACTAACTACAAAACTGAAGTTTACATTTAAGTAAAAGAAATATGAAATTAGAACAATAAATGCTTATCAACAGTGTTTATTTTGCAGCAAAACAGTAAATTTTATATAAAATAGGAATAAATGCATCCTACACACATGTCTTATACCAAGTTAATTGTAGAAATTACACTACTTTCTGTGCATAGTTGTCAGCCACAATTTGGTTGACATTTTACTTCTTGTCATTTATGTTATGAAAATAATATGGTTTTTTTATTTTCAAATCAATGTTGAACATGTTCTGAAATAACACATGCCACTCTGCCGTTCTCTCCTGATATTCCAGCCCTGCCACCTGCCTGGAGAATCTCTGATCTCTATCTCCAGCCAGAGGTTTTTTGTTTTTTTGAGGCCCTTAAGTAGTTGGGTAGTGAGTGGGGAGCACTCTTCTCGAGTTCCTGGAGCAGCAGAGGGCACTGGAGAACTGTACATTTCACAGCTGTCTTAAGTAAAGCTCTCATTATAACCAGAGGTCTCCTCCATTTGTGGGATTAGATGAATTAAATCCAAATGTTCAGAAAGGAAAGCAAAACATCTGCATGAAAAGGAAATGTGTTAATCGGGGGGATCCAGACAGCTTGTCTTCAGTTCCATAGAGCAAGAGCCTTGGAGCACTTTCACTGGACCAGGGCAGACTTTGAAACAGGAAACCCTGCAGTGAAGAGTGAGATGAAATACCATTTTAGATGGATTCAAGTATCTAACTTATTGTTCATATGTGCTGAATAGGCTTTCTCAAACTGCACATTCTGGTAATCAAATACAAAAGAATTTAGCTTTTCTCCCCGCTCAGATGCCTTAAAGGATGCTATGTTGGAAATAGGCCTGTTTCTTCTTTTTTCTCCCAGTAAAGATTTTTAACCAGTATGTGTTGGCGACTTGTTCTCTCTTCCCTCCTGCCATATGATGTGTAGCCTGGCATTGTAAGGCTCATCTAAAAGGAAGATCCAGGGCTCAGGGTGATCCTGTGAGCTGCAGGATGGGAAGGGGAGGTGTCCATAGCTTTTCTCTGACCTCAACCTGGCCAACATGACTGCATGCCCCTCACCCCCAGGTCTTCCAGAGAAAGCCTCTGGGAGTCTGGCCTCAGTCCCAGTACCGAGTGCAATGTTGACACAGTGAGTTACAGATGGGGGTACCCACCAGGGCTTAGCAGGCCACTCCTCAGCCACAGCCTTCACCCTGGCCTTATGTCTGTCTCTTCACCTGCTCTCCTTCTTTCTTCATATCTTCAGTTCTTTTCACAATACACACCCGACTGGGAAAGCCATAAATTCCCATATTTGAAACACCAGGGCAGACATTGTGCTGATTAATGTCTGCTTTGATTAATGAAACACATTTAAGGTATTTACAGAGCCAACAGCAAGATATTCTGCTCCATGGGGCTCTAAGAAAGAGCAACATTAGTGGATCATTACTCCAATTGCAGGTCCCTTTGGCTTCATTCTCTATCAGGATTGTCTAAGTTAAGAGTTTTGCCAATTATTTCTTATATTTCCTCACTCAAAATTGAAAAAAAGAAGGCTATTCTGGTTGAAGTAATACCCTCAGTATTTTCTACAAACATAGTCACGATATCATCATACTCTTCTGTAAAATATTATATGTATCGTGCTTATATAGAAACAGTAAAGTCATTTTGATAATAAAATTTAAAGAGATACATAAGCATTAGCAAGAGGACATAATTTTGTATTGTCAAGAAGAAAGATTTAAATTTGTTTACTTACACAAATGGAATTTCCATTTGAGATGTTTGGGGTCTACATTCAAAAAAAGTGAAAAATAAGAACAACATCATGGATTGACATACCAGTTGGCTTATTGAATTACTGTAGTAGGTTTATTGTCTTGGTGTTATTAATAGTGACTTTTTTTTTTTTTTTTTTTGATGGCGTCTTGCTCTGTCTCCCAGGCCGGGGTGCAGTGCTGTGATCTTGGCTCGCTGCAACCTCTGCCTCCCAGGTTCCAGCGATTCTGTAGCCTCAGCCTCCCGAGTAGCTGGGATTACAGGCATGTGCCACCGTACCTGGCTATTTTGTTTTGTTTTGTTTTTTTTTAGTAGAGACGGGGTTTTACTATGTTGGCCAGGCTGGTCTCGAACTCCTGACCTCAAGTGATCTGCCCACCTTAGCCTCCCAAAGTGCTGGGATTATAGGCATGAGCCACTGTGCCCAGCCCAATAGTGCTTTTTCATATGCAAAAGTATTCTGGTTTGAGTCTAAATTATATAGCTACCTTCTTATGGGAAATGTGCATAATAATAATTCCTACTTTCTCTATAGAAATGTAAAAGTATATTTTGGTTATTTATTAAACAGAATATAGGCCCAAAGCAGCATCCTGAAGACCCAATTGGCCACCCCATCATGCATCTGTCTGGTGTGAAGCATGCCACGGGGGAGGCCATCTACTGTGATGACATGCCTCTGGTGGACCAGGAACTTTTCTTGACTTTTGTGACTAGTTCAAGAGCTCATGCTAAGATTGTGTAAGTGGTAAAATTCTTACTCAATGGGCATAAATGATTGTCTTTTCATCTAAGTCACACTAGTGAAAAGTAATGGTGTGAAGAAATAGGCTATTTGTTGGTGATATCCAATGCAGACCAGAGGTGAAACAGGATCGAAATGTAGGATTTACTACAACTTCGTTGTCCCAAGAATTTTTTCCCAATTGTCTGGCAGAGACTGTTGGACAGTTCTTACCTCTCTCATATCTTATTATCCAATTAACCATGTTCTTGGCCTCTATGGCCACTCTAAGGAGCTCTGCTGTGTATATCATCTAGGTCTATTGATCTGTCAGAAGCTCTCAGCATGCCCGGTGTGGTGGACATCATGACAGCAGAACATCTTAGTGACGTCAACTCCTTCTGCTTTTTTACTGAAGCTGAGAAATTTCTGGCGACAGATAAGGTACTGCATTTTTGCTTTCTATTTGAAAAATAACTTTCTCAGTTAACGGTGCTTCATATTTTCTTAAAGATACCATCTACTTTGGCACACCATGAAAGACTCCAGTATTCTTAGAATGCTTATTATAAAAGTATATTCTAATATTGAATGAATTCAAATATATTCATTTTCTGTACAAGTAAAGACATTAACTAGTTATATAAAAGATTATTTGGTGTTTTACATTTTCTAATAGTGAGATGGCATACTGCTAATGGTATAAATGAGTAAATGAAGATGGAATAATGGTAAATTTTATATGGAAATCCCTTCCCTGAGAAGCCCTTATTATTGTCCCAGTCTCAGTGTGGTCAAAGTTCAACTACAAGTTCAAGTGGTATCTGCACCATGAAGCCTTTTTTCTCATTCTTCAATCCAGAAGTTCATTCATTCTCTCTCTCTCTCTCTCTCAATTTATTCTGATTTATTTATATTTCCATGTGTTAAATGCGCTTTTTATTTTTTATTTTATTTTATTTTATTTTGAAATGGAGTTTCTGTTTGTCACCCAGGCTGGAGTGCAGTGGCATGATCTTGGCTCACTGCAACATCCACCTCCTGGGTTCAAGCGATTCTCCTGCCTCAGCTTCCTGAGTAGCTGGGATTACAGGCACAAATCACCATGCTCGGCTAATTTTTGTGTTTTTAGTAGACAGCATTTTTGCCATGTTGGCCAGGCTGGTCTCGAACTCCTTACCTCAGGTGATCTGCCCGCCTGGGCCTCCCAAAGTGCTGGGATTGCAGGCATGAGCCACCACGCCCGGCTTAAATGGGATTTTTAAAAGTGAGCATCTATGATGTCTGGTCACCATAGCTGAACAAGATATGTATGATCTCTACTCTCATGGAGCTTAAAGTCTAGAGGAGAAAACAAAGTGACCTTTATGTACTTTCTACCTTGTGTTAAGCTTGTTTATTTTGATGTCTTATATATTTCTTCCACCTAGTATAAATTCCTTGAGTGAGGACCCATGTCTGATTCATCTGTGTATTCCACACACTGCTTCTCACATTGCAGGGTGAATGAGTAGAGGTATAGTGATAACATTGTTGCCTTGTGAAAATTACAAATGATTAAAACTTTGGCTACAGCAAGAACAGCAGTCAACAGGTTTTCTGCATAATTCGGACTGCTCAGTTCAGTGTTTACCCAAAAGGGCTTCATAATTTGAAACAGTCCCTTCCTCTGGCTCTCCTTGGAAGATACTCCCTTGAAGATATTATCTGTAGAAATGAAAGCTTGATGACTGAGAGTTTGAACTCAAGGTTGAAACTCCCCCAAAGCAGGGCTGTGTAGCACTGGCAGAGACGGTGAGAATTTAAGCCCTTTGCATAAATGTTTACTAAACAAGTGAAACTGATCTTGGCTGCATGATAGTACCTGCTCTTTGAGGTGTGCTTATGAAGATCATAAGCATCTCAGGGGCCACATCTATGTGCCAGGTCACAGGAGCAAAATCAGGAGTCTTTGGAGTGCCATTGTGAATGATTGCCTTTGTTGGTTTAATGCTTTTTAAAACATTCATTTATGGCACTTAATGGCTTTTAAAAGTCTTTTCATTGTAGAAATTGTAAGCATACACAAAAATGGGAAAGTATTATACAATGAACCCCATAGATCCATCACCCAGCTTCAACAGTTATCAACACGTTACCATTCTTGTTTCATTTTTCTCTCCTTCACTGCCCCTACCCCAAACAAACACACTTTTTTTGTGTTCATGCTAGATTTTATGTTTTTAATGCCTTTTTTTCGATGATAAAACTACTTTATGTTCATTGTGGAAAAGACATAATAGTTCAAAGTCAATTTTTAAAATGAGTGATTACATTGAAATTGTGAATCACAGCATAAAGTAGGAGAGAGAACTCAGCAATGATGGTGACTTCTTCCAGTCCAGACTGTTTTTACCTTTCTCAAGTCTTAAGGTTTCTTTTCCCCATCTAAATTTCTGCTGTGGTCCCTGTGTGAACTCCTGAGCCTAGCTGCCCCACCTGCAGGCGAATAATCCTAGCTGTCAACCCCCCCAGGAAGGGGATGCTGTCTGCTTGGTCACGTCTTGGCTAGGACATCTTTTCATGAAAAGACAGTTTGTGAGGAGAGATGTGCTCACCATCAGGGTTCTGTTATCACAGGGGACTCCCCTTCCCAGGTCATCCCCTTTTTCTCTCTGGTTGAGATGATCTGTGACTTCCTGGTCCTCCCTGTCCGTGCAGGCAGAGGCTGCCTCTCTCAGAACAGCTCTGATTGTCGTGTGACAGCCAAACATCAAGCCATGGGACAGGCTGGCCCTCACACAGCCTCATAGGCTTGGCCTGGAGCCTGAGCCTGCTGTCCTCAAGACAGCATCACTCCTGCTCCTCTGATACAGCACAAGGATCTAAACTTCCCCCAGTGCCTCGGATCAGGAGGCCAGCTGTGGTTATAGTCATGGACAGATGTGGAGGGGTCACACCTGTGTGTATCTAGCCCTAGCCCTACTGTAATCGAGTACTAGGAGGGAGGAAGAAAATGAATAAAAGAGAGGACCTGATGCCTGCCCTCCTTGACAACAAAGGTCTTTCTGTGTCGTAGGTGTTCTGTGTGGGTCAGCTTGTCTGTGCTGTGCTTGCCGATTCTGAGGTTCAGGCAAAGCGAGCTGCTAAGCGAGTGAAGATTGTCTATCAAGACTTGGAGCCGCTGATACTAACAATTGAGGTAATGAGTTCTGTGGAATGGTGGTGCCAGTTGGGAGCCAGAACAAATATCAGTTAAAATGCTTTTGGCTACTGTAACAGGAAAATGTGGCTCAAAGTGGCCTCCAAAGCACACGGACTTTATTAACCTCTAACCAGTCTCAGTATTAACAATTTCCCCAAGGACATGGCTTCTTTTTGCCACTCTTCTCTGCTGCCCACAATACAAGCTCAATTCCTGTGGTCACACAGATGGCCGCCAGGACAACCTGGACTTCCTTGTTCATGTTCAAGGAGTAAGAGGAACCCTATTGCCCCAGCATTCTAAGCACAAATCCTGAGATCCAGCCTAATTAAGCCACTTAGGTCACATATCCATCTCCAAATTAATGACTGGCAGAGGAATGGAGGAGCTGTTGGTTACTTCTAGGGGTAGGAGTTGGGGTCAGGTTTCTCTGAAGTAAGTGGGCTATGTAGGGGAGTGTAGGAAACTGAAACAAATCTGAGCCCTGTTTGGAAAGGGAAAGGGGAGGGGATGCTAGATGGGAAACAGTGATGTCCAGGAAAGTGGATCCACTCTATGACTTTTTACCCACCTTCACCCAGGCACATGGTGAGGACCAACAGGATGTTCCATGAAGTGAGTGTCAGAGACACGATTTTTAGATTTTTCAAGAGATAAGTCGTATGATGCCTACAGGTATTTTGGCAACTTAAACTGGAGAATTGCATTTTCTATCCTGATTTTTAGAAAGGAGTTGAAAATTTATAAAGGCTATAAGACTCATCTCCATGAAATGATAGGATGTTCTCTTGTGTGCATTCCATTGGTTCTTATAATTTCCTGGATGATGAAAGAATGAACACTGGGGAGGCAGTGTAAATAGATGAGACTCAGTCCATACAGGCCGCATGTGCTCTGGGACACAATATTAGCTTCACAGCATAATGAACATGTTGTTCTCTGGGTGACCGGCATGGCCTGAGGCAGAATTGAGGAAACAACCTGGGCACGATCAGTGTCTCCAGGAGAACTGGGTGTTGGGGGTGCTTCTTGCCATGCTGCTTGATGCTTAGGAACATGGAGTTTGTCTCTGGGAATTTTTCTTACATTTTAAAATAAAAATAAAATCATGTCAAATAGACAAAAACGTAGAAGTCTAATTGGAGTCGAAGTGTGATTAGGCCTCCCAAATTTTCCTGGCCAGTTTCAAATTCAAACACTCTGTTCCCTTCTCAGGCCCTTTTCATTTACATGTTGCATGCTGCTCTTGCTTCATATATTCTGTCCCCTGAAGTTTGCTGGAGAGTTAGAATTACTTATTAGAAATTATTTACGTAACACTTCATCAATATTTTGTTTATAAATCTTTGCCCAATATCAGGGGCTAAATATCTACTCTCCACTCCCCCTACCTTCCAGCCAAATAAAAGCCCCAATAAGCAAATATAATAGATGCCACTCCCCCCACCCTCACCACTTCAACCAGCAGACTCGTGATTGTCTGCCAGAGAATCCCAGCATCAGATACAAGCTCTGGCTTTGTGGAAAAGAGTTGCCTCACATTGTGTTCAGAGATTAAGCTCTCAAAGTCTAAAGATCATCAACTGGATCAGAGCAAATTTAATCAAAGTTTAGAGCAGGGAAATATGCCCCTCTCCCTATACATTACAGTTCTTTTATCACTTTCCTGACTAAGAAAAATTCAGAAAATTGGCTCAAAGTTATTCAAAGAGCAAGCAGCCAGTGAAGTTGAAAAAGATGAAACTTTTAAAAATAGGATTTATAAAACCTAGCTTTTTTTTCAACCTGGAATCTCTTTAATCTTAGATTAATAAGAAAAGCACATGAACAGATTCCAATAGGAAGTGTGTTATCAATCAAAATAGAACAAAAACAAATATATCTCTGTCACTATCACAAAGATTTAATCTGGCACATGCTTTTCGAGTTTTTAGTAGATTGAATGGGGCAACGATCAAAACTCTTGAATCAAGGGGTAAGGCTGATGACCATAATGGAAAAAAATGTGTTCCCTACCGGAATCTGTCCTGAATAATAATCATCAACAACAACATGAGCATAGCTAGGACCTATACAGAGCTCACTGTGTGGTCAACATGGTTCTAGGTCAGTTTCACACATTAACTTACTAAATGCTCACCACAATCCTATGAGGCAAAAACTATTTTTATCCCCATTCTGATGGGGAAACTAAAAGGCAGGGTTACCCAAGGTTACATAGCTAGTCAGTAACAAAAACAATCAACAAACACTCTGTCAAAGAACCTGGGCCCCACCGGTGCTATAAACAAACCAACCCAGTTTTTGAATGGGGGAAATGGCAGAATCACAATAGCCCATCCCTCTAAGGGGTGTTGTCTAGACACCTACTGGTGGCCAGAAGGAAACAGAGATAAGAGAATCCCCAACTACCAACAGAATGGAATTTCATGGATGGACAATAACCCACAGTAGATAATGCCAGCAGGAGCTGGCACACCACATTTGCCAGTGGACACATGGATTACTGCAAGATAAATTCTCAGGGATAGCTAAAAACCAACCTATGTTATTGTAACTACATCTCTGGTTTTGTGCACCACTGTACCCTTTTACTGGGCACCCAGGGAGAGCCAATAGGAGCTAGTGTATAAATGGATTTGTACACCCAGCTCCCAGACAGGGCTTGTCTGAAATCTTACTTCCAGAGCTGGAGGTCCCAGGTGCTCTACTGCCCTGTGCAAATGAAATGCTCATCCCCACAAAGAAGGAATATGGGGCTGGCAGGCAGAGCCACCATGATCCCAATCACTAGAGTCTTTTCAACTAGCAATTATTGAGTGTTTACTATATGCAATATAAGCTCTTCACGTCTTATTTCATTTTATCTTCACCAACCACGATCCTATTGGAGCTATATGCACACCTGTTACTTCCATTTTACAGACAATGATAAGAGAGGTGAAGTGATAGGCCCACAGTCAAAGCTGGTAAGTGGGAAAAATGTGTGCACAATGCTGACTGGGTCTAGAGCCCAGGCTCTGAAGCCCTGTGCTGTATGGCCTTGGCTACATGAAATGGATTGTGGTGTGCAGACAATAACCTGCCTGGAAAATACTAGTTTCATTCTGGGATCACTTAGATGCCAGTTTTTTTCTGTGCATATTATTTCTTCAGACTCAGTAGGCACATTTACATTTCCTCACTGGGGAGTCTCTCTGCAGTTGGATTCTTAGCTTGGCTCACCAGGGTCATGGTGAAAGTGCACGGAACCACAAGGTGAAGGGAGAAACAACCCCTGCTCAGAGGATGTGCAGTGGGGTGTGTCTGCTGCCCTAGGGCAGGGTCTCTTGCCCAAGCTGCCTCATTCCTCTGTTCTCTTTCTAGGAAAGTATACAACACAACTCCTCCTTCAAGCCAGAAAGGAAACTGGAATATGGAAATGTTGACGAAGCATTTAAAGTGGTTGATCAAATTCTTGAAGGTAAAAAGTAATGGAAGAGTAAACAACCCTGGAAGTCTTCTAAGCATGTCAGTTTAAGGCTTCCTTTGTCTTCTGGAAATCATCGGGCAGCCTAGGGGGGTGTTGCTCCTCAGGAACAGGCAGAACAGGCACCTCATTCACAAATGTGTTTCCCTCCGTCTCTGGGGTAGGCCAAGAGCCAATGGGGAGGCAAAAGAGGAGGCAAGACCCTGCCCCTCTTCCCTGACCCCCCTTCCCTCATCAAGGCTCCAGTTGTTAGAGATGTCATTTTCTTTCCTGTTCACAACCACCCTGCAAGAGGGTATTATTATCTCAATCTTATAGGCTGGAAAATGGAGGCTCAGCGTAATTATGGAGTGTGACCAAGGTCACACAACAACTACTAAATAACAGAGTTGGCCATTGAATTGATAGGCTTTATTAGGATTTCCAAAGCCCATGTTTCTTCTTCATCCTTTCTCTCTCTGATTCTCCCTCTCTTCCTTTCTTCCTTCTCTGCTTTTTCTTCCCTTCCTCTTCCCTTCCCTTTCTCCTTTCTCTTTCTTCCAGACTTCTTTGCTGTATGTATGTATGTAATTAAAATTAAATTTGCCTCTTAGAAAATAGTTAATTATAGCTTTCCAGTACAATTCCTTAACTTTTGGCTTTGAGATATTTTAAAACTTACATAAAAGTTGCAGAAACATTAAAGAAACTCCCAAATATTTTTCACTCAGATTCCCCAATTATACACACACACATACACACACACACACTTCTGAGCCATTTGAGAGTAAATTGTAAACATGATGTATGTCTCTTTACCCCTAAATAGTCAGCATTTGTTTCCTAAAAACAGGATGTTGTCTAACATAAACATAGTTATCAAAATCAGAATATTAACACATATTCTATTAATCTACACAGTTTATTCAAATTTCGCTAGTTGTCTCAATAATGTCCTTTATAGCAGAAAAAGAGGTTCATCATAAGTCTTAAATAACCCATGCTTTCCCCGCCACACTCTGCTGTCATTGCTGCTGTGAAAGCTGTCCTAATGCCTGCCTCACAAGATCTCTGATTTACAGACATGCTATTGGGTGGGTATGGGCAGTCTGTGCCACATCTCAGAGCAGAGAAATCATCCGGCATTATCTGTCTTTAAGTGAATTTCCAGGGCATTGGCCTCTAGTGCATGTTAAAAACTCCCATCTTCTGGGCTGGGCATGGTGACTCATGCCTATAATCCCAGCACTTTGGGAGGCCGAGGTGAGTGGATCACTTGAGGCCAGGAATTCAAGACCAGCCTGGCCAAAATGGCAAAAACCCCTCTCTACTAAAAATACAAAAATTCCAGGCGTGGTGGTGGGAGCCTGTAATCCCAGCTACTGAGGAGGCTGAGGCACAAGAATCGCTTGAACCCTGGAGGCAGAGGTTGCAGTGAGCCGAGATTGCACCACTGCACTCCAGCCTGGGTGACAGAAGGAGACTCCATCTCAAACAAACAAACAAACAAACAAACAAAAAACACAACTCCCATCTTCTTAATTTTTCTCACCAACCTTGATCACAAGAATAGGAAGAGTCCTAAGACACATCCCATCCTGAGTGCACAGCCAGAGCTGTGTAATATGTCACCAGTCAGCCCAGCTTCTTAAGTTCCAAGCCCATCATGTCTCAACTCTATAGGTGCATTAAACTTGAAGCGTGTCAGGGGCTGACTGGAAATGTCACCTGAAAGCTGTAGGAAAGACACCTGGAACTGTCACCTACCAGTTTTCCTTGGCATTGTGTCTTATTAGCTGTGTAACCTGGCAGGGCACTTCTCAGGGCTCAGTCTCCCTGTTTTAATATTACATGGATAAAGTAAAAACAATTTCAAATGTGAATTATAAAGATTATAAGAGATAATCATGTGTTCTTGGCATATAGTAACAAATCAATAACTGTGAGCAATGATTATTAGATTTAGATGTTTTTGTTGTTTTCCTGAAAATGTTGTCTATTAGTGAGATACGTTGGCAGGTGTTCATTTATCAAACCCAGTGTTTCCAAGATTTTCTCCTTATAGGAATCACTGAGGATATTTATGAGACCTAGAGATCCCTGTGCCCTTTTTTAGAATTGTAGAGGATCCAAAACAGCCCAGGAACTGGTCTTAACAAGTTTTCCAGGTAATTCTTAGGGCTAGTAAAATGTGGAAAATACTGGAAAAGTGAGTTTGATTTATGGGAATGAAGAGAAAAAGAGGGTACATTTCTATCATAGAGCGTTCCCGGCATGAGCATGTTGGAAATATCAATATTTAGGGGGGTTCCTTGTTTCATGTTTGTTTCCTGACATAATGAGTATTTGTGCAAGAATTCCATTGTTGTATTTTTCCTTGACATCTTCTTTAATTATCTAATTCAATTAGGTGATTGATTTAGTCTGCCTCTTACTTGAATTTTTGTTATTGCTGCATACCCCATTGATAAGTATAAAAATGATACGGGAATATTAAAAAGGACATTTATACTACTTTTCAGTATAAACGCCAGCTGCAGTAGCTCACGTCTATAATCCCAGCACTTTGGGAGGCCAAGGCAGGACATTTGAGGCCAGGAGTTTGACACCAACCTGGTCAACGTAGCAAGATACCTTCTATTAAAAAAGAAAAAGGAAGCCGGGCATGGTGGCTCATGCCTGTAATCCCAGCACTTTGTGAGGCTGAAGCAGGCAGATTGCTTGAGGCCAGGAGTTTGAGACCAGCCCGGTCAATGTAGCAAGACTCCTTCTATTTAAAAAAAAAAAAAAAAAAAAAAAAAAAGGAAGCTGGGCACGGTGGCTCTTGCCTGTAATCCCAGAATTTTGTGAGGCTGAAGCAGGCAGATAGCTTCAGGCCAGGAGTTTGAGTCCAGCCTGGGCAATATGGCAAAACCCTGTCTCCAATAAAAATACAAAAATTAGCCAGGTGTGGTGACAAACACCTGTAATCCCAGCTACTCGGAAGGCTGAGGCACCAGAATGGCTTGAACCCGGTAGGCGGAGATTGCAGTGAGACAAGATCAGGCCACTGTACTCCAGCCTGAGCAACAGTGAGACTGTCAAAAAAAAAAGATGGATGGATGGAAGGAAGGGAGGAAGGAAGGAAGGAAGGAAGGAAGGAAGGAAGGAAGGAAGGAAGGAAGGAGGGGAAGAAAAGAAAAGGAAAGACAAGGGAAGGGAAAGACAAGGGAAGGCAAAAGAAAACCAATTTTCATCCTCTTGACTCACAAGTTTGAGTCTAGCTTTTCCCTTTGTCTGCTATCGTCTTTTGGATTATGAGTTTCTCCTAATATCTCATGATATTTCAATGCGAGGTAATTGCAATTAATTATCATAGCAACACTTTATCTGTCTTCTAAGAAAATAAGTGTCCCACACTGGGGCCTGTAGGAGTGGGGGTAAGGGGAGGGAGAGCATCAGGAAGAATAGCTAATGCATGCTAGGTTTAATACCTAAGTGATGGGTTCATCTGTGCAGTAAACCACCATGGCACACGTTTACCTATGAAGCAAACCTGCACATCCTGCACATGTACCCCAGAACTTAAAAGTTGAAGGAAAAAAAGAAAGAAGATAGGTGTTCCAAGAAAAAAAATATTTAAAAGATAAAATATGTGGAGCATTACATCAGGTCTTAGAATGCGTTCTTGGAGGGAGAACTATTATTGTTTGCACTTATCTGCTGCGAAGATATATTTCAACTCTATCTAATCCCGGTGTCACAGCACCAGAGGATGCTAAAGATTACCATTTTCAAATGAGCCAGCTGAGGCTAGAGAGGCTACCTGATTGACCAGGATGAAATCTAAGAGTTTTCCCAACTCCAAAGTTAGTATTCTTTCCTCTACATTATCCTGCTTCTCATTTATCTCATTAAAATTCTGTTAGCTGGGATGTGCTTTATACTGGAGAGCACAGAGAACAATCTGTATAAAAGGATTTGCAAGAGACCCAGGGAGCCCTGAAACTGAGATGATTTTCCCCACAACCTATCCTGCTGGGCATGGTACAGATAGACACATTCACATCTTAGCAGATTTGGGACTTTAAGGGCCTCTTATTAAAATGTAAATATGCCTGGAGGAATCACTCCTAAACCCATACTGGGATAACATTTTATCTCAGGGATTAGTTGATCAAATTGGTTTCCAACCTAGAGAGTTGACAGCAATACCCTAAGGTGAAGAGGGGGCACTACGGGTGGGGGCTGTCAGGGTAGGCAGTGCAATATAACAGGTTTCTAAAACTTTCCCTTCTTTACAGATTTAAACAGGAACAGCTCTGTCTAATTTTTTTAGCTCTGAATATTTTAAATAAAGTGACTACTTAACAAAATAAATTCTGAGTGGATAGGCAGAATCAATAATACTGCAAGCTTGAATGTAAGCCTAGTGACAATGACATGGGTCTTTAGACTATTTGATAAGAGCTTAAATTGAAGTTAAGATCTGAGCTTGTGAAATTTTAATGTTTATATATTATAAGTGAAGCAGAATCTATTCATTTTTCTGTGCTCTTTTTTTAAACTCAGATTTTCGATAAGATAGGAAGTCCAGATTGCAATTTAAAACATCTCATTTTTTATGCAAATTGAGGGAATCCTCAATTTGCAAATCACTATTGCTGAGTAAATTTTTAATTTTTAAAAGTTCTGCCTTCCATTAACATGATCGTCAGTAATAATTGTATTCTGTTTGTTCCCTCTGCTTTTTATTCTTTTCCCCACCTTCCTGTGGGTTGCCTGAATATTTGCTTAGAATTTCATTTTGATTAATCTATAGTATTTTTTAGTATACCTCCTTGTACAGATTTTTTTTAGTGGTAGCTCTAGATAGTTTACACACATACATATACACATACATATATAAAATAAAATTTATATACATATAAAATATTTACATATATAAAATATCACAGTCTGGTTTCAACATTTTACAAGTTCAAGTCAAGTGTAGAAGCTTTACCTCCCTTTACATCCCTCTCCCTTTTTATAATATAATTGATAATTCTATTTATTTATTCTACATACATTGATAATCACATGAAGCAATGTTATAATTTTGCTTCAAACACAATTTAGGAAACCCAAGAGGAGAAAGAAAGTCTATTGTATATACTGGTATTTTTATTATTTCTGTTGTTCTTTCTTCCTTCCTGATATTTTAAGATTTCTTCATTTAAAAAAAAAATCATTTTCTGTCTGTTTTAAAAACTTCCCTCAGCCATTATTTCAGGGTAAATCCGTTTAAAACAAACTCTTAGTTTTCCTTCATCTGAAAATGTCCTCATTTCCCTTTCATTGTTGAAAGATATTTTTGCTGGCTATAGAACTCTGAGTTGACAGGTATTTTCACACTAGAAAAATTTTACCACTTCTTCTGGCCTCCATGGTTCCTGAAGAGAAATCTACTGTCTTTAAAAGTGCTTTTTTTTTTCTTTCTTTCTTTCTTTTTTTTTTTTCAGATGGAATCTCACTCTGTCGCCCAGGCTGGAGTGCAGTGGTGTGATATCAGCTCACTGCAACCTCTGACTCCCAGGTTCAAGCTACTCTCCTGTCTCAGCCTCCTGAGTAGCTGGGATTACAGGCATCCACCACCATGCCTAGCTAATTTTTGTATTTTTAGTAGAGACAGGGTTTCACCACGAAAGTACTTTTCTCCTATAGATGAAGTAGTGTTTCTTTCTCATAGCTTTCAACATGGTGCTTTTGTCCTTAGTTTTCTGAAGTTTGACTATGAGGTATCTTGGAGTGTATTTCTTTGAATTTATTCTATTTGGGATCACTCAGCTTCTTGAATCTGTAGATTAGTGTCGTTTGTGAATTTGGGGACATTTTTAGCCATTATTTTTCAAATAATGGCTTGACTTCAATGGCACAAATATTAGATCTTTTGTTATAGCCAATGGGTTCCTGAGGTGCTGTTCATTTTTTTTCCAGTCTATTTTTTTCTGCTTTTCAGATTGGCCAATTTCTATTGTTCTATATTCTTGTACATTAATCATTTCCTCTGTTCTCCCTATTCTGTTGCTGAGCCCATCCCTTGAACTTTTTAAATTTTTGCTGTATTTCTTAATTCTAAAATTTCTATTTCTTTTTTCTTTTTATACTTTCTATTTCTTTGCTGAGGTTTCTATTTTTTCATTTGTTTCAAGTGTTTGTGTAATTGCTTATTAAAGCATTTTTATTACAGCTGCTTTAAAATCCTTGTCAGATAATTCTAACATCTGTGTCATCTCAGTGTTGGCATCTGTTGATTGTCTTTTCTCATTGAAGTTGGGATTTTCTTGGTTCCTGGTATGAATGATATTTGATTGTATCCTAGACATTTTAGATATTATGTAATGAGACTTTAGATCTTATTTGAATCTTCTATTTTATTAGAATATTCTGTTTCACTAGAGTACTTTAACCTTTTACTGATGGAGAAGAAGGGGGTGATGCCTTGTTACTGCTAGGTAGGGGTTGTAAGTCCAGGTTCCCCATGTGGCATCCACTGACAGCACCCCAATAGAGAGGCTGGGACACCTCATTGCAGCCTGATGAGGGTGGAACTATAGATTTCCTACTCAACCTTCACAGTAGGGGTGGGGCTGCAGTTTTTTTCATGGTGTTTGCCTGGAGTAGAGTGCTTATTGTCTTAATTTTTTTGTCTTTCTAGTCTTCCACTTTTCTGGTCCTTTGGCTAGGGAGAGTGGGCTTTTCTTGAGGATTTTTTTTTTTTTTTTTTTTTTTTTGTCTTTGCCTGTTGGAGTTTTTAGATTGCTGGCTTCTCCGGAACTAAGTCTGGGATATCTGAGGCAAACAACAACAACAACAAAAAAACCCACTGAACTCACTGCTGTGTCTTTTCTTAGGTCCTGAAGTCCCTAGCTGGTCTGCCTTCTCTCCACCTTTCAGAGTCTTCTTATGTTTGTTTTATAAATAATGCTCAGGGTTGTTATCTGTACTTAACAGGAGGGACAGGGAGCAGTACATCTACTCCTGCTGGTCCTAGAGCTGGAAGCCTCCGCATTCTCACATTCCTACGCCTCTGCTAACAGCGCTGGCTCCTTATGACCTACTGAATCAAGACCCCTCTGCTTTTGGCTCTAGAAAGTCATACACCTTTCTCTAGGACTCTGTGACCTAGATATTGGCAGACACAAAAGATTCTCCTATAGAACTTTACTTCAAATCTGCAAGTAGACTGAAAGCTAAACATTGTTGTTTGTTATACTTCACTGTGCCCAGCAGAAGTACTATTAGTGGAATTTCTGCATAACGGGATAATACCTGGGGGACGCTACCTGTTGCTTCTGACTGCTTCCTTGACTTTTATGTATTTTCCTGTAACAGGTGAAATACATATGGGAGGTCAAGAACATTTTTATATGGAAACCCAAAGCATGCTTGTCGTTCCCAAGGGAGAGGATCAAGAAATGGATGTCTACGTGTCCACACAGTTTCCCAAATATATACAGGTAACATGGGGCCATTGTGGAGAGGACATGGCTAAATGATTTCTGGCCAGTGAAATATATCAAGAGCAATTAGAGGTAAAAGTATATTTGGGAATTTGAGGTGGGGGGATTGCTTGAACCCAGGAGCTCAAGGCTTCAGTGATCTATGATCACACCACTGCACTCCAGCCTGGGAGATAGAGTGAGACCCTGTCTCTAACACAAAACAAACAAAACAAAACCAATAATGTTATTTCTTCAGGGACTGAAGAAATATTGAGTATTAATAGCCATATTGATTTCAGTATTAATAGCCATATAAGTTCAGTGCTTTTAAAAGAGTGTTATTAAAGTGGGAGCCTTTTGTTTGTGGATTGTAGCTTTAAAACCAGTTATGGAATCAGCAGATCTCTTGCTCAGCTCTTGGCACCACTGTTAGGAACACAAGAGAAGAAAGAGGAAGACCTGCTCTCCAAAGCCTATGGTGCCTAACTCACAGGAAACAGTTAAGAAACAATATTGAAAATTATGCAACCAGGTGCTAAATCAGCAAAGGCAAAATTTATGTGGGTGGAGAAATTAGGAAAGAGTTTGCTGAGGGCTAGAATCATCCAGGAAGTCCCACAAAGAAGTCTTAAGTTTGGATTCAGAATGAGAGTGAGGTTTGTCTAGATGGTAAGACAAGAGAGGTCACTTCCAGGCAATTCCACAGCAAGATCAAATGACACCCATTCATTTATTTTCTCACCTCTTCTGCAAACATTTGTTGCCTGTGTCCTGTACCCTACGCAGCATGCATGGAAGGAAGGAGGAATAGCACAATGACCGCCCCAGCTGGAATGAAGGGGTGCCTTTAGGAAAGCTAGGTTTAAGCATCAGGGTGAGAGTAAGGGAAATGAGGCAGGGGGTCTTGATTCTGGTCATAAGGAGCCAGTGCTCTTAGCAGAGGAGTAGGAATGTGAGACTATGGAGAATGAGGCCTCGTAAAAGGCAGGATCCTAAAGAGGGTCAGACGAACTCCATTCCAGGCCTGCTTTTCTCTTCACTCTCCGTGGGATGTTGGGTCCATAACCTCATCCGTCTCAGGCTTCCCATCTGTAAGAATCAATTGTTAAGACTAAATGACCCCTAATCATTAGGATGGCAGAAAAGAGTGAGATCTGCATCTAGGAAAGACCAACTGGTCATCTTTAGCAGCAATCCAAGCAAGAAGTGAGAAGTGCTTTTTTTTTTTTTTTTTTTTTTTTTTTTTGAGACAGAGTCTCGCTTGGTCACCCAGGCTGGAGTGCAGTGGTGCCGTCTCAGCTCACTGCAACCTCTGCCTTTCAGGTTCAAGCGATTCTCCGGCCTCAGCCTCCTGAGCAGCTGGGATTATAGGCACGCACCACCATGCCCAACTACTTTTTGTATTTTTAGTAGAGATGGGGTTTCATCATGTTGGCCAGGCTGGTCTCGAACTCCTGACCTCAGGTGATCTGCCTGACTTGGACTCCCAAAGTGCTGGGATTACAGGCATGAGCCACCACATCTGGCTGAGAAGTGCTTATTTTCCAGTAGAGACAGTAGAATGCAGGGAAAAGACCCATGCTGAGTGAGGCTTAGAAGACTGCAAAATCCCACAGCTTTGGGAAACGTATGCCTAGGGATTAGTGTGAATAGAATACTTTAGGAGTGGTTCCTGGGGAAAATACAAAAAAGTATGAGTACAAAAATATCTCACTGGTAATGAAAACACTACTAATTAGTTTTGGCAATGTCATTATAGCCAAGTATTGCTGAGATCAGTTGGGGCTGTGGGCCAGGGTTGTTGGACATTATCCCATTATTTAGCATAACCACACAGTATGGGTATCATGTGCAACATTAAAGAATCAAAACATCTAGTGACTGTCACAGTCCATTTCAGGGGACAGGTTTTTTGTTGTTGTTGTTAAAATCATAGATGTGACAATGACAGTCACAATTAAGTCCTTGCTGAAGATGGATCAGATTAATCAGAACTATTATTGTTCACAGGACATTGTTGCCTCAACCTTGAAGCTCCCAGCTAACAAGGTCATGTGCCATGTAAGGCGTGTTGGTGGAGCGTTTGGAGGGAAGGTGTTAAAAACCGGAATCATTGCAGCCGTCACTGCATTTGCCGCAAACAAGTAAGTGGAGAAAATCTGCTAAAAATAAAGTGAAGTCACACTGAAAGTTCTCACTGTCAGAATCAATGAGGAAGAACCTGGGCCAAGATTATTTAATATCACATATACGATACAAACACACAAACAAGCTGCCAGCTTATTACACTTACTTGTCTTATATTGTCCTATAGCAACCAAAATAAGAGTCAATTACTGAAAATAATAAAAGCCACAGAAAAAATATAATACCTAGAAAGTGGGCAGAAACAGGTCCTGAATGGGTGGGAGTTACTTGTCCTCAGCACCTGCTGGACTGAGCTATATATGTAGAGGTCATATATATGGCTTTTTGAACAATGTACCTATATATACATACACACATATATATTTATATACATATAAACCATGTACCTATATATACATACACACATATATGTTTATAAACGTATATGTATGTTTGTGTGTATATATGTACATTCTTCAATATATCAAAGATATTTTTGTAAAATGGGGTCCCATATACACACATACATATATACATATATGTACATATACATACACATATATACATATACGTGTATGTATATATGTGTATATATGTATATGTGTGTATATGTATATTTTCTTGATTTAAATATAGACTTTGCTTTTGTTATGCTTACATTCATTTGTATCGCCATTTTCCTTTGAGGATCTCAAAAAATTCTCATGTAAAATTGTCTCTGGAGCAGGCACACCTAGAAGGCTTAATTTGTTTGCTGAGTAATATGGGTCAGTTCCTCCATCCCAGGAAGCAAAAATACCTTGATTCCAGATCTCTCCTATCAGGGAGCACTTGGTAGTTAGATCTGCATTCTTCCATTTGTGGCCAGTCTAAAGACCTTGGGACGATTTGCCTATAATAAAGGTTGTTATTACAATGGGAAATGCCCCCAAAGCAATGTCCTGGAGCCCCTGGCACCCAAGAGCCTCTGTCCCACAAGTTGCAAATGCCTGGCATTATTCCCTGACCTAACGGGAGGAAAGCCCACGGTGTATGCCTGAGATCAGCAGAGGATAGGCATGCGAAATAGTTGTGTTGTTCTGTGAGGCGTGTAGGCTCCACTCAGGCTCTTGCCAGGAGTTATATAAACCCCAGAGAATGCCTGCTAGGTAAAAGAGGTTACCTCACTTACTTTTTTTCTGTTTTAGACATGGCCGTGCAGTTCGCTGTGTTCTGGAACGAGGAGAAGACATGTTAATAACTGGAGGCCGCCATCCTTACCTTGGAAAGTACAAAGTGAGTACAAGAGGGCATGGAGGAAGGATTTATGTTGTAGATACAACATCCTATCAGTGCGCAGGGCAGTCTTTGGCTACTCTCTAGTGGGGAGTAACAATGAGCAAATCAAAAACAGAGCATCTATTTAACTTTCTATTGGTTGCACTGACTTTTAATTACTAGCTGGTTCAATGGAGGCTTTTCTGCTTAGCTCAAAGATGTCAGTTTCAGAAATAAAACACTAAGTGCTAGCTGGTATTGGCTGTACAGAGCAAATAACTAGAAAACGTGAGTGTGTACGCCATTAAAGTAGATCTGATTACCATACTTCTTCCCACATATAAAAGAGGTAAAAGTAGAATAATTCTCATAACAGTAGTGTTATGTGAAATTGCAATTATTTGTAAATGGGTTCCTCATTCTTCAATATATCAAGGATATTTTTGTAAAATGAGGTTCCAGAAATTCATAGAAAAAAATTTGTAGTAGAAAATAGTGATTCTTTTGCTTTATAAGAAAAATTTTACTTCTCAGAGTGGGCTAACTTCTCTAAGAAACAACTTAAAAGCTCTTAAACTTTCATTACGTCATTTCTTGCTCAAGTAACAGCTCAATATAATGCTCAATATAATCATTGAGGGGGGAAAGGGGAGGATTCTGCTTTATAAAATCATTCAGGGACTGGAGCTGTTTCCATTTATTGGTGCCACTGTGCCCTCAGACTGCATCATCCAATATAGTGGTCACTAGGAGCATATGGCTATTTAAATTTAAATTACCCAAATTAAATACAATTAGAAATTTAGCTCCATAGTCGTATTAGCTATATTCCAAGTGCTCAGTAGGCACATGTGGTTAGTGTCTGCCATATTGGACAGTGCAGACGCAGAACATTGCCATCATCACAGAAAGTTTTATTGGGTATCACTGCCCTACAAACTCTGAGTCTTCCAGGGGATCTTTTGCTGAGGGCAGCAGACAGGGAAGCGAGAGAGAAGAGAGCATGGAGTGTCACCTGGTAGGTGTTTTAGGTTTTAGGCACCGGACCTGTAAGTTGTGGATCTCACTTGTATCCAGATGTCATTGGCGAGACCTCTGTCACCTAACTGTAAGGGAGGCTGGGAAATGTCATCTTCCTGTGTGCCCAGAATGAAATACAATAGGATTTGTTAAATGCATAGCACTGTCTCCATCGCAAAACTGCATAACTAATACATGTTTTTTAGGAGATAATGAATGTTTCCATTTCAAACCACACTCACTCTAAACTGTATTTTGAATTTGATTTAGCTCAGAAAGATTTGTTACAGTAAACTTCATCCTGAAGGAGATTTTTTTTAATAAGACATATATGAAGTCATTATGAAAATATAACAATCTCAGGTTAAAAGATGGAGAGATGAATATGAATTGGAATATATATAGGCACTTTGTTAAAGAAGGTAAAAGATAGGTCTTCAAGAATGGAGGCCAGGCACGGTGGCTCAGGCCTGTAATCCTAGCACTTTGGGAGGCTGAGGCGGGTGAATTGCCTGAGCTCAGGAGTTAGAGACCAGCCTGGGCAACACGGTGAAACCCTGTCTCTAATAAAAATACAAAAAAATTAGCCGGGCATGGTGGCAGGCACCTGTAATCCCAGCTACTTGGGAGGCTGAGGCAGGAGAATCGCTTGAACCTGGGAGGCAGAGGTTGCAGTGAGCCAAAATCGCGCCACTGCACTCCAGCCCGGGTGACAGAGCGAGACTCCATCTCAAAAAAAAAAAAAAAAAAGAATGGATAGGCAGAAGGAAGGCATGCCAGGTGTGGGAATAGTAAGAGCAAAACTACAGAGGTGTAATAAACATGGCATGTTTGATAGAGGCAAGAGTAAGGGGAGAGGGAGAATTAGAACACAGAGCACTTCCTGGAAGGTAGTAAAAAATAGGATTGATGGGTTTAGGTGATGCCTGACTGAGAGGGGCCTACAGTCCCAGAGTGGGAAGTTTAAACTTGATCTTAAAAGAAACAGTGAGACTGAGTGGATCCTTGAATGGCTCAGTGCCGTAATTAAACACAGATGCTTTGGGGAGGGTAACAGGATAGTCTGGGGAGGAGAGAGGATGGAAGCTGGTAGACAGCGGGAGGCAGCTGATGCATTCAGACATGAAGCACATGGGGTCTGAGATATGACAGTAAGTTGTAGAAGAGATGGGTCCAAGAGCCATTATAGTGTAAAATAAAAGAGAATTGGTGAAAATCTTGGCAAAATGCTATGAAGAATACAACCGCAAACATGACTTGGAGGGTTTTAGAAGAAAGCGACAAGTTGGAAGGAGGAACCGATCTGGAAGAACGATGAAGAGCTTGTTTGTGTAAATGCTGGGGGTAGAAGTGACAACAGGACCCTGAAGCAGAAATGTCCTTTACCACCATGGGACTTTGCTGAAAGGACTGGATTATAGTGACAGAAGCCATTGTCATAATGGTGACTAAAACTATGAGAAAATAATGTTTTCTGATGGAGAGTAGTGTGAGGAAAGGTGATATGAATACTACTTACGATACTATTATTAATTATATTTAGAGTACTTGCTATGTTTCAGGCACTTGCCTATAATTTTCTATGTGTTGCCTTATTTACTTCCATTTCACAGATAGTCTGAGTGGTTACACAGCTTGCCTAAGATCACAGAGCTAGTTATATACTATCCGAGAAATCACTGCCAAATCCAATGTCATGACGCTTTTCCCCTATGTGTGGAGGGTTTGCAAATGACAAAATTTGGAGAGACTTGGCCCCTGTTCCAGCATTCGATATCGGTTCTCTTCCCCAGGCTGGATTCATGAACGATGGCAGAATCTTGGCCCTGGACATGGAGCATTACAGCAATGCAGGCGCCTCCTTGGATGAATCATTATTCGTAAGTGTTTTAAGGAGCAAGTTCACATTCCTGAAAAGAGTGTTACATAAAATAATTTAACTTAGAAAATGCCCAATAGTTAAGTAATATTTGATTATAAAGGTATAATGACCATCCTTGCAGGGATAGCCATGTGTTACTTCCTGGTGCCCAAAGTGTGAGCCCAGAGATGCTGGCTAAGTTGCATCTGTGTGTTACCCCCCGGCTTCCCATACTTAGAGCTCTTTTCCTAGATGCACACATGAGACCAAGCTTTCTCAGTTTTGGCCCTATTGACATTTTGGAGTGTGTAGCTCTTTATGGTGGGGACTATCCTGCTCATTGTACCATCTTTGGCCTCTACTTAGTAGGTGTCAGTGGCATTACCACCCTGTAGTCTTTTTTTATTTTTATTTTTTGAGACAGAGACTCACTCTGTGCCCAGGCTGTAGTGCGGTGGCTCAAGCGATCCTCCCACCTCAGCCTCCCAGGTAGCTGGGACTGCAGGTACATGCCACCATGCCTAGCTAATTTTTTTTTATTATTATTTTGTAGAGATGGGTTCTCACTATGTTGCCAGAGCTGATCTCAAACTACTAGGCTCAAGCAATCCTCCCATCTTAGCCTCCCAAAGTGCTAAGATTACAGGCGTGAGCCACTGTGTCCAGCCCAACCCCAAACAAAAATGTTTCAACCAGGCCAGACGCAGTGGCTCACACCTGTAATCCCAGCACTTTGGGAGGCTGAGGTGGGTGGATCACTTGAGGCCAGGAGTTCAAGACCAGCCTGACCACATGGTGAAATCCTGTTTCTACTAAAGCCGGGTATGGTGGCACACACCTGTAATCCCAGCTATTTGGGAGGCTGAGGCAGGAGAATCACTTGAACCCCGGAGGCAGAGGTTGCAGTGAGCCGAGATTTCACCATTACACTCCAGCCTGGGCAACAAAAGTGAAACTCTGTCTAAAAAAAAAAGAGTTTCAACCAAAATGTTAACAATGAAAAATGTCTCCAGACATTGCCAGACGTCCCCAGGAGCAGGGAAAGGATTGCTCCCCATTGAGAACCAATACATTAGACCCAATGCCAAAACATTTTTTTCTGTTTTCACTGTCTTCCAGGATATTATATTCATTACATTCTATAGACCCAGTGCTCAGGGCCTGTGAACATATCAAAGGCCTTTGTATATATTTGAAATCTTAAAAAATGCATTAACTCCAAAATACAAAAATAAAAAATAATGCTCTCAAAGGAAAAATTATTCTAATACTTAAAAATTATTTTACAGCAAAAAATGTGTTTAATTGGGGGCATGGGAATATTTTAGCATGTTAGATGAGATGAAAAGAGAGCTGCCATTTTCGGCCTGGTTTTGGTCTGAGGTCGTAGGATGGTGAAACAGGTTCAGAAGATCTTAATCACATCAACTCTGGATTTCTCCAGGTGATAGAAATGGGACTTCTGAAAATGGACAATGCTTACAAGTTTCCCAATCTCCGCTGCCGGGGTTGGGCATGCAGAACCAACCTTCCATCCAACACAGCTTTTCGTGGGTTTGGCTTTCCTCAGGCAGCGCTGATCACCGAATCTTGTATCACGGAAGTTGCAGCCAAATGTGGACTATCCCCTGAGAAGGTAATACTAAATCAGCTTCACAGACAAAACATGTGGAATGTCAGAGACGGTAGGGCCTTTGGGGGCCATTCAGGTTGAGGAATTTGAGACCCAGAGGGGCAAATGATTTGTGCCAAGTCCCCCAGCTAACTGGTTAATGCGGAGCCCAGACTCCAAAGTTCAGCAATACTCACCTTACTCAGACTCCTGCTCCAAAATCCTGAAGCAGAAGATCCTGAGGACTGAGCACTGCATTCTCCCCTGGCTGGTGAGAAGCTTCCATTGGCTGGGGGTATAACTGCTACCCACAATTCCATCAAGGCCCTCATTCCCCGCTTCCTGAACATCTCAGCCAGCTGTCAAAAAGTTGGTCATTTCAGTTGCTAAACTGATCTCCTTTTGGTTCTTTTTTTTTTTTTTGTAACATTAATAGGTTGGTTTTTATTTTTATTTATTTATTTCCATAAGTTATTGGGGTACAGGTAGTATTTGGTTACATGAGTAAGTTCTTTAGTGGTGAATTGTGAGATTTTGGTGCACCCATCACCCGATGGGTGTATGTATATACATATACACACGCACACATATATATGTGTATATATATATACACACACACACATATATATATATATACATACATACATACACACACCACAGTTTCTTTATCCACTCATTGATTGGTGGGCATTTGGGTTGGTTCCAAGATTTTGTTATTGTGAATTGTGCTACTATAAACATGCAGGTGCAAGTATCTTTTTCGAATAACAACTTGTTTTCCTCTGGGTAGACACCCAGTAGTGGGATTGCTGGGTCAAATGGTACTTCTACTTTTAGTTCTTTAAGGAATCTCCACACTGTCTTCCATAGTGGCTGTACTAGTTTACATTCCCACCAGCAGTGTAGATGTGTTCCCTGTTCACCACATCCACGCCAACATGTACTGTTTTTTGATTGTTTGATTATGGCCATTCTTGCAAGAGTAAGGTGGTGTAGCATTGTGGTTTCAGTTTGCATTTCCCTGATCATTAGTGATGTTGAACATTTTTTCATATTTTTGTTGGCCATTTCTATATCTTGTTTTGTGAATTGTCTATTCATGTCCTTAGCCCACTTTTTGATGGGGTCGTTTGTTTTTTTCTTACTGATTTGTTTGAGTTTCTTGTAGGTTATGGATATTAGTCCTTTGTCAGATGTATAGATTGTGAGGATTTTCTCCCACTCTGTGGGATGTCTGTTTACTCTGCTGGCTGACTGTTCCTTTTGCCATGCAAAAGCTCTTTAGTTTAATTAGCTCCCAGCTATTTATCTTTGTTTTTATCGCATTTGCTTTTGAGTTCTTGGTCATGAAATCCTTGCCTAAGCCAATATCTAGAAGGGATTTTCCAATGTTATCTTCTAGAATTTTAATAGTTTCAGGTCTTAGGTTTAAGTCCTTAATCCATCTTGAGTTAATTTTTGTATAAGGTCAGAGATGAGGATCCAGTTTCATTCTCATTACATGTGGCTAGCCATCCTAGCACCATTTGTTGAAAAGGATGTCCTTTCCCCACTTTACGTTTTTGTTCGCTTTGTCAAAGATCAGTTGGGTGTAAGTATTTGGGTTCTCTATTCTGTTCCACTGGTTTCTATGTGCCTATTTTTATACACTACTACACCATTTTGTTGACTATGGCCTTATAGTATAGTTTGAAATCAGGTAGTGTGATGCCTCCAGATTTGTTCTCTTTGCTTACTCTTGCTTTGGCTATGCGGGCTCTTTTTTGGTATCATGTGAACTTTAGAATTGTTTTTTCTAATTCTGTGAAGAACAATGGTGGTATTTTGATGGGGATTGCACTGAATTTGTAGATTGCTTTTGGCAGTATAGCCATTTTCACAATGTTGATTCTACCCATCCATGAGCATGGGATGTGTTTCCATTTGTTTGTGTCATCCAGTGTTTTGTAGTTTTCCTTGTAGAGGTCTTTCAACTCCTTGATTAGGTATATTCCTAAGTGTTTTATTATTATCATTATTATTTGCAACTATTGTAAAAGGGGTTGAGTTCTTGATTTGATTCTCTGCTTGGTCGCCATTGGTGTATAGAAGAACTACTGATTTGTGTACATTAGTCTTGTATCCGGAAACTTTGCTGAATTCTTTTATCAGTTCTAGGAGCTTTGTGAAGGAGTCCTTAGGGTTTTCAAGGTAAATGATTATATCGTCAGCAAACAGTGACGGTTTGACTTCTCTTTACCGATTTGGATGCCCTTTATTTCTTTCTGTTGTCTGATTGCTCTAGCTAGGATTTCCAGTACCATATTGAAGAAGAGTGGTGAGAGTGGGCCTCCTTGTCTTGTTCCCGTTGAATGCCTTCAACTTTTTCCCATTCAATATTATGTTGAATGTCTTTAACTTTTCCCCATTCAGTATTATGTTGGCTGTGTGTTTGTCATAGATGGCTTTTATTACATTAAGGTATGTCCTTTGTATGCTGATTTTGCTGAGAGTTTTAATCATAAAGAGATGCTGGATTTTGTCAAATGCTTTTTCTGCATTGAGATGATCATGTGATATTTGTTTTTAACTCTGTTTATGTAGTGTATCAAATTTATTGACTTGTGTGTGTTAAACCATCCCTGTATCCCTGGTATGAATCCCTCTTGATAATGGTGGATTATGTTTTTCATATGTTGTTGGAGTTGGTTAGCTAGTATTTTGTTAAAGATTTTAGCATCAATGTTCATCAAGGATATTGGTCTGTAGTTTTCTTTTTTGGTTATGTCCTTTCCTGGTTTTGTTATTAGGGTGATGCTGGCTTCATTAAATGAATTTACTTAAGGTTCCTTCTTTCTCTATCTTGTGGAATAGTATCAAAAGGATTGGTACCAATTCTTCTTTGAATGTCTGGTGGAATTCTGCTGTGAATCCTTCTGGTCCTGGACTTTTTATTGTTGGTAATTTTTAAATTACCATTTCAATCTCGCTCTTGTTATTGGTCTGTTAAGGGTATCTAATTCTTCCTGATTTAATCTGGGAGGGTGTATTTTTCCAGGAATTTATCCATCTCTTCTAGGTTTTCTAGTTTATGTGCACAAAGTTGCTCATAGTAGCTGTGAATGATCTTTTGTATTTCAGTGTTGTCAGTTGTAATATCTCCTGTTTCGTTTCTTAGTGAGGTTATTTGGATTTTTACTCTTCTTTTCTTAATCTTCCTAACGGTCTATCAATTTTATTTATCTTTTCAAAGAACCAGCTTTTTGTTTCATTTATCTTTTGTACTTTTTTTCCAGTTTCATTTAGTTCTGCTCTGATCTTGGTAATTTCCTTTCTTCTGCTAGGTTTGGGTTTGGTTTGCTCTTATTTCTTTAGTTCCTTGAGGTGTGACCTTAGAATGTCAGTCTGTGCACTGTCAGTCTTTTTGATGTAGGCACTTAGGGCTATGAACTTTCCTCTTAGCACCGCGTTTGCTGTATCCCAGAGATTTTGACAGGTTGTGTCATTATTGTCATTCAGTTCAAAGAATATTTTAATTTCCATTTGATTTCATTTTTGACCCAATGCTCATTCAGGAGCAGGTTATTTAATTTCCATGTATTTGCATGGTTCTGAAGGTTCCTTTTGGAACTGATTTCCAGTTTTATTCCACTGTGGTCTGAGAGAGTGCTTGATATAATTTCAATTTTCTTAAATGTATTGAGCTTGTTTTATGGCCTATCATATGATCTATCTTGGAGAAAGTTCCATGTGCCGTTGAATAGAATGTGTATTTTGCAGTTGTTAGATAAAATGTTCTGTATATATCTGTTTAGTCCATTTGTTCCAAGGTATAGTTTAAATCCATTGTTTCTTTGTTGACTTTCTGTCTTGATGACCTATCTAGTCCTGTCAGTGGAGTACTGAAGTTCCCTACTATTGTGTTGCTGTCTATCTCATTTCTTAGGTCTATTAGTAATTGTTTTATAAATTTGGGAGCTCCAGTGTTAGGTGTGTATATGTTTAAGATTGTGATATTTTCCAGTTGTACAAGGCCTTTTACCATTATATAATGCACCTCTTTGTCTCTTTTAACTCTGTTGCTTTAAAATTGGTTTTGTCTGATTTATATCAGACAGAATAGCTACTCCTGCTCGCTTTTGGTGTCCATGTGCACGAATTGCCTTTTTCCACTTCTTTACTTTAAGTTTATATGAGTCCTTATGTGTTAGGTGAGTCTTCTGAAGGGAACAGATAGTTGGTTGGTGAGTTCTTATCTATTCTGTGGTTCTGTATCTTTTAAGTGGAGAATTTAGACCATTTATATTCAATGTTAGTATTGAAATGTGAGGTACCATTGCATTTGCCATGCTTTTTGTTGCCTGTGTACTTTGTTTTTTATTTTTTTGTTTTTGCTTTTTAACATGTATTTATGTTTTATAGGTCCTATGTGACTTATGCTTTAAAGAAGTTCTGTTTTGATGTGTTTCCAGGATTTGTTTCAAGATTTAGAGCTGCTTTTAGCAGTTCTTGTAGTGGTGGCTTGGTAATGGTGAATTCTCTCAGCATTTGTTTATCTGAAAGCAACTGTATCTTTCCTTCATATGTGATGCTTAGTTTCACTGGATACAAAATTCTTGGCTGATAATTGTTTTGTTTGAGGAGCCTGAAGATAGGGAACAATCCTTTCTAGCTTGTAGGGTTTCTGCTGAGAAATCTGCTGTTAATCATGTAAGTTTTCCTTTATAAGTTACCTGGTGCTTCTGTCTCACAGCTCTTAAGATTCTTTCCTTCATCTTAACTTTGGATAACCTGATGACAATGTGCCTACGTGAAGATCTTTTTGCAATGAATTTTCCAGGTGTTCTTTGTGCTTCTTGTATTTGATGTCTAGGTCTCTAGCAAGGCTGGGGAAGTTTTCCTTGATTATCCCCCTGAATATGTTTTCCAAGCTTTTAGAATTATCTTCTTCCTCAGCAACACTGATTATTCTTAAGTTTGGTTGTTTAACATAATCCCAGACTTCTTGGAGATTTTGTTCCTATTTTCTATTCTTTTCTCCTTGTCTTTGTTGGATTGGGTTAATTCAAAGACCTTGTCTTCGAGCTCTGAATTTCTTTCTTCTACTTGTTTAATTCTACTACTGAGACTTTCCAGAGCATTTTGCATTTCTAAAAGTGTATCCAAAGTTTCCTGAATTTTTTTATTGTTTTTTTCTTTAAGCTATCCATTTCCTTGAATATTTCTCCCTAACTTCTTGTAACTTTTTTAAAATTTCTTTGAATTGGGCTTTGCCTTTCTCTTGTTCCTCCCTGATTAGTTTAATAACTAACCTCCTGAATTCTTTTTCAGGTAAATCAGAGATTTCTTCTTGGTTTGGATCCATTGCTGGTGAACTAGTGTGATTTTTTGGGGGTGTTGAAGAGCCTTGTTTTGTCATGTTACCAGGGTTGCTTTTCTGGTTCCGTCTCATTTGGGTAGGCTCTGTCAGAAGGAAAGTTTGGGGCTGAAGGCTGTTGTTCAGTTTCTTTTGTCCCATGGAATGTTCCCTTGATGTAGTACTCTCCCCCTTTCCCTATGGATGTGGCTTCCTGTGAGCTGAACTGCAGTGATTGTTGTCTTTCTTCTGGGTCTAGCCACCCAGCAAGTCTACCCAGCTCCCGGCTGGTACTGAGGGTTGTCTGCACAGAGTCCTGTGATGTGAACCGTCTATGGGTCTCTCAGCTATGGATACCAGTGCCTGTTCCGGTGGAGGTGATGGAGGGTGCAGTGGACTCCATGAGGGTCCTTAGCTTTGGTGGTTTATGCTCTATTTTTGTGCTGGTTGGCCTCCTACCAGGAGGTGGCACTTTCCAGAAAGCATCAGCTGTAGTAATGTGGAGAGGGATTGGCGGTGGGCAGGGCCCTAGAACTCCCAAGATTAAATGTCCTTTGTCTTCCACTACCAGAGTGAATAGGGAAGGACCATCAGGTGGGGGCAGGGCTAGGCATGTCTGAGCTCAGACTGTCCTTGGGTGGGTCTTGCTGTGGCTGCTGTGGGGGATGGGTGTGAGATTCCCAGGTCACTGGAGTTGTGTACCTAGGAGGATTATGGCTGCCTCTGCTGAGTCATGCAGGTTGTTAGGGAAGTAGGGGAAAGCCAGCAGTCACAGGCCTCACCCAGCTCCCATACAAGCAGAAGGGTTGGTCTCACTCCCAATGTGTACCCCCCAACAGCCCTGAGTTTGTTTGCAGGCAGACAGTGTGATGGGCTTGAAAACTTGCCCTGTGCTGCACCCCTAGCTGAGAGAGAAAAGGGCTTGGTTTCTCCCCCTGCCTGTGGAGTCTGCACACCAGATTTGTGCCCTCCCACTGAGCTCTGACCAGGAGGCTTCTTGCCCCATTCAAATTGTTACAAAGTTCAGCTAGAGATTTCTTTCTCCCTGTGGAGTTTCACCCCCTACTTCTCTGGTCCCCCGCCCCCTCCGCCCCCACCATGGATCCCTGTGTTGTTAGGCAGGAATGGCCTGGCCTGCTAGGGGACACAGCAAGCTCCTAGGGCCTTTCTGCTGCTTCCTCTACCCCTGCATTTTGCTTGGCTCTCTAAATTGTCTCAGCTTCAGGTAAAGTCGGAATCTTCTCCTGCAAACAGAATTTCAGCTTCTCCCGTGGGGGTGTGTGTCTGGGAGAGGAGGATCTCCCTTCCCCCTCACAGCTGGGGCACTCACGGTATTTGGGGTATCTCCTGGGTCCTGCAGGAGTAGTCCACTTCCTTCAGAGGGTTTGTGGGTCCTCTCAGGATTATTGCTTTGTTCTTGCAGTCGATCTAGAGCTAAAATTCGGCGAACTTCCACAAGCTGCTCTGTCCAGAGCTGCAATCTAGTCCTGCCTCCCGTCCGCCATGATGATCCAATTTCTCCTTTTGGTTCTTTCAGTCTCAGCCCCAACTTTGTTTATTGACAACGACCTTCCCCTTCCTGGCTCCTCCTCCCAGATCCTGGAATGGAATTAGTGTGGGGAGATGGGGTGAGCTCTCTCTCAGCCCCTTCTCCTCCCCTGTGCCTTCTGCTGTGATGCTGGTGCAAGGAGGAAGAGAAGAAGGACCAGGAAAACAGTCAGTTTCTCCCTGTGTGACTTCTCCCGGCAAGCTCACAGTCCTCTCTTTGGACAGATGTCACTTTTCAAGTACATTGTCTATGGCTCCATTTCTGCCAGCTCTTCCAGAAATTGGCAGTCCTTGGACCTTCAGCGGGCAGCTGGCACAGCATTCCACTGGTGACCACACCTCTCTGCTCATGCCCCAGCAGTCTTTAGAAGGCCCCAGGTCCCAATTCATCTACCAGCTTTCACCCAACAGTAGCCACTTTCTTTGCTTCTCTTGAACGTGTGGGAGGCCTTGCCCCTCCCTTCCTGGCCATCCCACTAAACTCTCTCCTGATGTCCTGCCACATTTGGTAGCACTAAGGAGGAGAATTACATCCTTCCCTTCATTCCCAGGGAAGTTAGAGCAGGGAACAGCCTCTTAAAAACACCACTTTCCCCCAAATGAGATGGCTTACTAATTTCCAGTGTTTCTCTTACAATGATCTGATAATTTGCTTCGGAGGGTGGGGAGAGTGTGTCTGTGATGGCTCTGTCAGCTTAGGGAGGGGGCTGGCCACAAGTGCTATGAGTTTTCTCAGCTGAGAATGTGACATACTTGGCACCTTTTATTCTCAGCTTAGGGTCTTAGTCACCAATTCTGGGAATACAGGAAGAATTCTACTCAGTGCTTCAGACATCCTGGGATAGAATCTTTTAATTTGTTCTTCATCCTAGATATTGGTTATATTTAAACGAACTTTCATGCTTGCCTGTTTTGGAGGTGAGTAGTCTTATCTTGCAACATAGCATGGGAGTAATCCAAATCATGTGGCCTAGATGATCTTTCAGCAGATACCCAAATGCAACTAGAATTAAGAGTCTACAGTGTACATGGACTGTGTTGAGTTATATTGGAACATAAGGTAAAGGTTCCATCCTTTAAAGTTGCACAAGAGTAGCATAGAAAGCACATAAGTAATTGCTAGCACGTTTGATAGAAGCTCTGAGTAGAGGAAGAGGACAATGTTGTGCATTAGGAAAGGCTTCCACAAGGACTCAGTAGAACTTGGCTTGGACCTTACAGGATGGGCAGAATTTGACCAGGAGGATGGTGAATGGATGAGCCTATGTCTGCTGGGTTTCCCCTCCCAGCTTTAATCTCCTTTTCTTTCATAGGTGCGAATCATAAACATGTACAAGGAAATTGATCAAACACCCTACAAACAAGAGATCAATGCCAAGAACCTAATCCAGTGTTGGAGAGAATGTATGGCCATGTCTTCCTACTCCTTGAGGAAAGTTGCTGTGGAAAAGTTCAATGCAGAGAATTATTGGAAGAAGAAAGGACTGGCCATGGTCCCCCTGAAGTTTCCTGTTGGCCTTGGCTCACGTGCTGCTGGTCAGGTGAGTTCTCCAAATGCACATGAGGATGCTGCCTGGAAGCAGCCCTGACAAAGCAAGAGGTGTTGAGGAAACTTCTCCTTAAGTCATATTAGCCATATGGTTGCAATGCCCAATTGTTAAATTTCACAAAAGCCACCAAAGTCAAAGTAATTAAGCTAGCTTTACTCCAGAGGAGACCAGAGCTCCTCTGCTCACATGCCCATGGTTGGTCAAAAACATTCTTGCTGGAAATTGGGAGACTGAGGTTTACTCCTGGCCCTGGCAACAGGAGTTGGCAAATGGCAGCTGAGTCCATTTGCTCTGGGCTCAGACTGCTCATGTGGAAAGCAGGAGGGTGGGACTGATGACCTCCAAGACTCCTCTTCCAGTGTCCGCAATTCGGTGTCGCTGGACCATGAAATAGAAATGAGGAGCTGCAAGGTTTTGGGTGCTCCACTCCTTCTGGGTGGGTTGGAATAAATTAAATTCAGAAAAATAAATCACTTTTTAAATAGAATTTTTGAAGTTTATTCACCTTGTACCTTTTAAAACTGTGAAAGGGGGGACTGGGAATCTGCTCTTGCAGTTTAATTTCTTTCATTGATTAAAGAAATCCCCTTGCTTGGTTGCAGTTTCCACCTCTTCATTCTTGACTTCATTCATTCTTAAGAATGAATAAAACTTACCCCTAACGGCTGGTGAAGGACTGCAACATTCTAGCTCATTGTATGGCAGCCGGGAACCCCTATTATCTATTTTATTACATACACACATCCATGTACATACAGATAAGCTGGGAGGACCCTCACAATTGTCACTCCTCTTTGCAGAATTCACTCCTTGGTTGGAGTCATGAAGAAGGCATGGCAGCTGTGCTGAGCGATCACAAAATAGGAACAAATGGCAGGGTAGGGGAGCTTCGAGAGGGGCGTTAGTGTGGATGTTGTGTGTTAAGGGATCAGAAGAGGCCAGGAAAAGTGGGTAGGAAGGTCCTTTCCTCCATCCCATATCCATCCATTCACCTAACTGTCCTAGTTGAGCTTTGGTGCCATCCTGAGAACATTTGCATGCAGCTTTGATTGTAGGCAGGTGGTAGGTCAGAGAAGTGTTATAACAAATGATGATCTTATTGCAGTCTTCTCATTCCTTGCCTGTTTGTGATGGCAAAAAATAACACAGAGCCATGTAGTCATCTGCATGCAGTTTACTCAAATGTGGGAGACAGTCAAGATACTGTGGTTGAGAAATAAAAGCAAAAACGAGGTTATTACAAAAGAAGAGAGAAAGAAACTACCACTGGGAAAAGGGTTTGTAAGCATTGAGTCTTGGTATAGAATTTTGGGGTAAACTGATTAGCTGGCAGCTACCAAAGAGGTCAGCTGGGGCTGTCTGTCCTTGTGCAGACTAGTCAGGATCATCAGGAAAAACAGCCTCCATTGTTCATGGATCCTCTGGAAATCCTCTCACGTTTGGCCGTGGGTAAACATGGCGCACTGCCTCTATTTGATGGCTGCCATTACTTTATATCTGGCCTCCACCATAGACCAGGTCTCACCCATTTTCCTCATCAGAATTTTCTCAAAAAGTAGATTTGAAAAATATGGTGAGGTGCAGTGGCTCACGCCTGTAATCCCAACACTTTGGGAGGCCAAGACAGGAGAATTGCTTGAGGCCAGAAGTTTGAAACCAGCCTGAGCAACATAGTGAGGCCCCATCTCTACAAAAAAGAAAAAATAATAATAGTGACAATTACTGAGCACTACGATGTTGTAAGTACTTTTAGGTATTTCATTTAATCTTGGGACAACCTAGAAGATTTGTATCCTCATTTTAGGTATAAAAAAAATCTAGGCTTAGAAGGTTTAAATAACTGGCTCAAGGTCCTGCAGCTGGTAGAGGTAAGGCTGGGGCTAGAACTCAGGCCTGAGTGGCTCTGAAAGCTGGGTTTTCTAGTTACACCACGTGGTCTCCCCAAAACACCTTTTGATAGGAACTGAAGTGGGATTCAGCTCAGCTGAGAACAAACTAGGCAA
This sequence comes from Homo sapiens, assembly GCF_000001405.40. Taxonomy (NCBI): domain Eukaryota; kingdom Metazoa; phylum Chordata; class Mammalia; order Primates; family Hominidae; genus Homo; species Homo sapiens. The sequence goes on from NC_000002.12 coordinate 200,653,214, forward strand.
CAGCCAGCAGTACAAATTCATTCTTGAAGGCCACCTGGGAAACTGACCAACTTACGTGCTGAAAATATTTACTTAGGGCTGAATCAAGGAGTTTGAGACCAAACTCCGTGGAGGGCACATGCTAAAAGCCTCCATTCTGAAACAAACTAAATAGAGGAGGAAACTAGACATGATATTTGAGTGCCTTCTCCATGGAAGGACCTGGGCTGGGGAATTTGTAATCTCCACTTGATTATTCTCTATCTCATCTCTATCAGGTAGGTATGAATCTCTCTATTTCACAGAAGGGGAAACTGAAGCTCATAGGGATTCTCTCTGTTGCCCAAGGACATCCAGCCAATAAATGGCAGAACAAGGATTCAACTTCAGCACCGCCTTCATCGTCCCACAGGGCCTCCCTGAGCAGAGGCAGTCCCTGCCCAGCAGCTGAGGGGGTCAAACGTGCCCCACCTGTGTTATGCAGGCATACCTTGTTTTACTGCACTCTGCTTTATTGCACTTCCTAGATGCTGCATTTTTTACAAATTAAAAGTTTGTGGCAACCTTGCTTCAAGCAAGTCTATTGGTGCCATTTTTCCAACAGTATGTGCTCACTCTTTGTCACCTTTTGGTAATTCTCACAGTGTTTCAACCTTTTTCATAATTATGGTGATCTGTGATCAGTTATCTTTGATTTTACTGTTGTAATTGTTTTGGAGCACCATGAACCACATCCATATAAGACAGCAAACTTAATAAATGTTTTGTGTGTTCTGACTGCTCCACAAATAGAGGAGCATTCTTCCCCCATTTCTCTCCCTCTCCTCAGGCCTCCCTATTCCCTGAGACACAATGATATTGAAATTAGGTCATTTAATAACCCTGCAGTGGCCTCTAAGTGTTCAAGTGAAAAAAAGAGTCACAAGTCTCACTTGAAATCAAATGCTAGAAATGATTAAGCTTAGTAAGGAAGGCACTGCACTCCAGCCTGGGTGACAGAAGAGACCCTGTCTCAAAAAAAAAAAAAAAAAAAAAAAAAAACAGAAAAGAAATTGTTACAACTACCTCCTCAATCGTCAGCAACCACCACCCTGGTTAGTCAGCAGCCATCAACATTGAGAAAAGACCCTCCACCAGCAAAAAGATTCTGACTCTCTGAAGGCTCAGATGGTTGTTAGCATTTTTTAACAAAGTATTTTAAAACTAAAATATGTACAATCTTTTTAGACATAATGCTAGTGTACACTTAATAGAGTACAGTGTAGCATAAACACTTGTATGCACTGGGAAACAACGAAAATTGTGTGATTTGCTTTATTGCTGTGGTTTGGAGCTGAACCTGCAATATCAGTGTACTTACTTCCTGCAGTCTGAACACTGAATGGCACAGACAGGACCTAACCAACCTCTGTGTGTCCAATGCCTTACTATGGCACTTGGCACAGAGTAGGAACTCAAATGTCTGAATGGCTGAAACATTTGGGGAATCTGCGGGTTTGAAGCTAACTTCTCATCGATACCAGTAGTATTTGTTTGAAGATTTAAATTTCCCCGACTAGGTCCTCTACTTATGTTGGAGGACCATCTACTCCAGCTCTCCAGTTGTGCTTGTTTTATAGATGAAGCTTTGCAGAATTATCTTTTGTGGCACTAACAATGAGCTGTACAGTGGTGCCACTTAACTAAACCAAATTTGACATTTTAAATGGCCCAAGGAGATTGCAGCACCACATGGAACAAATGGCTGAGTGATATCTGATAGACATGCTGTCTTGGACATACAGGCTGAATGCTATAACCAGCAGGGTCACACAATGTTGGAAAAGTATAATCCACTATAATTGTAGCTTAATCACATGGGCCAAGTCCAACTATGAATTACATGCACACTTTGCGAGCCAAGGAGGCCAAATATGGAGTCTACAAGATTAAGAAACAGATTGCATGGCTATGCTACTGCAAATTTACTTACCAAACATTTACTGAGCACCTACCGCATGTGTGTTGCTATGTTGCATTCCGAGAGATTCCTTAGGACGTGATCCTTCCTTTCAGGGGGCTCATATTCTAGCAAAGCACAATGAAGTGCCATGGAATGGGGCCCAGGAGCTATTGTTGCAGCTGGCATCACCTGACATCTGATGCATGGCCCCCAGGCAGCCAGCCCTGGGCTCTCTGTAGAGGAAAACTCTTCCTTACCTTTATTATTTTGAGGATGAATGTCCAGGAGCAAAAGATGGTGTTTCCAGGAGTCATGAGTCAATAAACAGTAAAAAACACTCTATTACATCTTCCCAAGGTCCTTGGGTGTCATTATCATGGCTACTATGCCTTCCTCAAGAGTCTAAGTTTCTCCTTTGGACTGTGGACATATGTGCCTGGTCCTCAGAGAAAGGGTATCCTGATGTCCCCATTTGCCCAGTACATCCCTAGTTTACACCTGCCGACCAAATAAATGGAGTGCATTTTCACTGTCAAACTTGCCTTATTTGGAATGATAGAGGTTTCTGGTTGTCATTCACGGGGGTAATGTGAACCTTTGGATACAAATAAAGAGACAGTTCTCCAAGCATGGTCCACGGTCCCCAGGCAGCTTGGAAGGCCCTTCTGATGGGCAGAGAATTGATCTGGAAATGCAGTCTTTTTCTTGGGTTTATCTGGTGATTAACATGCAGTTCCATCAACCTTCACTTAATGACCAGGGTTGCTTACAAATAATCTAAGTGAGCAACTAAGGCTTAGGAAAATTTTTGGTTTATTAAGTTGACATTGGCTTATTACCAGAATTTTCTGAAGACCTTGACATTACAAATCCTAGATTATTATGTCACTCTGCCTAAAAAATTAGATGTGAAGAAACCTAGCTGACCCAGACCACACCCATGCGGTCAGCACTTCCCTGCTGCAAAACTGTAAAGGTTGCCTTGCAGGCTTTCCCGGACCACAGTGGAACCACTGAGAGATATCTGTTCTAGGAGGACCATTGCTGCTGATGTTGCTCTTACATTGCAGAGCCAAAGGGAAGAAGCCATCCTTCTTTCCTGCTGTGATTTTCTGGGATATCCCCATATTCTAGTTTAGCACAGGCAGATACGCAAGAAGGCACATTCTTGTTAATTATAAAAACATGTTTAGCTTAGAGACTGGATGTTTCTGATTATAAGAGTCTTTAATGCTGTTAGCAGTCTGGTTCCTTCTGGATCCTTGTGGGGAGCTATACAGTTAGATAAGATTACTTCCAAGTTCTTGTCTAACTCCAAAGCTCTGTAGTTCTGTGCCAAGATGATTTAGGGTGAGCTTAGTCATTTTGCAGCAAAACAATTTTAGTGTCTATCTATCTCATCTTATATGGGATTATAAGAAAATGGATTTCCATTTTCATTTTTCTGGGACATGCCTACAACTATGAGAATATGTGTGCACACAATTATTCACCCTCTCCCTCTACCTGTCTATACTTTACTTTGTATTTTAAAATAGAGTCCCCGCCCTGGTTTCCCCCACCCCAAAAAGAAACCTAAAATGTTGCTCCACCCTGGGGGGTGCGGGATTCTTGGAGGGAAATATTTCCAAGGAAAATGTTTTAATTGACACGATATGTGATAATATCAAAAAGATCACAGAAACAGTTTTCGTCTTTTCTGCTCAGGCTGCTGCCTTGGTTCACATTTATCTTGATGGCTCTGTGCTGGTCACTCACGGTGGAATTGAAATGGGGCAGGGGGTCCACACTAAAATGATTCAGGTAAGAATGCAAATAACTCGATTGAGTTGGGTGTGTGCTTATAGATCTGTTCATGAGAGAAAAACTATGAATGGATATTTTCTGTTACAAAATACAGGATAGGAAGCTGGGTGAGGTGGCTCATGCCTGTAATCCCAGCATTTTGGGAGGCTGGGGTGAGAGGATTTCTTAAGTGAAGGAGTTCGAGACCAGCCCAGGGAACATAGGGAGATTCCATCTCTACCAAAAATATATATATATATATATATATATATTTTTTTTTTTTTTTAATTAGCAGGGCATGGTGGCATGAGCCTGTTTTCCCACCTACTTGGGAGGCTGAGGTGGGAGGATTGCTTGAGCCTGGGAGGTCGAAGCCTCAGTGAGCCAATTGCACCAATGTACTCCAGCCTCGGTGGCAGAGCAAGACCCTGTCTCAAAAAGTAAAAATAAATAAAAAACAAAGGATAGGAGATTTGAGCTTTGACAGTTTACTCTGTTAAATGATTAGCAGAAACTGGGTAAACAAACCAATTTTGCAACTAAACCCCTAAAAGAATGTGGCAGAAGAATCTCGAGTTGTTTTATTGCTAAAGAAAATTATATGCTTATTTGCTGCTTTCCTTTGGATATAGTGACAGTTGAGTTGTCCTTTCTGAGTTTTTCTTGGGCAATAAGATAATGTGTAAATTCTGATGTATTTGGATTATTTCTTGCCCTTTTTGTATTACAGGCTCCGAACAATTGCTAATATAAATCACCTTTGATATTTACAGTCAAACTTTATCTGTTTGCTTTTGGCTGTCTTATTTTAGATTAATTTTAAGCTACTGTTTCTCTTTTGTTAATCATAATAGTAACATTATAGATTATAAAATATTTGGAAGCAGCAGAACATTTTAAAAAACAAAGACCCTACACAGTTTCACCACATAGAATAATCATTATTTGGGAGTCTTTACATCTTGTCTTTTTTGCTTTTGCAAAAAAGTCACCAACATGCTTTTGTTTAATTTTGTATTCTGTTTTTCCACCCACTTTATATAGCGTGAACACTTTCTCCTGTCATTAAGCAGTCTTTACAATCATGAATTGTATGTGGCTGCATGTGGATACATATATGATTTATTTAACCATCCCCCAGTTGTTTGAATACTTCAGTGAATATTTTTGTACACTAACCTGTGATCAAATCATTGATTGTTTCTTAAAATAGACTTCTGGGAATAGAATTACTGGGTCACAGGTGTGACCATTTTAAATTGTTTGACACACATTATCAAATTGTTTTCCAGAAAGTATCCCTCTCATGACACCCCTAACCAACAGTGAATGTTATGGATTGTTGAAAATTTGTAGATAATTTGATAAGTGAATGAAAGTATCTCATTATTGCTTTCATTTACATTTTTCTGAGTATAAAGATGTTAAATACATATTTTCTCTCAGTCACTTGAGAATTGACTTTCCCCATTGGAGGGTAAGATTTCAGTGTTTTCCTTATTGGATCACCAGAGACTTTGATATTCTAAGCCTATTGCACTCTGTGTGGATGATCTGAGAGCCAGACCTCATGGAAGGGCTCTGTATGCCTGTGTCCTTGTAGAAGCTGTGGGCAAGCACTTTCAAGCCATGCTGCTAGCAGGAGAGAGGCAAGTTTGGGATCAACTAAAGTTAGCAATATGATTTTGCTCTCTAGCGCTAAAAATAAAGAATAAAGCAGCCAGCTAAGTCCTTGTGTTGGCACATGGCACTGGCGCCATCTCCTGTGACCCACATGTTCATGCCGTTGCTTTTCCAAGGCCATCGTCCTTTCTCATAGGAAGCACTCTTTCCCTGGGGCAACTCCAGAAATGTGGATAGGAGATAGACATCTCCTATCATTGATAAGGTTCTGCTAGAATTTTGCAGAGTGTGGTCGTAGGAGAAGCCTCAAAGATGTCAATATCATGATTATAAAAACAAGAATGAAGCATTTCTTCCTGCCTTGGCCTGGGGCCTCACCTCCTCTTTCTGACACTATCACCAGAAAGTCAAAGAAAAAGAAAGTGTGTTCAGGACTTGGGGTCCAGACTAGCTATAGGATTTTTAGAAACAAGAAACTTTTCATGGCTGGAGGAATTTGTGGTTCTGCTCCCTTGTCCCTGTCATGGGTATGAGGGTATCACACATGTGTTACCACGTGGGCATGTGCACAGGTCTGTGACTAATCAAAGTGTTTAAAAGGAAACTCTCTCTTAAAATTCAGGTGGTCAGCCGTGAATTAAGAATGCCAATGTCGAATGTCCACCTGCGTGGAACAAGCACAGAAACTGTCCCTAATGCAAATATCTCTGGAGGTTCTGTGGTGGCAGATCTCAACGGTTTGGCAGTAAAGGTAACAGTCACTGCAGTGGCGTCCAAATCATTAACTCCCTCAGGGCCAAATACGTGGGTGGGTGGAGCTCCAAAGATGCTGAGAGTTAATCCAACTCATATCTCCTTCCCCATCTTGCCCTCAGTCAGTGGTACAGCACCCAGTGGTTCTCCTGTGCTGGAAATGCCACCTCTTTTTCTCCCTCACTCCTGACATTTTTCTAATCAGCAAGTCCTTTCAAGTCTACTCAAAAATGTCTCTGTCTTTCTGCTTCCATATTATGTTAGTATCACTTTAAGACAGGCTCGCGCCTCTCCCCAGGGCCGATGCAGGACTTCTGTCTCTCCACCACAACTTCATTGCCTTTTGCTCTAGCTTTCTGCTGCCGGAGTGAATTTTCTCACAAAATAAATGTGGCCATGCCATGTCTGAAAGCAATGGCTGGTGGTTTTCCAAGAGGTTTTTTATTAAGTCTTGACTTTTTAGCATGGCTTACAAGGCCAGTTCTCTCTCTCACACACACACACACACACACACACACACACACACACACGTGCACACACTCATATGAAACCTTTCATATCACCTTCATACAGGGTTGGTGTCTTATTTTTCCATGTTCCCTCTTAGATAAGCCTATGGAATGGTACATATTATGTTGTTTTGAATTTGGTGTTTGCATGAAATTAGGAGCATAATTTTAATTTAAAAATAATCTCTAGGATGCCTGTCAAACTCTTCTAAAACGCCTCGAACCCATCATCAGCAAGAATCCTAAAGGAACTTGGAAAGACTGGGTGAGAATCAATGGTTCTCTGTATTTTATTTTAGAAGAAAAAGGAGTGGGAGGAGAGCAAGAGCAATGTGCATTAATTGAAATCTGTAGAAAGGGCATTTGCAAAGGTACCACCATTGTGTAATGATAAATAAAAGGCCCTTTGGCTCTTAGCATGTGGAAATCCTATCACAGTGTGGTGGAGGAACTCTTGTATCTGGGAAAATTTTCTGTTAGAGAAAAAGATGGTTCTTCTGCCAGAACTCCTGTTTTAATCCAGAATTAATTAATGTTTCATCCTATGTAGCCTAGGGGTTGTCTAGATAATAACTGTACATCTGTTTTTTCTCTTTCTTTGGGTTCTGCTGTTCCTAAAATAGAAAAACAATAGTAGAACCACTCTGTAAAAGTAAAAATCATATAAGCACTCGTTTAGAAATAGGAAACCAAGCCAGTGGGTATATGTTCATCCAGTAATAGGTACTCAATGGAATGGAAATACTCAACTGCTTCCTTTGATCTGCTTATAATCTAGTTGGAAAAGAAGACACATTCTAAAGTCAGCTAACAAACTTTTCAAAGTAATAGTTTATCAACTACCAGATGTTGTGGAACAAATATCCATAAAAGCTGGGAGCATGTGTCACGCTGGCTATTCTAGAATGTCAGTTTTTGCAACCTTACAAATACAGGTCTGGGGGAAATAACATTTGAGGATCCCACTTAGAAATGGTTTCTGCTATTCCATGGAGTAAGGACTCATTTTATAATTCATATTTATGGGGTCTGTCTATACTTCCTGGGCATATTTGTTTCTGTCCTCTGTCCCATGCTGCCTGAGCCCAGAAAGCCTGAGTCAGTGTGGCTGGAGAAAGCTGGAGAGAGGTGCAGCATGGAGAGTAGTACTCCACCACCATGAGATGCAGCCATTCAGCCCACTTTCTTCGCTAATGATTGATGTGCTTCTGACCTTCATTCCTAGACTTAGGGACTTGGACCTGACCCTGATTTTTGTGCATAGTAGTCAGCTCTGTGTACTGCAGAGTTTTGGTGTAAATGGTACAATTTAGCAAAATTATTCCCCTCACCTGAAACAAATGTGTCCAGAAAGGATTGACAGTTCCCATAAATATGAATTATAAAATGAACCCTTACTCTATAGACTAGCAGAAACCTGATATTAAAATTAAGCAGCCAACCAAGCATTGTTTTCTAAAATGTCCCATCTTAATTGAAAATTTTCTGCAGATGACTGAGTGAATTTCTTCCTAAGTGGAACATATGTTGATGACTTTAGTCCAGCCTGTATCATACCACAGCGGGCATTTAGTACAATCATAGGTGCTGAACAAACAGCTACAAGCCGTGAACCACAGAGGAGAAAGCCAAAAGGAATGGATTAATCTGGGTCCTTCCTGGTTACTATTGCTGATAGTTTTATTTAACACACAGGGTAAAATTAAAATTGAAGTCTTGAGTGATTCTTTCTTTGGGCATCCTTGTTGCATCATGCTATGCTCTTCCTTCACAGGCACAGACTGCTTTTGATGAAAGCATTAACCTTTCAGCTGTTGGATACTTCAGGTAAATACTCCCTCTGATCACATGCTATGGAGAAGAACAGTGGTATCTTGAGGAAGAGTTTCAGTTCCCTTGCAATTTTGGCAAACGTTGACTTTCTACCTTCTATTTACCCATGGTTATAAAGAACATTTAACTGCTAGTTAATCCATGGTTGTGGTTATAAAGAACATTTAACTGCTAGTATCCAGAAAGACTTCTGTTAGGAAAAATAGGCACACAAAATTCAGCTTAACTGATGATTCTAATCATAGTGGGTGGTATTATAAGGCTCTCTGTGGTTAGTACTTGGAATACTCGGCAGTGGTTGACTTTTTGTTGAAAACACGATCTATCTCTTAAGAAACAAAGGTAGGGGAAAGCAAATTAAACCCATAAGATGGGTACCATTTTACACCTTCAGGATTGGCAAAAAAGAAATTGGACCATAACCATGTTACATTAAGATGTGAAACAACAGGAACTCAGTGAATCTGGAAAACAGTTTATTAAATTATTTTAATGGAAAGTGAAAGCTGTCTGAGAGCAGGGTGATGTAGAGCCTTACCTGGTTTGATCACTTTGCCATTGGTGCGGGACCTGGGCACTGACTGCCTGTCAGGAACAGGCATTGGAAGCATTTTTAATGGCCACCTCCAGGTTGCAGGGCAGCAGAGGAGAGAGGGTAGAGAGTTCTGCAAGCTGCTGACCCATGCTTCTGTTTTACCATTATTTATTTGATGTTCTTAAAGATTAGTTAGGAACAGAGCAGGCCATGGAGCTTGATGGTGAGAGACCAGAGTAGAGACAAAGAATGGGAGCCATGGGACCTGATCCTTCACACAGAGGGGCAAATTCTGGAGCCAGAAAGATAGACAAAGCAGGCAAGCATGCACCTTTGAAATAGCGTTTGGTGTAAAATGAAGGTTGAGTTCCCCAAATCTGATGATCCAATATTAGCCAAAAGCAGTAAGATGGACATTCAGGAAGTAAGAAGCTAACCTCCAGGAGTAAGGAGGCACCAGTCAGGAGTAGTTAGATGTTTTTATCAGACAAAGCAAGTTTTAAAAGAAAAAACTAAATACTTATTTATTCAACACATTTATCGCACATACATTAGGTGCTGGCACATACATTAGGTACAGGTATATTCCTGTGGCTTGCATAAATCCTCATGGGTCTGTTTAGTCATCATGGTCTGCAATTAGGGGACGTGATCACTTAACAACACTCACTGTTTCTTCCAGAGGTTATGAGTCAGACATGAACTGGGAGAAAGGCGAAGGCCAGCCCTTCGAATACTTTGTTTATGGAGCTGCCTGTTCCGAGGTTGAAATAGACTGCCTGACGGGGGATCATAAGGTCAGTACCGGTTGGAAAGGTCTTCAAGTTGCACTTAGGATGCACCTAAATTCCACAGATGCCATCTATCTGAGGAGAGCTTAGTGAGTGGCAGCATCGTGCATTTGGCCTAAGGGTGATTTCCCTGGATTACCAGAAGAAAATAGAATCCCCACAATTGCCTTGGTGATCTGGTTGCTGCCATGGAAAACAACTGGTGGCCTGTCTTTATTTCCCTGGCCCTTTTAAATGGAATCAGGAAAGAAACTACATGAAGAAAGAAACATGCTCTAAAGGGGGCTTTCATGTAGACTATTGGCACAACCAGCAATTCTGACTTTTTATGAGAAATGCCAAGATATGACATTCTTGAAGGATTTCATAGACATCTGTAATCTGCTAACAAGCACCAAGCCAGCCCAGGGCAGGTAGTGGCCACTTTTTTATATCTTTTACTCAGCTAGGTCTTGCCTTTTAGAAGTCCAGTGTGCTATCCATTGTGCCACAGAGCTGGCTTGGTCTTGCTTTTTAGATAGTTTAAGAGCATCCTTATGCTTTCAAGGGATGCTCTGAAGAGATACACACACATACACACAAACACACACACACACACACACACACACACTCTCTCTCTCTCTCTCTCTCTCTCCCCCTCTTTCTGTCTCTGTTGCTTCAAAGACTCATAGAATTTCTCCTCTTGTACCAGAGCCTTCGGGAGTAAAAGAAGCCACTTACTGGTCACTGTCAATACTAATAAATGATCACTGATACATTAAATGGGACTGTGATACCCTAACAACTGTCATGTGACCAAGCTACCAGTTTAGTGATAATCTCTTCCAAAATGTACCTAGAAGCAAGCTCTAGTTCTTGATATTTACAAATATCCTCTATGCCTGTGTTCTTGGATTGTGATCAGATTTAAATTTTCATTTAATAAGTCTCCAGCATGTATTTTTTAAAACTATAGTCAACCTAATCTCTGAAACTATGGTCACTTTTATTGAACCTGCCTTTTCAAGTATCTAACCTGTCTGGTTCTAATTCAGACTGGATCTCTATAGGGTAACCTCGCACTAGGGCAAAACAGTGATCACTTTGAGCATGGTTTTTGTGTTAGACTAGCAGCCCTACACTACTAGGGAGCGGGTTCTTGCATAGAACTGATTTCTGTTTGTTTGTTTGTTTGTTTTTGAGACAGAATTTCACTCTGTCACCCAGGCTGGAGTACAGTGGCTTGATCTTGGCTTACTGCAATCTCTGCCTCCTGGGTTTAAGTGATTCTTGTGCCTCAGCCTCCCAAGTAGCTGGGATTACAGGCTGCGCCACCACACCCAGCTAATTTTTGTATTTTTAGTACAGACATGGCTTCACCATGTTGCCCAGGCTGGTCTCAAACTCCTGGCCTTCAAGTGATCCACCCACCTTGGCCTTCCAAAGTGCTGGGATTATAGGCCTGAGCCACTGTGCCCTGCCCATATAACTGATTTCTAAGTCCCTTCTCCCTCAAAGCAAAAGTTGGTGAAAACTTAGTCATGTGGATTTTCTTATATTCCTATATATGCATTGTCCTTGTTAAGATCCAAGAACAAGGTAATAATTAGCCTAGTATGAAATTTTAAGGCATGTTCCTATAACTTATTTGAATGATCTTAGGGGATGTGTCATATAGCCTCATCAGATGCCTTCATAAAAGCTAAATCTCAGCTCAGGTTAGTGTCACTGCTAGGCAAAGGGCCAGAATGTGACATTCTACCAGGGGCCCTCCCCAAAGGCCTGTTTCTCAGCCATTCTCCTGTTGATAGACTTGCCCTTATTCCGGCAAAATTTTCCTCACTTTGAACCTACATCTAAATATCAGTTACCTGTTCTGTACAACAAATTACCCCCAAACTTAGTGCTGAAAACAGTGGATGCTCATTAGCTCACACCACTTCTGAGGGGCTGGCCTCCGGGAGTGGCTTATCTGGGTGATTCTGCATGAGGCTTGTCAAGCTGTGGCTGGGGCAACAGTCATCTCAAGGCTCAACGGGGACAGGAGAATCCTGTTCCATCTCCCTCCATCATAGCGTTGTTGACAGGAGGCTCAGCTTCTCACTGGCTGTTGGCCAGAGGCCTCCATTCTTTGTCATGTGGATACCTCTTTGTAGGCTGCCTGAGTGTCCTCAGGACAAGACAACTGGCTTCCTCCAGAGAGACCAGCCCAAGAGAAAAAGAGAGAGCATGTGCAAGCGAGAGAGTACCCGAGACAGAAGCCCAGCTTTATAACCTAATCTCAGAGTGACTACTGTCACCTCTGCCATAGCCTACTGGTCAAACAGGCTGGCCTGGTAGAGTATAGGAGGAGACTACATATGGATGTGAATACCAGGAGGTGAGGATTATCCAGAGCCATCTTTTAGGCAGCCTACCACAACCTAGATCCACTCTCTCCAGTCCTAACAAAAGACACGACAGACAGCACTAAGCCTACAGCTTTGTGGGTTGTTTTTTTCTGTTTTGAGGTGGATTCTTGCTCTGTTGCCCAGGCTGGAGTGCAGTGGCATGATCTCAGTTCACTGCAGCCTCTGCCTCCTGGGTTCAAGTGATTCTCGTGCCTCAGCCTCCTGAGTAGCTGGGACTACAGGCACGTGCCATCACCCCTGGCTAATTTTTGTATTTTTAGTAGAGACGGCATTTCACCATGTTGGCCAAGCTGGTCTCAAACTCCTGGCCTCAAGTGATCTGCCCCCCTCGGCCTCCCAAAGTGCTGGGATTACAGGCATAAGCCAGCCCCACCAGCCTAAGCACACAGCTTTGAAAGCACAACCTTCACTAACACTGAAGACTTTAGAGCTCCTCCTCTAACCTTCAGCTGAGGCCACTTATCTCCTGGAAGGCCAGTCTTGCTGACTGATGTCAAAGAGGACTTTACATTTTACTGTGTGTTTAAATAAGAAATGTGAGTTCCTGAAGTTTTATTATTGTCAAACATTCCAGATCATTATCTAATTTTCAAATGTTACATGAAAGTCCCAGATCAAATAAGGAAACTCTTGGATTTCTTTTGTTCAATTAGTAATTATAAGAACAATCTGTTAGTCATGGCAGAGACCATTATATCACATTAAAAAAAATGTACAGACTTGCTGGAAAGCAAAGGTGTTACTAACACTCTGGCTGGGCCTGCTGTACTTCTCCTCATTTGTAGGTTATCAGTAGCAAGTTGTAGTGTCAACTTTATTCTCTTCTCTGCTACAAAAATGAAAAGTCTAGAACAGCAGATGACAATTTGAAGACTTTTTTGTTGGTGCACCCTGAACTCTGTGGTTCAGTAAACATTCCTCAGCCAGTTGTACCTGGATGTTTGGTTGTATGCTAGCCATTAAGCTTTGCAACTAGGATCGTGAGGGCCATAGATGTTTTCTTTTGTTGTGTCATATGTTATATCTGTTGTAGTGAATTAAACTCAATCTGTTGCATCATACAGCTTGAATCAAAATGAAGTAAATATTTTTTTCTCCTATTATTTCCAAGAAAAAAAGACAGTGCTTCAGCTGGCTAAGAGTATTTGTATAATTTTGAAAGTTTTACATAATAAACTTTGTCCTATAATAAAATCTTTGTTGCTTCTTTCGAAATGACATGGCTGAAAGAAAGGCTTTATACCAAAGTCAGCCTGGCAGGAAGTGTTCCTCAGCTTCTTCTCCCTAAGTTATTCTCATTAAAATAAACATTTTAACTTTTTTTTAATACTAGAACATCAGAACAGACATTGTCATGGATGTTGGCTGCAGTATAAATCCAGCCATTGACATAGGCCAGGTACGTGTAACTGATGTGTCTCACTTTCTATTTGTAAAAGCCAAAAGTGCGGTGGGGTCTGCAGGAGAGCATTCCATCAGTCTTATTCATCATCTTATTTTTCTAACCCTTTAGTCAACTCTATTCAGACCAACTGCAGAGCTCAAATGTTTTACTGTTTAAAAGGGGGAAGGAAATAAAGGTGTTTTAGGTAGTTTTTGAAGAAACATAAAATCTGTGACTAGGGAGCTTGAATGAGGCAAGACCAAGCCTACAGGTGACTGATGAGCTCCAAACTTCTGGGACATAAATAGAGTTAGTGCCCAGTGCTGAGCCTTAGCCACACGATGGGCTTCAGCTTCGAGGAGTTTGAAGTCGTGTTGGGATAACAAGCCTCAAGTCATCAGAGCAGTAGCTGTTGGTAGGCAGCCTGTAGTGCTGGATTCCACCCACAGACATTTTCAAATTTAAATTTGAAATAGTTGAAAAGATTGGAAAGTCATAAATATCTAGTTTCTCTTGAAAACAGAAAGTTTGCCCACACTGGATCCTCATTTCCATGAGTGAAGTCGGTGGGCTGTACCTTTAGAGTCCCACACTCTCCAATGACACAGGACCCACCTGGAATCTTCATATACTGGGTTTGCGTGTCTCGAACCTGGAGGCAATTCAGCTCATTACCTCTGATTTAGGGCACCATCTTGTGTCCCCTCCCCCCCACCCCCCGCCCCCACCATCATGACATTGCATTATTGGCGAATGGGAAGAATCTGTGGTGTGGAGAAGTCAAAGGAGGCTTAGGGAGGAAGTGGGTGTGAACCAGGTTGTCAAGGAAAGAATGAGAAACGACATTAGGGGTGAAAGAAGAGTGGAGGAAGTCACCCTACAGAAACACATGGAATTTAGCATGCCTGTTCATGGCTGCTAATCAGGCCAGGGCAGATGACTATGGGGAAGGCCTGTGTGGGAGGGGTGGGCCATGAGGAGGGAGTCAGAGAGCAGAAGAGGGCTGGGGACTGCCAGGGGTGGGTGGAGGGCTTTTAGAGACAAGACTTCACTTAGTGGGGATGGACTGAAGTGTTTGGAAGACTGATCTAAAATCAGAGTCCAGAGATGTGAGGCTAGCCACTTTGTGGGCAAGGAGGTGGGATGAGACAATGGGATTGTAGCATTCACTAGCACCCTGGGGTCTCTGGACACATCAGTCAGGGGGGTTTGTCTGCCTCATGGGCAAAAAACAAAAGAAGAGGGTGCTTGGGCTCCAGACTCTGTGAAGACTCTTCCTGAGCACTCATTTCAATGGCCAAACCAAAATTAGAACCCTAGTCCTTTGTCTTTGACCTTCTTTTTTTCATGATTTTTATTTATTATTATTATTATTTTTTTTTTTTGAGACTAAGTTTTGCTCTTGTTGCCCGGGCTGGAGTGCAATGGTGCAATCTCAGCTCACCGCAACCTCCGCCTCCCAGGTTCAAGCGATTCTCCTGCCTCAGCCTCCCGAGTAGCTGGAATTATAGGCATGCACCATCACACCCAGCTAATTTTTTTTGTATTTTTAGTAGAGACGGGATTTCTCTATGTTAGTCAGGCTGGTCTCAAACTCCCAACCTCAGGTGATCCGCCTGCCTCGGCCTCCCAAAGTGCTGGGATTACAGGTGTGAGCCACCACGCCCGGCTGACTTTGAACTTCTTTTAACTTAATGCTGAACAAACATGTTTAAAATGGCTTTTAGATAAACTTTCAGCAACATGCTCCAAGACACCCTGAAAATGCTCTTAAACTGTAATTTTAAAATTCAAGCAAACAGCATGAAGTTGAAATGCTACTTAGTGTTGACTGTGTTTTCTCATACGTGGAAATTCTTTTTTTGTTCTTGCCTCAGATTGAAGGTGCATTTATTCAAGGCATGGGACTTTATACAATAGAGGAACTGAATTATTCTCCCCAGGGCATTCTGCACACTCGTGGTCCAGACCAATATAAAATCCCTGCCATCTGTGACATGCCCACGGAGTTGCACATTGCTTTGTTGCCTCCTTCTCAAAACTCAAATACTCTTTATTCATCTAAGGTAAGTAATGTTCTATGGGTAAATATGCATGTTTATATGATACCTGTTGGGTGACAGGAAGGCTACATTCCTCTCTTGGCTGTTTGGGATTTTTACCAGGATTGCAGAAGAAAAATTCTTATTAAACATTTTAATTCTAATCTAACATTATGATAAAAATTTTTAGTATTCCAAATCTTAGAACTTAACATCAACTACTATTGCCATCAGGTTCTATCTAATTTTTCACCTTGCAATAATCATCTTCATGCCTAATAATCATCTTCTGTATGTAGGTCATTTCCTGAGGCTAGAATTCTAAGAATGGGAATATTGGATCAAAAGATTAAATTACTTTTTGAAACAAAAAATTTATATAGGCCGGGCGCAGTGGCTCATGCCTATAATCCAAGCACTTTGGGAGGCCAAGGCGGGCAGATCACCTGAGTCCAAGAGTTCGAGACCAGCCTGGCCAACCTAGTGAAACCCCATCTCTGCTAAAAATACAAAAAAATAGCCAGGTGTGGCGGTGCATGTCTATAATCCCAGCTACTTGGAGGCTGAGGCAGGAGAATGGCTCAAACCTGGGAGGCGGAGGTTGCAGTGAGCTGAGATTGTGTCACTACACTCCAGTGTCATGCTTGGGCAACAGAGCCAGACTCTGTCTCAAAAAAAAAAAAATGTACATATGTAGTACGTAATATTTTTATATATGCACATATGCTATAAATATGCACATATATACAGAGTGAGAGAGAGAGGTATAATCTAGTTGGCATGCTTCCTTTCAAGGGTCTGGGAGAGTCGGGGGTGTTCCTGGGGTGTTCCGTGTTTTTCGCTATCCATGACGCAGTGAGTGCAGCACGACAGGAGAGAGGCC
Source organism: Homo sapiens (assembly GCF_000001405.40). Lineage (NCBI taxonomy): Eukaryota > Metazoa > Chordata > Mammalia > Primates > Hominidae > Homo > Homo sapiens. The sequence goes on from NC_000002.12 coordinate 200,669,663, forward strand.
TGCATGGACCCTTGACCCTTAATAGTCCACTGACCCCGGAGAAGATTAGGATGGCCTGTGAAGACAAGTTCACAAAAATGGTACGTTTGCATGGTAGAAAAAAAATAGTGATCATAAAATTCTGAATTTTTGGCCTCTGTTCTTGTGGTAAGTTTTCGTGAACGCACTGCTGTGGCTTTTCTTGCCAGAAAAGGTGACGGGAAACCTGGGGGCATTTGAGCAGATGTGCAGAGGGGTCCTTGAACTTGTACCCCTCGGGTTGCATTTTTTCATCAGCCTGCCCCTGCTTGGCTCCATTCTATACTATTTGACAAAAGAAAGTTCATTCCCATTAGTTTTATGTTCCTCTCCTGTTTTGCTCCCTTCCTAGGACACCTTGGTCAGGAATAGAAGTTCAGGAACTATGCCCTGAACCTAGGACACCCAGTCCAGGAATATAGGCCCCTCTGACAGTCTGCCTCCACCCCAACCCCAAACGGGCACCCGGAAAGTATGCTAGCAGGAACCCCTCCCCTCTGGCAACAGCGCCCATGCCGAGCAGACATCTCTACCCTCCTTGGATATTTTCAGGGACAGGGTTTTTAATTGTGGAAGAAAGTCATACTGTTCACAGTTACCACCCTGACTTTGACTGAAGGGAAAGCCCCTCCCATCCTCCACTCACACTGGCTCTTTGTGGTATCCTTCATGGTTTTCCCTAAGCCCCTGACACGTTGCTTTTTCTACTCTGGAGAAACAGAGACCCACTCCACTTTTCACTGGGTGGTCTTCAAGCGTGAGATGATAACCCCAGGACCTCTCCAGTCCTCCCCTGGCTTCCTCTATACTTCACAGGCTGTTGTTCCCTGACCTGTCATGGCCCTGGTTGCCCTCTGCTGGTGTTTAACCTACTTTATGTTCTTCTATTTTTCACCTAAGTCACAAACATTTCCCAGGTTTGAACATCCAGATTTGTTTTTATTTTAGATTCCGAGAGATGAACCTGGATCCTACGTTCCTTGGAATGTACCCATCTGAATCAAATGCAAACTTCTGGAGAAAACAGAGTGCCTCTTCCCAGATGGCAATCTGTCCTATCTCTGTGCTGGAAGATGCTAGATCTGAAAGACAGAGTTTCCACAGTTCAGAAATCATCCCACAGTGTTGCTTTTCTATGGAGCTGATTTAAAGTATTCCATTTAGATTTGATAGATATGCTTAAGCAATCTATAAATCATTTTCAATGTTATAAACACTAATTGGTTTCCTCTAGGGTGATATCCGTCATTACTCTGTCTCTTCAATCCATCCAGCTAAATGGAATAGGTGATGACTTGCATGTGACTCCTACTTGGCTTCTATCCACCAACAGAAATTATACCATATAGTGAAAGGCAATTTTCTAAATAATTTCATTACTAATATGAACTGTGAAGTTGTCATTTTTTCATTTGTCCTTTTCTGCTATCACCTTCCTCTTGTCAGAATGAATATAGACACTGTATCTAAGTGGGACCAAAGAAAAAATAGCGAACTTTCACCAAAGTTTTCATGAAAACCCAAAAGCTTTAAAAGTTACTATCAAGAAATTGAAAGGAAACCCACAGAATAGGATAAAATATTTGTAAATCATATATTTGATAAAAGTCTTGTAACCAGATACATAAAGAGCTCTTACAACTCAATAAAAGGCAAGTAATTTAAAAATAGGCAAAAGAATTGCTGGATGGTATGGTAGTTCTATTTTTAGTTTTTACCCTAACTACTCTGACTTGATCATTTAACATTCTGTGTATGTAACAAAATATCACATGCATAAATATTATGTATCAATAAAATTTTTTAATGGGCAAAGGATTTGAGTAGATGTATCTCCAAAGAAGATATATAAATGGCTAGTAAGCATTAAAAATATGCTCAAACTCATTAGTCATTAAGGAAATGCAAATCAAAACCACAATGAGCCACCATTTTATATGCAGTAGGATGATTGTAATCAAAATGATGGACAGCAGTAAGTATTGGCTAGGATAGGGAAAAATGGGAACACTTATCCATTGCAGGGGGCAGTGTAGAATGGTGTAGATACTGTGGAAAATAGTTTAGCATTTCCTCAAGGAGTTAAACATAGTTAACATAGAAGTTAAACATAGAATTACCATAATCTTAGGTATATACCCAAGAGAATTTAAAACATATATTCACCCAAAAATGTATACATAACTGTTCATAGCATTATTCATAGTATCCCAGAAGTGGAAACAACTCAAATTTCCATCAACTAATAAAATGTGGTATATCCACACAAGAGAGTTTTATTTGGCCATATAAAAAAAAAGCACTATTACATGTGACAACATGGATGAACCTTGAAAACATTGTCTAAATGAAAGAAGCCAGGCACAAAAGGCTGCATATTATATGATTCCATCTATACAAAATGTCCAGAACAGGCAAATTCACAGACACAAAGTAGATTAATGGCTACCAGAGGCTGCTGGGACCACAGACTGCTAATGGATATGGGATTCCTTTTCGGGGTGAGAAAAATGTTCTAGAATGAGTGGTGATAATTTTACAACGTGTGAATATACTAAAAACCACTGAATTGTAATTTTATAAAGGTGAGTTTTATGGTATGTGAATTATACCTCAATTTTTAAAAAAGTATCTGTGGAGAGAAACAGAAAATGTGGGAAAGATTGAGAAGTTGTGAGAATCAAGAAGCCTGTCCCAATCAATGGCTTTCCAAAAACATGGAAGCCTCAAAGGGAGGCTAAATAGCAAGGCATAGTCAAGGAAAAACGCCATTTCCGTTAAGAGCAGAGAGAAGTCACATGGATCTCTGCCTTTAAGAGCAGATTTTCTCATTTATACCACAAGTATTTATAGAGCATTTTACTCTGTGCCAGGCACTGTACTAGGCACTTGAGATTTATCAGCAAACAAAATAGACAGAGATCCCTGTCCTTGGGAAGATCCTATTTTGGTAAGGGCAGGCAGAAAAATTTTAAAAATAATAAGTAAATTACAGGAGTATGGTTGATGCTTGAGTGCTAAGGGAAGAAGTAGAAGTGGAGCAGGTTAAGGCCAATGGAGAGTGATGGAGCAGGTGGCAGGTTGTGGTTAGAATAGGTCAGAGAAAGCCCTCCTGAGGAAATGAGAATGGAGGCTGTGAGCTAAGCAGGTATCTGGAGGAAGAGCATTACTGGGGAGACAAGGCATTAGAGCAGAGTCTCTTGCAAGCAAGTGTGCCTGGCCCGTTTGTGGAGCAGCAGTGGGGCCCATGTGGCTAGCACAGAGCCAGGGACGGGGGCAGCCATGTAGAACCTGGAGGCCGCTATAAGGACTTGAGCTTTTAATCTAAGTGGCTGCAGAGCAGAAAAGTGACATGGACTTGCTTCTGTTGCAAAGGATTATCCTGGATGCTGTGCTGATGCAGGTCGTGGGAGGGCAAAAGTCGAGGGTAGATGCCTCCTTTCTGTCCCTTTGCCAACTCCTCCCCCTCCAGCCCACCTCTGTAAATGTTGGAATTCTCGAGACAGCCATGGGCCCTCTTTCCCAGTCTCTCTGCCTGGTGGGTGGCTGCCTTTACTCCCATGGCTGGAGGTAACTCTCTTGCTTAAGCTCTGGCTCTGTAAACCCAACTCTTGCTTTTCATTGCCACTTGGATGTCTCAAAGGCACTTCAAACGTCCCAAGCAGATCTCCTTTTCTGTACAGCCATCCACAGGTTGCTAGGCCGGAAACGGGAAATGATCTGAGGTGCTCTGTTCTCTTTGCGCACACATCTATTCAGGCACGAAATCCTGTCAATCCCACATCAAAGACAGTTCCTGAATCTGCCTCTCCCTCTCTTTATTTCCATAGCCTCTATGTTACTCCAAGCCACCTTCATTTCTCCCCTGACTATTGCAATAATCCCCTCCTGATTTCCCTGCATTCATTTTGCTTTCCTTCCAACCATTCTCACATTGAAGCCAAAGATATACATGAATTTGTGGGCACACACACATGCACATGCACACACAAAATCATCATGTTACACTCTTGCCTAAAACCCTTCAATTGCTTCCTATTCATCTCAGCAGAACATGTCCCAAATCCCTAAGATGGCATCTGCAGCCTAGGTTATCTAGCCCCAGCCTGTCTCTCCAGCGTTGGCTCATGTTCCCTTCCCTTTTCCTGTCTGGGTTTCCTGTTGTAGCTCTCACTCTGGAGCCTTTGCCTGTGTCCTCTGTCTGGAGGGTTCTATCACTTTTACCCCTCCTTGGGTCTGACTGCCACTATCCAGTACTGCTCTGCAGTTACAGGCACAAAAGTAACTTGAGGATCTTGTGAAAACACAAGTCGTAAGATCAGGCAAGCAAAAGCTATACAGTAAGAAGGAAGCAGAACATCCAGAACCAAGCAGGAGCAGGAGCGGGAGGAACAAGCCAGCAGCAGAAGCAGGTACCCCAGACACAGTGGCCCACGCCGGTGCTTCAGCGTCTCTCCCTCAACTCACACCTAGAGCTGCTAGGCAGAGTGGAGGGGTCCTTAAGCTGATGCAGAAGGAAAAAGACAGAGCTGGGTTCACAAGAGGGTTGGCTCCATACTTGGGTACAATCCAGATATGCAGTGTTGGCAGTATAGACCCTCTTAGAGGTGGCAAGGGGAAATTTTCCCAATAGGCAGGGCTTTGGGGAGCACACTGATTATCCACATTATGTGGAAAACAGGAGTGGTGCAACCCAAGGTTAGGATATATATGGAACAAATGGTTTGGCCAGCTGGTCAAGGGCCTGGGTGGGGGGGGTGATATTACAAGACTGGGGACAAGATGGCATATGAATGGGCATATGGAAGTGGCATGATATGTGAAGATTTTTGTATCACAGGTTAACACCCAGCAGGAAGCTCCCACTGTGAAAGATTTGCTAAACAATTAAGTGGACCAAATGAGATGGCCATGTGACATTAGCCAACTCTGTCATCCATCACCCCAGTCAGTGCTCACCCAATGGTGTCAGGGATGGAGGCCTTGCACGGGCCCGACAGCATGGGCTTCCACTTGCCATGTAGCTGATGCTGATGCTGAACATCCAATCTGCTTCCAACACAGACCAAAACTGGTCCTCAATTTGACACCATCCCTCCAGGAGACCAACTGGCCATTTGGTGGCAAATTGACTACACTGAACCCTTTCCATTCGGGAAGGGGCAATGATTCACTTTAACGTTTTCTGGGTAGAGGTTTGCCTTTCCTGCCTGCAAGATCTTAGCCATCACCACTATCTAAGGGCTTACACAGTATTACATTAATCATCATAAGATCCCATGTAACATCACGCCGGGGCAATTTACAGCAAAGTAAGGGGATCTGCTTCACAGCAGCCTGGGAGTGAGTGCATGACTGTGGAACCTGCTGGTCACATCAGACGCTATCCTGCTTGGAACAGCTGTTCTGACAGAGCAATGAAACAACCTCGCGCAGGCACAGCTGGAATGCCAGCTAGAGGATGGGCTCCCTCCTCCAGGACGCAGGATGCTTGAAAATGAGCACTCTGTATGATGTTATGTCCCCAGTGGGTGGTTCATACTGGCAGAGGATAGCTGGGCATTTATAACAGAGAATGGTTGGTACCTATTGTATATAATAAAATTCTACAGATAGATAAATAAAAAACCTACTAGGGAAAAATAATCAAAGGAGAGAAGAATAAGTACAAATACTCACTAATTGTCTAGCAAGATGGATAACCTCACCAAACTAGAGAAATGCCTACTATGAACTGTCATTTCTCCCACATCCTGGAAAACTGGACAGTAGGGATAATGCTCAGAGCTGGAGAAGGCTGTGTACATGATTTGTTATATTAAGGAACACATTTTAGAAGGTGATTTAGTTGGATTCAGCAATGTGCATAGCCTTCAACCCAGGAATTCCAACTCCAGGAATTTGTCCAACAGAAATACTTGCTCAAATGTCCAAAGGTGAAGTCCAAGGATTTTCATGGCAGCATTATTTATAATAGTGAAAAATTAAAAACAATGTAATGTAAATCAATAGATGACTAATAATTTATGGCAATAATACAAATAGTTAACATTTACTGACAGCTTACCTTCCTATGTGCCAGGAACTGTTTTAAGCACTTTACTTCACAACAGCCCCAAGGGAGATACTGTTATTTTGACTATTTTACAGAAAGCAATTGAGGCATGGAGAACCTAAGTATTAGGTTGGTGCAAAGGTAATTGCACTTTTTGCCATTGAAAGTAATGGCAAATACTGCAATTACCTTTGCACCAACCTATAACTTGAAAAAAAGAAAATTTTAAAATAGCATGAATAGTTTGAGTTCACTTTTTAGAAACTATCAAAAATTATGTATGCATGTATGTATCTATGTATATGTGCATGGGAAAATTCTGTACAGACGCACAGGAATCTGATACTAGTTTCCTTTGCGAAGTAAACACTGGGATAGAGGATTTTCACTTTTTGCTTTATATACTTTTATGTTTTTTTAAAATAAGCCTTCTATTTGTAATTTAAAAACAAATTATGAAAAAAAGTACATTTACCATCAAGAAACTCCCCTGAATGTAGTTCATTTGCAAATATAGCATGATTTAGCTCCATGTCACTGACTAAAGCAGCTTCGTGTTGCTGCTTTAAGAAGATGGTTTAAGGCCGGGTGCAGTGACTCATGCCTGTAATCCCAACACTTTGGGAGGCCGAGGTGGGCAGATCTCTTCAGGCCAGGAGTTTGAGACCATCCTGGCTAACATGGTGAAACCCCGTCTCTACTAAAAATACAAAAATTAGTCGGGCCTGGTGGCGTGTGCCTGTAATCCCAGCTACTTGGGAGGCTGAGGCAGGAGAATCACTTGAACCCAGGAGGCAGAGATTGCAGTGAGCCGAGATCACACCATTGCACTCCAGCCTGGGTGACAGAGTGAGACTACATCTCAAAAAAAAAAAAAAAAAGAAGAAGAAGAAGAAGAAGAAGATAGCTTATTCCAGTGGGTTGTCCCCATGGCAAGGAGAAATATACATTATGTAAGGGCTGAATTGCCATGAAAGTTCCAGGTTGGCTTAAAGGAGGAGGAAAGTGGGGGTAACAGAGCAAGGCGGGGAGACAAGAGGGTTGGGAACATAGACAGACAGGAGCTGGTTGGAGGAACACACTCAGGAAGCAGATACAAATGGCCCCGGAAGCTGCTTCATCCACTATTCATCCTCTTCCAGGGAGCACATGGCAAGCCTGTCAGGCGGACACAGGAACAGGTGCTTTTGATACAACTTCACAAGATTCAGCCAATGCTGGTGGCATAATGTCACATTCCAAGGCGTCAGATGAACTTGGTTTGTTTGTATGTGAATGGAAGAACAGTAAGTTTTCTACATTATTAATAAATTCATATAAAGAAAGAAACCATGATAGAAGCAATCTTTTATTAATGTTTGCCAAGACGATCCTAGGTTCAGGTGACTTGTGTGTGAGTTGCTGATTTGCTGTGTGACTGTGACAAACCTATAACAATCTGTATCTGTAGTCCTTAGGGTTCTTAGGGAAGGGGAGGAGAGAAGGAGGGAGGGAGGGAAAAAGGAGGAAAGGAGAGGGAGGTGGAGAAAGAGACAGACAGAATCTCTGTAATGCATGTAAAGGTGTCAGGATTACCAGATGCAAAGCGATTGTGTTGATAACTTCAGACCACATTTTGTAATTGCACCTGTATTCATCCAAGCCATCAGGCATTGACTTCTCTTTGCTAGGATCTTTCTTGCATCTCTCTCTTCCTCCCCACTTCCTCCCACAGCTCTGCCTCCTTCAGCTCTTGTCCCACCACCACCATTGCCACCACACACAAACACATACGAATTAAGGGTCTCAAATCTTCCCATCATTTGCAAATAATTACAAAACTTTTGACTAGCAAGAATGGAAGAGAAGTCATCCAGAAAGCCAGGAATAAACTTCACAGTTCACTGACATTTTAACATGTTGTCCTTTATGCAGGGAATTCTTAAATCATTTAAGTGAATGGGCCAAACAATTGTCTGGGCCCACTTTGCTCCGAGTGCTTGAGATTTAGCTAAGGCATCATCTATGACTAGAATTGGTGCTCCTTGTTTTTCATTGTCCTTGACACCGTGCCTGATGTGCAGCCCAATATCCTTGTTTTTAGCATCGTTGGCCAAGAGGAAGAGATAAAGTTGAAACCGAGCATACCCGCCCTGCATGTCGCACACTCCACGTGCGGCTATGAAAAGAAGTGGAGGCTCAGAGTGGTTATGTAACGTGCCCAAGATCCCTCAATTAGCAAGCACTAGAGGGACCCTGGCTTTCATTCAACTGCTCCCAAAGAATCTCCCAAAGATCCCTCAATTAACAAGCACTAGAGGGACCCTGGCTTTCATCTGACTGCTCCCAAAGTTTGGTTTTTTTCTACTGCTTCGTATTTCCTCCACTAGGGAGATGGCAACTCTTCTAGAATTTCTCTGTTAAAGGGAGGTGCTAGTGGATTGTACGAATGTTTTCCTGTGGATACCAAAAGAATGCTATTTGTCTACTGCTGCCAAGGTCTTGCTTACTTAACTTTTCAAATTTGATCAAAGAACAAAGAGTATGTTTTGCAAGTGGTGATGAGAATTAAAACCCTTAGTTCAAGTCTCCATTCTTTTATTGAACTGTGAATGCAAGAATTTTAAAAGTGTATAGCTACCCAATATTTCATAAATTTTTATTATTTTCTTCAAGCCAGGGTTGTGTTACAATGCAAATTCTTGTTGGTTATCCTCTGAAACAAAGCCAAATATTTGTCCTGCCAAAAGAAAGTCAAATACAGTACAGCGTCATGTAACTCTGTAATTGCTAAAGAGATGTTTAATCAAGCCAAGGAAATAAGATCAACCAACCTATTTTAAATGATTCTTACTATTCAGAAATAATGGGCCACAGGAAAACTGACTCAATCTATATAATCAATTCCTCTGTGGAGGTCATTGAGATAAATTCAGACCCTGAAGTAACTTTACTGTTTTTTCTAAGAAAATATCATATCTTTTTGTTTGTTTAAGAAAGCAAAGCAAATTAAAAAAAAAAAAAAAACCTCTGGATACTGCAATTTCTCTTGCACTTACAGAACATTTTCCTTCTGTCATGCATCATTTCAGTTTGTCAGTGTGATGGCTGGTCAAATAATTACCTGCCCTTGTACAGCTTACACTCTGGTGAAGTTATTGAATGACTTGCCTTCCAGTTGGTCTCATTTAACTTCTTCCCCACACCTTCCAGGCTTTTTATAAAATCATACTAGAGATTGTTTGAAGGGTAATGTGTTAATTATCTGACCAACCATCACAACCAACAAACTGAAATGGGCATAGGAACAACTAGAAACCATTTCAATTCCTGAGATTTTTAATTTTAACAAGATAGTTTGGAAAGAAAAATGGCTTTCTTAATTCCAAGTAGTAGACTCTTTATTTTTAGGTAGCCATACTATTATACATTCAAGATCATTTATGTCATGGCCCAGCTCTAACACTCACTCAATTAATTATATTCATATCAAAGTAATTACTATTATAATCATCTAAATACATATTTTCTTTTTCTTTTTTAACACTGCTGCTGTCACTGTGCCAATTCTTTTTGGCTTTACTGTGTAAACTCTGAAGTCACTTCTCTGTCACCGCTTGCCTGGTGCCCGCCTCCTTTTTCTGTAGAGCTGCCGTCACCACCAGAGAAGGTGTAGGAAACACCTAACCCAGGATTCACCCAGTTCAGGTAAGAGCACATTTGAGGATAACAATGGGTTTAGGTAGCTTCTCTCTCGTTGTCTGGGTGATCGCTTATGGTTTCAGAGGACACAGATGGCAGGTGAAGGTCTCTGTCTCCTTTACAAGAAGAAATATTACCCATTCTTAATTTCCTTTTTCCTTCTGCAGCTTTATTGATTACTATTTGAGGCTTATTACACTTCCATAAAAATGTGGAGGAGGTGGCGATGAGGTAGTGACGCCCCCCCCCGAGTCTGTCACTTCAGACCATCTCATTGCCTCAGGGAGGAATTTCTCCCTAGGAATGCTTTGAGTCCTGCCACAAAGACATAAAAAAGGGATGATTCACATCTATTATGGTTCCTATAATAAAATAAGAAAAAGGATTGGGCACAGTGGTGCACACCTGTAATCCTGGCACTTTGGGAGGCCGAGGTGGGAGGATCGCTTGAGCCAAGGAGTTCAAGACCTGCCTGGGCAACATAGCAAGGCCCCATCTATAAAAAAATAAACAACTCAGCTGGGCATAGTGGTGTGTGCCTGTTATCCTAGCTACAGGGGAGGCTAAGATGGGAGGATCACAAGCCCAAGAGTTTGAGGCTGCAGTGAGCTATGATCGGGTCACCATACTCCAGCCTGAGTGACAGAGCAAGACTTCATCTCTAAAAATAAATAAAAATTAAGATAATAAAATAAAATGAGAAAAACAAGGACGCGTATTCTATGTTTGGTCTGTGTAAATAGTCATGCTGATAATTCTAGCCAGAAAGAATAGTTTTGTGACCTGAATGTTTAATTTGGCTTGTTGCTATGTAATAGTCTTTGGTCAAGACTATAGATGTTGATACAGGAGGCAGAAAATAAGAAGAAAAAATGACAATATATGTTGAGCACCCCACACCAAACCAAGTTATAAACCTTTGGATATAAAGATTATGTCTTACTCTAAAAATACCCTCTCCCATCACAAGGAATTTGTATTCCATGAAGGTTGTTGGCAAATCACTGAGTCAAAGGTCACAGGGGAGGAAGGTCACTAGCCTGCTGGTTCTTTGGCCCCCAGGAATCCTCTCACTACATCAGAGGCACACAACAGTGTGTGTTTGTCTCAGGGCCAAGGTTTTTGTTTTTGTTTTTGTTTTTGTTTTGAGGCAGAATCTTGCTCTGTTGCCCAGGCTGGAGTGCAGTGGTGCGATCTTGGCTCACTGCAACCTCCGCCTCCCAGGTTCAAGCAATTCTCCTGCCTCAGCCTCATGAGTAGCTGGGATTACAGGTGTGTGCCACCATTCTCAGCTTATTTTTGCATTTTTAGTAGAGATGGGGTTTCGCCATGTTAGCCAGGCTGGTCTCAAACTCCTGACCTCAGGTGATCCAACTGCCTCAGCCTCCCAAAATGCTGGGATTAGAGGTGTGAGCCACCATATACCCAGCCAGGGCCAAGTTTTTATAAGATTTTTAAACTTACATACTGAAGATACATTAGTAAAAATGCCCTAAAGTGAAGAAAACGCCAGTTACCCTCCCAGGTCAGAACAAAAAGTGTGAAGTGGAAAAGCTGGAGCTCTCTTTGTGGAGGGAAGCCTTGGCAATAAGTCCCTCCAATTTAACTTCCTTTCAGGAGGAGGGGCAAGTGGGAGCAGAATGGGGAGAGAACACAATAAAAGTAGGTAATCCCTATGTCTGTGGTCTTGGTTAAATCTAAACTCTGCCCTTGAAGTGATGCACTAGGCTGACATTGAGGACTTCCTTTCCCAACTGCCTCAATGGAGTTTTTTTCCAGAAAGCCTCCATTGGCATCCGAAATGTGAACAATCATGGCACTTCCAGCTGCTACCTGACAGGCTCTGGACCTACCTGTAGTTGTACCAATCAGAGGCCTCTGTTTCATTTCTGAGAGACTCTTACCTCTAAACTTTCCACCTGGAGCCCTGTGTCCTTTGCTTTTACGAAGGAATTGCTAAAGCCCACAGCCCCCAGTGTGGGTTCTGCACCCTGGAAATGGTGATGACCATCTACACTGTCCTGAGGAGCCACCCAGAACTCTCCACAGAGCAATTAATGGAAATCTTGAGTGGTAAGTCTCTAACCTCTTCAACTGTAGAAGAGTATTGTCCTTCCAAGAGGAGCAGAGATGCTGGAGCATTTTCATCCAAGGGATCAGGCCAAAAGGCTCAAAAAAATTTATTGATTGATCTTTATGATTCACACCTCTTGAGTAGTGTGGGCAAGAATTATCCATTCCTACTTAGCAGGAAGGGAAACTGAGGCAGTGAGCCAGAAAGTAAAGTCAATTTTCCACATGACTGTTACATTCTTGGCACCATATCAGTTGTTTCTGGTAATTTTAATGTAATATATATTTGGGTAGCATATGCTTATTGAAACAGTCTTTGTGTGGGTGTCTTTGATGCAATTCCAATGTTACTGGAATGGTATTTGGAAATATTACGACTCTAAAATCTTTTAATTATGTATTTAGAGCTAGCCAAAAGAAGCTGTGACCTTTTGGGGTTTTTTTTTTTATTATTTGCTATGGTTGTTGCTGCAATTGTTACTGAAGTGTTATTAATGCTTATGAAATCATAGACTCTTAGGAATTGGGAAAAAACACTACGACTCATAAACTTGCATGTAATTAAAATGGCTTAAGACTTTAAAAATGATATTTCCACTGTTTTGTCCTTTCAGAAACTTTTTTATTCTGATTAAATTTCACATATGCATTCTATCCTGTCAAGATACTTTTAAATTTTTATGCTGCTATTTACAAATCTGATAAACACTGCCTGCTGTTTTTATATAAGTTATTGACTAAAATATTGAACAGAATAAGCCAAGCAGAGAACTATGAGAAAATCAACACTTAACATTGAACTGTTGCTTAATTAAGTACAAGCCTTTCTGTGATATGCATTTACGTTCCTATATCCTTTCCACAGAGGACCACAGGTGAGTCAAATGCCCCTTGAATCCCCATGCAATGTGTCTATGACATTGATCAGAGTCTCAGTCTAGAATTTTTTTCCCAAAAGGGAATGAATGTTCCCTTTTGGGAAAAAATAACGTTCTTGAGGTACCCAATCTCCTCTTAGGAGCCATCATTCCTAGGCCCTGTTGTCAATAATCCATTCCAGAATAGATTCAGAAAATTGCTTGAGAATGAAGTCAACCTCGCTTTATTTTTTTTTTTATTTTATTTATTTATTTATTTATTTATTTATTTATTTTTTATTGATCATTCTTGGGTGTTTCTCGCAGAGGGGGATTTGGCAGGGTCATAGGACAATAGTGGAGGGAAGGTCAGCAGATAAACAAGTGAACAAAGGTCTCTGGTTTTCCTAGGCAGAGGACCCTGCGGCCTTCCGCAGTGTTTGTGTCCCTGGGTACTTAAGATTAGGGAGTGGTGATGACTCTTAACGAGCATGCTGCCTTCAAGCATCTGTTTAACAAAGCACATCTTGCACCGCCCTTAATCCATTTAACCCTGAGTGGACACAGCACATGTTTCAGAGAGCACAGGGTTGGGGATAAGGTCACAGATCAACAGGATCCCAAGGCAGAAGAATTTTTCTTAGTACAGAACAAAATGAAAAGTCTCCCATGTCTACTTCTATCCACACAGACCCGGCAACCATGCGATTTCTCAATTTTTTCCCCACCCTTCCCGCCTTTCTATTCCACAAAACCGCCATTGTCATCATGGCCCATCCCCAATGAGCCGCTGGGCACACCTCCCAGACGGGGTGGTGGCCGGGCAGAGGGGCTCCTCACTTCCCAGTAGGGGCGGCCGGGCAGAAGCGCCCCTCACCTCCCGGATGGGGCGGCTGGCCGGGCGGGGGGCTGACCCCCCCACCACTCTCCCGGACGGGGCGGCTGGCCAGGCAGAGGGGCTCCTCACTTCCCAGTAGGGGCGGCCGGGCAGAGGCGCCCCTCACCTCCTGGATAGGGCGGCTGGCCGGGCGGGGGGCTGTCCCCCCCACCTCCCTCCCGGACGGGGCGGCTGGCCGGGCAGAGGGGTCCTCACTTCCCAGTAGGGGCGGCCGGGCAGAGGCGCCCCTCACCTCCCGGACGGGGCGGCTGGCCAGGCGGGGGGCTGACCCCCCACCTCCCTCCCGGGCGGGGCGGCTGGCCGGGCAGAGGGGCTCCTCACTTCCCAGTAGGGGCGGCCGGGCAGAGGCGCCCCTCACCTCCCGGACGGGGCGGCTGGCCAGGCGGGGGGCTGACCCCCCACCTCCCTCCCGGACTGGGCGGCTGGCCGGGCGGGGGGCTGACCCCCCCACCTCCCTCCTGGACGGGGCGACTGGCCGGGCAGAGGGGCTCCTCACTTCCCAGTAGGGGCGGCCGGGCAGAGGAGCCCCTCACCTCCCGGACGGGGCGGCTGGCCGGGCGGGGGGCTGACCCCCCCACCTCCCTCCCGGACGGGGCGGCTGGCCGGGCAGAGGGGTCCTCACTTCCCAGTAGGGGCGGCCGGGCAGAGGAGCCCCTCACCTCCCGGGGCGGCTGGCCGGGCGGGGGGCTGACCCCCCCCACCTCCCTCCCGGACGGGGCGGCTGCCGGGCGGAGACGCTCCTCACTTCCCAGACGGGGTGGTTGCCGGACGGAGGGGCTCCTCACTTCTCAGACGGGGCGGTTGCCAGGCAGAGGGTTTCCTCACTTCTCAGACGGAGCGGCCGGGCAGAGACGCTCCTCACATCCCAGACAGGGCGGCAGGGCAGAGGTGCTTCCCACATCTCAGACGATGGGCGGCCGGGCAGAGACGCTCCTCACTTCCTAGATGTGATGGCGGCGGGGAAGAGGCGCTCCTCGCTTCCTAGATGGGATGGCGGCCGGGCAGAGACGCTCCTCACTTTCCAGACTGGACAGCCAGGCAGAGGGGCTCCTCATATCCCAGACGATGGGTGGCCAAGCAGAGACGCTCCTCACTTCCCAGACGGGGTGGCGGCCGGGCAGAGGCTGCAATCTCGGCTCTTTGGGAGGCCAAGGCAGGCGGCTGGGAGGTGGTTGTAGCGAGCCGAGATCACGCCACTGCACTCCAGCCTGGGCACCATTGAGCACTGAGTGAACGAGACTCCGTCTGCAATCCCGGCACCTCGGGAGGCCGAGGCTGGCGGATCACTCGCGGTTAGGAGCTGGAGACCAGCCCGGCCAACACAGCGAAACCCCGTCTCCACCAAAAAAAAACGAAAACCAGTCAGGCGTGGCGGCACTCGGCAGGCTGAGGCAGGAGAATCAGGCAGGGAGGTTGCAGTGAGCCGAGATGGCAGCAGTACCGTCCAGCTTTGGCTCGGCATCAGAGGGAGACCGTGAGGGAGAGGGGGAGGGGGAGGGGGAGGGAGAGGGGGAGGGGGAGGGGGAGGGGGGAGGAGAGGGAGAGGGGGAGGGGGAGGGGGAGGAGAGGGAATGAAGTCAACCTCGCTTTATAACCCATCTTTTTGAAAACCAGGATCAATGGTTGCCTGTCTCCAGTGTTCTGGCATCACTTTGGTTTATCATGATATCTCAAAAAGCTTACTGACCATGGTTTCACAGTCCCACTTACAAATTATTTCACAGTCATTGGACATAGTTCATCTTGTTACTCTGACCCCTTGAGCAAATTTAAAGAGGCTAAATGCTCTCTTAAAATCTCCACATATCTTCGGCTTCAAGTCTCTTTTAACTGTGCTTGTCTGATGCTTTAGGTTCACCAAGCATTCATTTGTGAGAAATACAGAGGCAAAAATAGGAATGAGTTTCGTCTTCCCTCTGACATCTATTAACATTATTCCATCTTCCTTGAGCTGTGTATGTGTTCTCTGTTTGATGCATTTTGTTGTTGATAGTATTTTCCACAAAATCTATCTCAATTTGATGTTTAGCCTCTTGACACTGCTCTGTGTCACACGTTTCCCTTCATCTCCAGTTTTGTCCCATGGCTTTCATCATTTATTCATCTTTCTTTGTTTTTACTAATCAGAGACCAATCTGAGTATAGCCTTCTTATTTCTTCTTCATTTACACTTGTATCCTCCAAATTTCATTTCTGAGTGCTTCTTATGCCTTTTGTGCTATATTCTCTTTTTGTAGTTTCTGGCCAATGGGAGAGGTCCCATTGCTGCTATGTACCTTCCAAAATTGGCTTTTCACAGCCCACAGCCCTGTAGAGCAAAACCGAGGACCCCGTACCCCAACTTTCTGTCACTTTCACATCACAGAGTTTGCGGTTAACTTGGCAGCCATTCCTCTCATTGATTCCCCTGACTTTTGAGACATAAAAGAATTTTTTAGCCCCTCTTTTTCAAGAAGGGTGGTTGAAGGATCCTTTTCCAGCTGTATCCTTCTGTTCCAATTTTGTAATTTGCTTCAGAGATACCCCACCCATACCTTTTATTGGACCTGATAGCCTGTGTTGTCCAACCCCCACTGGGAGTTAAAGATTGGTTCAATGGGTAAGATGGAGATGGAAGTATGAAGGAGTCCCACACTAGGGCTGCAGGAGATGCTTTGAAACTAGGTGTTCAAACAGATCCAAGAGTCAAAGAGGAAGCTGGGTTCAATAAACAAGAAGAAAATCTCAGCATTTTGCTAAAAACTGAGGCAGATATCAAAAGCCAAGGAAGGCTGGGCACTGTGGCTCACGCCTGTAATCCTAGCGCTTTGGAGGCCAAGGCAGGCAGATCGCTTGAGGTCAGGAATTCAAGACCACCAGCCTAGCCAACATGGTGAAACTCCATCTATACAAAAAATACAAAAATTAGCCAGGCATGGCGGTGCGCACCTGTAATCCCAGCTACTTGGAAGGCTGAGGCACAAGAATAACTTGAACGCGGGAGGCGAAGGTTGCAGTGAGCTGAGATCACACCACTGCACACCAGCCTGGGTGACAGAGAAATACTCTGTCTCAAAAAAAAAAAAAGTTAGAAAAGGAATAGTATGTCTGGACAATTACCTTCAGCAAGCATTGTGGCCCAGAATGTGTGCACAAGAGAGCCTTAGGCAAATTTCTGGCTGTTTGTTTCTCTTTAGGCTCTTACCCAAATGATCTCTACCTCCTTCTTTCCTGTAAATTTCCTGGATTTCCACTTATAAATAAAAGTATGTATTTTTACAACATGGAAAGCTATGCAGCCACAAAAAAGAAGAAGATCATGTCCCTTGCAGGAACATGGATGGAGCTGGAGGCCATTATCCTTAGGAAACTAATGCAGGAACAGAAAAGCAAATACCACAGGTTCTTACTTACTTATAAGTGGAAGCTAAATGATGAGAACACACGGACACATAGAGGGGAACAACGCACAATGGGGCCTATTGGAGGGTAGAGGGAGAGGATCAGAAGAAATAACTAATGGGTACTGGGCTTAATACCTGAGTAATGAAATAATCTGTACAACAAACCCCCATGACACAACTTTACCTATGTAACAAACCTGAACATGTATGCTGAATTTAAAATAAAAATTAAAAAAAATTAAACAAATAAGTAAATAAACCTGGCAATGACTCAAAAAAAAGTATGTTTTATGATCATGCAGTTCCTGCCTCCTGTGTTGGTTTTCTTTCCTTCCTTCCTTCCTTCCTTCCTTCTTTCCTTTCCTTCCTTCCTCCCTCCCTCCCTCCCTTCCTTTCTTCCTTCCTTCCTTTTCCTTCTTTCTTTTTTCCCTTCCTTCCTTCTTCATTGCCAGATTCTGATATTGAATCTCATCTCTCTAGGTGTTGGTGGTGAGTATTAGACATGAGTAGCTTCATTGCACCAAAATTTCAAATCCTCCTCTTTTATCACCTATAGCCTATGCTTTGATATCTAGACACCACAATGACAGCTAATTTTATTGAGTATTTTCCATGTACCAGACACTATTCTCTGTTAAGTACTATATGCTAATTGTGTAGATGAAGAAACTGAAGTACAAAATGGTGAAGTTACAGCCCAATGTTGTACAACTGGCAAGTGGAAGAGTCAGAAGCTGCACCCTGGTAATTTGGTCATAGAATTCATGTTCTTAACCATCTCATCAAAACTAGTTATTTTCCCAAGACCATTTTTCTTGTCATTTTCTCTGGAGAATTACTGAGACTTCCTTTATTGTTATTCTTTTTTCCCCAATATAACTAGTGTCCTCTTTGGTTTCATATTTTAGTTTCATCTATGTACATTTTTAGTATCCTAACTTCTTTCTTTCTTTAATGTATTCATGCACCACTCTATAAACATTAATTGAGTGCCTATTGTGTTATTAGCAGTAGGCATGTGGTCCTTAACTTTAAGGAGAATCAGTCCTGACCAGGGGTTCTGATTCAGGTATAATTAATATCTTTAATGGGTCCATGAACCCACAAAGTGTTGTGCAAAGTGTTGTGTATATATTCATTTATGACTTTGAGGGTCTGCGTGAGAACCGCTAGCCTAAAAAGATAGAGAAGTAATGATGATACAATGACATCCTGATTAGACCCAGGAGCCGTGCTTCCAAACATGCTTTTTCAATCTTTCTAAGAAATACTACCTCTGTGTCAGGGTCAGTCTTTTCAATATTATAAGATATTTCAATACCATCCACTGCTATCAAAAACTGGAAAAGGCCTGAGATTTTACCCTACTTACAAGCTAACAACTTAGCCTGTCACAGTTTGATGGATGCCAACAGAAGACACAAAGCTCCTGGGTCAGAGACAAAAGACTTGATTACTCTCAGCAACAACATAGCTAGAGCAGTAGATTGCATCAGCTCCCTGATCCCCAATTCCCACAAGGTAACGTGAAGAGGACCAGCTGATGCCCACTCATGCAATGAGTTTCATTACAGGAGAGGAACCCTGAACTTAGACAGCTCAAATCTTTCATAATGGGTGGTAAGCCTCCCAGAAGGTGACATTATTTATTCTACTGGACAGTAAACATTCTTGCTTATTCTTCTGCAGGGAGACACTGTCTTTATCTTCCAACACTGTTTGTTATACAAGCATCCTTGAAAAGATAGTCTGGAACAAAAGCAGTCAGTGCCTCTGGTCACAAGGTGTACACATCTCTAGCATGTGACTTGTACCCACTGTGGGAATCCCTCTGTCTTTTGTCCTTTCTCCTCACCCTTGCCAAGAGTGCAAGAACTGAATCCTAAATGCCATCTGATAACACTAGTTCAGTCTTGAAAAACAACTGAGATTTTTAATATGATTTGGGGGGAAGGAGTGATGCGAGACCTACCTATAAACAAGGGAGACCTGTCAGGGCAGAGATGTCAGGGGTCTTTGGGTCAAAACATTGTGTATTTCCTTCTTCCCAGGTAATTTATGCTGCTGTACTGGACAGAGACCCATTGTGGATAGTGGGAAAAGTTTCAGTCTTGTGAGTATGAAACAACTGATAGCTGCAGAGCCAACAGTTCTGGATTAAGTCACAAATCATCATGTGCATTATGCAGGATTGGTTTTCAAGGAAAGCACAATATTGTGTCTTAGAGAAAAATGGTTCACATTTTACCCAACTCAGTGATGGTAACTAGGTATTTTTCTCAGAAACACAGACAGGTGGCACCTCAATGGCTTTTTGAAACTGAAGTTTATAAAATAGCATATTTCAAGTGAAAACGAATTAGGCCATCTTCCTTACATCTTGTTTTGTTGATAGGAAAACAGTCTATTTCTCATGCTGCCATTTCAGCAGCACTTTTTGTTGAGTCACCACCAAAGTTAAACATTTTTGTGAAATAAATCCCTATGTCCTCTTGGAATGTGCTTCCATCTTTGATTAGTACTCATGGTAGATGGGGAAGAGAGAAGGAACATTTTCATCTTTTATGCTGCGTGGAATCAGTAGCCATTCAGCAATGTGTAGCAATCATAGAGCATTAGATTCAGACCTTCCTCTGCCCACTTCCTCCACATCCCACGCTCTGAAAAACACATAATTTCTCCACACTCTCACACAAACACTTCTGACACCAGATGTGTGTGGTTTTTTTCCACACCAACAAATTCTCCAATCTCCAGACACCAGCTGGTATCCTACAGTTTAATCCAATTCTGACCCTATCTACCAGGAGTTAGTGGCAGCTCCCACAAATTAAGGGCTCAGTCTCACAAGATCCCCTACATCACATGCCAATCGCAAGTCTGGGCCTCCTATATTTCTAACCTACCAGCTATAAATTGGAGGTTCCCACGAACTCCTCCTTGGGTTTGGTAATTTGCTAGAATGGCTCACAGAACTCAGGTAAACACTTTACTTAACATTTACTGGTTTATTATAAAGATATTGTCAAGGACACAGAAGAATGCACTATGAAAGGTACATAAAGCAAGGTCCAGAAGGGTCCTGGGTGTAGGAGCTCCTGTCTCGGTGGAGTTGAGGTGCACCAGCCTCCTGTCATGTGGATGCATTCACCAACCCAGAAGGTCATAAATCTCCTTGTTCAAGGGTTTGTATAGAGCTTTATCTCCATCCCCGCTGTTCCCTCAGAGACAGGTGGGTGGAAGACCCTCCAATCACTTGGTCTCTCTGCTCACCAGAGTCATCCTGAGGCCATCCACGTAGGGGCCCTATCCTAAGATGTCTCATTAGCATAAACTCAGATGTGACCCAGAGGCTTGTCATGAATAACAAAAGACACCCCTATAACTCAGAAAATTCCAAGTGTTTTGAAAGCTCTGTGCCAACAACCAACTGGGGACAAAGACCAAATTTTTTTTATTATACTTAACTGAAAAAAAAAACAACCCTATAGGAAGTAGCTAAGAAAGACTATATGGAATCATTAATTTTAAAAATACAAACTTTTTATTGAAAAGATACATTACAAACTGCAGAGATTATATACCCAGAGATGTTTAGATTCCTATATTGTTAAAAGAATGTGGAAAAGTGAGAAAGAGAATAACAAAGGGGACATGCAAATAATACAACTATGGGCTCCATAAGACGTTTTGGCCAATGAAAGGCAGCATATATGATGGTGGTCCCATAAGATTATAATACTGTATTTTTACTGTGCCTTTTCTATGTTTAAACACACAAATACTTACCATCACATTACAATTGCCTACAGTATTCAGGATACTACCATGCTGTACAGGTTTGCAGCCTAGGAACAATAGGCTGTACCATCCAGCCTCGCTGTGTAGTAGGCTCTACCATGGAAGTTTGCATAAGTACATTCTATGACCCCACAATGACAAAATCACCTAACACATTTCTCTGAACATATCCCTATCCTGAAGCAACACATGACTGTATGTCTAAAAGAAAGGTTAAAGAATAGAGACTAGAGAGCCATGTAAACAAAATTGACATGAATAATTGATGTCAAATAATTATTATTCTGCATAGCAGTTATAAATATTATGACAACTAACTACCTGAGCTGGAGAAGTAAGACAAATTACAATGAGATCTATTTGTTTATTTGATCATTTTTCAATTCAATTCAATTCATTCATTCATAATTTGAAATTATTTGGTACCTTCCATCATCACCTATACAGTCAGCCCTTCTTATCTGTGGGTTCCACATCCTTGGATTCAACCAGCCACAGATCAAACATATGTAAGAAAAAAATAACAATAACCATACAAGGCCAGGTGCAGTGGCTCACGCCTGTAATTCTAGCTTTTTGGGAGGTCTTGGCAAGTGGTTCACTTGAGCTCAGGAGTTTGAGAGTAGCCTGGGCAACATGGTGAAACCCCATCTCTACAAAAAAATAGCCAGGCATGGTGGCATGCACCTGTAGTCCCAGTTACTTGTGAGGCTGAGGTGGGAGGATCGCTTCAGCCAGAGAGACGGAGGTTGCAGTAGGCTGTGATCATGCCACTGCACTCCAGCCTGGGCAACAGAGTAAGATTCTGTCAAAAAAAAAAACTGTAAAATAATACAGTATAACAACTGTTTACATAACATTTCCATTGTATTAGGTAGTAAAAGGAATCTAGAGATTATTTAAAGTATTCAGGAGGATGTGTGTAGGTTACATGAAAATACTATTCCATTTTATATAGGACACTTGAGCATCTGCAGATTTTGGTATCTGTGAGTGGTCCTGGAACCAATCCCCCACAGATACTGAGGGATGATTGTATTTCATTTCCAGTTTCCCTGTGGCTTTAAAGATTATTTGAATCTATTTTATTGGCTAGATCACTGGGTCAGATAAGCATGGAGAAAAGACCAATGCTAGATTCCCAGACTGAAATAAATGGAGGGGCCATAGCTTCTCCACTGAAGAATTCTTCAGTGGAGCCAAATCCCTGTGACTTGGTGGCAACTCAGTGGATATCGTTCTAACTTAGGAGGCGCCAGGGGCACCAGGGTTTTCAGTCCTCCCTGGGGTAACCTGCTCCCTGCTCCTCCCTAGTCTCTGAACCATAGCACACCACCACTGCTGCCACCACCACCACCATAATCATCATCATCATCATCACCTCTAGTGGTATTTTACAACTCCAGGATTCTCTGATTTTTCCATTCTTGTTTTCTTCTATAGAGTTCATTTTGCTGCCAAATGAATGGGGAAGGTAAATGTTGCTTGGATCAAGAGAAAAGCAGGCCCTAAGAACAAAGCAAGTATAAGTCTTTCTTTTTCTGCCCTCTTTTACCTGTTTTATGACCATGAACTCCATTATCAGAATGCATAGCCTCAAATTCTGATTCCACTATCATGGAAACCTTTTTTAAACCTTTGTTTCTCTATCTGTAAAATGGGATTATGACTATAAAGTGTAAATTATATCATGTCTGTAAAACACAAAATATCATGCTGACCACATACTGTCTGGCCTCTGCGCAGCCCTTTGATCTATTTCGATGAACCCCTGACTATTGGGGCTTGGGGTGTTGGTGCAAGAGGCTTTTGGAGTTCTAAGAACAATTATCTTTCTCTCAGTCCTTCTATTCCTTTCCTTCCGTTTTCCCCCAATCGCTGCAAACCCAAGTCTATCTGGGAGAAAAGGACCCCACATACAGGGCCTGCAAGATATAGTAATTATTCAAACATGGCACCAGCATGGTGACACCAGCCTTGGCAAGATGGAACCTAGCTTGAATCCTAGCTCTGTAACTTTCCAGCTCCAGTTTAATTTCCTCCTTGGTATAACTGGGATAATATTTCAAGGAAATTGTTGGGAAGGCTAAATCATAGACATAAATGAGGTGCTGAAAGTTCCAAGTACAGTGACTGCACATAATAATTGCTTATTGAATGCCAGTTTTTCCTGGTAACTGATGTTCAGAATTGTCCTTAGAGCCAACTTTGGCAAGAGATGGCTCACAAAAGCTGTAGAAATTAGAAAATGTCCAAGAAATTTAAAATTTCTGTGTATACATTCTTTGACCCAGCAATTTCACCACCAGGAATCTACTCTAGGGGAGTAATTGAAGGTAAGTCAAATATTTATTATATACATAGATATTTGTCACAATGTTACTTATAATTACAAAAAAATTAGAGATAAACTAAATGTCCAACAATAGGGGATTGCTTAAGTATTTCATGGCATAACCATGTGATTGGAATTTATACTATCTTGGAAAATCTCTTTTGTGCAATATTTAAAGAATTTGAAAATAAAAATGGTTTGAAGTGAAAAAATTTAAAAATTGAGCACTCTGATACCAGATTTATAGAA
Source organism: Homo sapiens (assembly GCF_000001405.40). Classification (NCBI taxonomy): domain Eukaryota; kingdom Metazoa; phylum Chordata; class Mammalia; order Primates; family Hominidae; genus Homo; species Homo sapiens. Next base: position 200,693,013 of record NC_000002.12, read on the forward strand.
AAAATGTATAAGCATAGTATAATCTCATATATACAGAGCAATTATAAAGAGTGGACGGAAATACACATAACATTGATAGTGGTTATCTCTACTTCATATGAAGTAATTTTATTCCCTTCTGTAGATTTTTCAGCAATTCTACATGATGTTTTTACATGAACATGCATTAATTTTATAATCATATGCAAAAAAAGTTTAAACAAAAAGAAATTCCTATGGATGGTACAGTAATTACAGCAGAAATACAATTCCCTCTAGAATCCAAATTTGCTTGATTCCTAGTTATATTTGAAAGGGTAGGGGGGACTTTAAAGACTGGTATAGACTGTTTACCCAGTGGACATCAAATATCACGGCCTGGAGTTACAGGAGGGTCAGGCCTCCCCCCAGCATTTGCAAGCGCAAAGCAAGAATATAAGGAGAAGACATCTCATTCTCTTCTCTTCCCACCCCAGTTCTGTTCCACATTGCTGGCATCACAGATTGAACACCCAACTCACCTGTCCAAGCTCCATCCATTCCCCAAACAGCTGCCCCTTGGCCACAGCTCAGGCCTAGGGGTGAGCTTCTAGATGGGTATCTGTCCTCTCTGGGAGGAGAGACTGCAGCAGAGGCCCACGTGGGCTGTGGAAGTAGATTTCGGGCCTTTTGGGAAGGAAATTCTGAGGCCATGAGTGCCAACAGCCTGTGGCTCAGCGATGGGGTACAGGCTGTTGGTGGAATGTCCCTTAACCCTGGGGTCTCCTTGCTCCTTGGAGATGGGCATGGTGACAGGGGGCCCAGCAACCTAGGGCCAAAGGGCAATACTGGGAATGGGCTCCTGGAAGCAACATTTGATGCCTCTGACACCAATAGAAATGTAAATAAGAACAAACTCCAGGATGGGGGCCTCATCTCTCAGAGGCATAAAAAATGACATTACAAAAAAACCTAGTATGGTACTTAATTTAAACATTACTCATTCTTCAGCTATTATTTTCCCTACTTCACCTCCCTGCAACGCATCAACTAATCATGCTGAAGTCCCAATAGAACTGGTAAACTGTACCAGCTGACAGTCAGAGCTGGCTTGGGAGGTTCTCGGCAGATCTGTTAGAAGCCATTTCTTACTTTAAGCTGAGATCTGCTGTCCTGCCACTTCCACATATGGGCTAACCCTGGGTAGACCTGTCCCTCATCTATGAGACAGCCCTTCCCATAGATGCAGCTGCTTTCATTCCCACTCGCTCTCTGCATTCATCCTCCCTGTTTCCTTTGTAGCTAAATTATCTGCATGCACTTTCTTCACCTAATGACTCATCCATTCCTGAGACTCCAGGTGACATCTCCATATGTTTTCTGAATCCATTTCTACTTCTGCTCTCTTTTCTGACCCTTCCCTTACATACCTGGTTCTGAGTTCATCGTAACCCTCACCTTACTCCACTAAACAACTCTCTCCTGACTTCCATATTAATGCTATTGGTACCCTTTTGCTTTTTCTCCCCTAGAGCCAAGGCTTGATGCTGGGCTCATGTAGCGGTCTGCAGGCTCATCTGTCCCTTGTCCTCTGCACTTGCACTCCCTGAGTCCAGACCATCTTCAATTACACTGCAATTATTACAACAGATTCTCTATACGGTCACCTTCCTTCCAACACCTCCCATGCAACCTAACTCATAGCAGGGTCTCAAATTTCCCAGAATTGCTTAGGAAGCTTCTTCAAGATGTTTTTGCCTGAGATTCCCCTCCATTTTACTGGATTAGAACCACCTGTAGTATGGCCCAGGACAAGCTCTGAACTTTTACAAACCTCCCCAGGTCATGGATGCGACCAGTCAGCAGGCCTGGAATTGGGAACTACTACATACCACAGTCAAATTCATCTTCTAGAAATATTGGTTCAGAAACTCAGAGTAACTCTCCCAGGCCCCAGAATTCTGTCTCAAATCTGAGGCCTGCTTTGAAGACTTTCCACAGTCCTGTCTGCCTCTCCCCAGTCTCCTACTAGCCTCCCCTGTGTCGCCAAGAGGATCTGCTTGACTTCTTTCTACACCCAGGGAACAGCTTCCCATCTGATTCTGTGCTGGTTCCATTCCCTGTCCTCTCCCTCCTCCCTCCCTTGCTCCTGAGGGATGGGAATGGTGAGAGAGGGCCACAGGACCCAGTGACCCAGGGTCTAAGGGCAATACCAGGAATGGCCTCCTTGAAGCAACGCTGGATGCTTCTGACACCAATAGAAAAGTAAGTAAGAACAAGCTCCCCCGGAGGAGCCTCTGCAGCCCTTTACTCCCTGGCTTCCTGGGGAGCTTGTGTTTGTACCACTCCTTGATGCTCAGCTCCTGCCACCCCTCCTTGCAGTTCATCTGTCTCCAGCTGCCAGTACAGAGCAGCTACTTAACAGCTGCCAGTTTCCTTCCGCTCCTCCCACCCCCGGCCTTCTCCAGCCAGAATGCAATTGCAGGGCTGGGCTGTCTCTCAGCACCCTGTGTCCCCAGTACCCAGTCCAGGCCCACCAGAGAGGAGAAACTCAACAGTAGGCTGTTAACAATCATGACACTCATCAAACTTTGACTTTGTTTTTACTGAAAAATTGAAACATTAATTTTTTCCCTTATGATTTGTACCAAATCGTATAAGAAAGAAGAATGTCAGCCTGTAGACCCAACCCAGGAACTTGCTATTTCCATCTGAACTAACGGTTATGTTCTTTCTTTTGATTTACTTCTGCTTTTATGCCAACTGCGAGGGAATAAACAGTCTCATCAGCCCATCTGCAGCTGTGCCTTTGCCACCTTCTGCCCCCAAGGAGGCCTTTGTACAACTGTCACCCTCAGGAACCTATGAAAAGCATTTTTCATCCCAGACTTGGCCCCAGGTGGACGCACCTTTTCCCTTATATTTCACCTCATGGAACTCCTCTCCCTCTGGTCCAGGGCAGGACCTTCGCACAGTCCATTCTGCCACACAAGCACCTTTATGAAGCCAGAAGGAAAAGCCAGGATGCGCGTGATGAGTAGGTAAGTGCGGTAACAGCCTTCCTGTCTCCCAGAGCAGCTCCGCACAGATTGACAGCATTTAACTGCCCCCTTTTCTTTTATTTTCTGAATATTTCCCTCAGGCATTCCTTGGACTCACCCGTATTTGTTTCACAAACTTCTTTTAGGAGACTTCCAAGTGCCAGGCACTGAGCTGGCCACTTGGGATACAGGAATGACAAACCAGTTGCCCCTAAGGAGCTCACAGGCCAATGAGGAGACAGACAGACCTGTCAGTAACCACCAGCAGCAGAACATGAAGAGGGTTATACATGGGACTTGCGACCCAGGCTCTGGGAGTATAGCGGAGAGCAAGAGTTAGGACACGGTGAGCATTCAGGGAGGCTTCACAAAGAGTTAAGCTGGAGATAAACTTCAATTATAAACACATGTTATCAAGATGTGACGAAGGAGAATAAATGGGACATGGAGAGGGAATTCTAGGCAAAGTAAAAGTCATGTGCATTGGTCTGTGGCTTTGCAGAATGTGGGAATTAAAAAGAAATCAAGCAATTCCAAATGATAAGGACATGTCATGTTAGAGAGTTGACTATGACACCCACATTCACCCCATAGTAGGAGGCTGGAAAGGAAGGTGGAGGCCAGGAGGTGGGACTTTAATTCAGATTGGATGGGCAGGAATTTTTTGCACAGGTAAGGGGGAGCCATTAAAGGACTTTGAATGGGGGAAAGTCATATCATATTTACTACTGTGAAAGATCCCTCTGGCTGTTGTATGGAGAAAAGATTGGGAGGAACACAAGTGAATGCAGGGTAACAGATGGTTACCACAGTGGCCCAGGAAAGGGTGACAAGAAGGAGGGTCAGGAGTGACTCCTAGACTTAGCATTTACATAGTAAGAGGCTGAGTTATGGATTCTGGAGTAGAACCACCTTTCAGGGGACAGATCAGGAATCTGGATTTTCACATACCAGTTTAAGATCCTTTTAAGAAATCCAAAGGGGAGTATCAAGTAGGTAGTTGAAAGCTCAGAGGAGAGGTCAAGGTGGGTTGTATAAATTTACATTTGATCATTGAGATCAAAACCAGGAGTACTGATGAGGGTGTAGTTGAGAAGAGACCCTGGGTCTAAGCCGGTGGAATTTCAAAGGCTCACGAATGGGTATTAGAATAAGTAGACCCAAGGGACTGAGAGTGAGAGGGTGGCAAGGGGGTGCAAGATTCAGAAGACTGGGGTATTCCGGAAGCAGTGGAAGAGTGTGTTTAAGAAGGAGATTTGTCAGGTCCGGGCGCAGTGGCTCAGACCTGTAATCCCAGCACTTTGGGAGGCCAAGGCGGGTGGGTCACCTCAGGTCAGGAGTTCGAGACCAGCCTGGCCAACATGGTGAAACCCCTCTCTACTAAAAATACAAAAAATTAGCTGGGCATGGTGGTGCATGCCTGTAGTCCCATAGTCCCAGCTACTGGGGAGGCTGAGGCAGGAGAATCACTTGAACCCAGGAGGTGGAGTTTGCAGTGAGCCAAGATCGCGCCACTGCACTCCAGCCTGGGCAACAGAGTAAGACTTCATCTCAAGAAAATAGAAGGAGATTGGTCAAATACAGCAAGTGTTGAGAGACCAAGTGGGATGAGAACTGAAAATACTGATGCAGATGTCGCTGTTAATCTTCACAAAAGCAGTAGGAGTGTGTTGAAGATAGAGAAGGAAAGAAATGAAGTCTGTGATGCAAAAAGAATTTTGCAAAATCTTTGCAAATTTTGCTGAGGGAGAGGCAATGGAAAGGGCAGTAGATGGAGGGGAACTGGGGACGAAGTTTGGGGTTTTGGCCTTCTTTATTAGTGGAAGGAGCTTGTGTAGTTTTAAATGTTGTTGGTAAGCCAAGCATGGTGGCTCATACCTGTAATCCCAGCACTTTGGGAGGCGGGAGACAGACAGATCACTAGAGCTCAGGAGTTTGAGACCAGCCTGGGAAACATGGTGAAATCCCATCTCTACAAAAAGTACAAAAATTAGCCCGGCATAGTGGCACACATCTGTAGTCCCAGCTACTCAGGAGGCTGAGATGGGAGGATTTCTGGAGCCTGGGATGGTCAAGGTTGCAGTGAACCAAGATCGTGCCACTGCACTCCAGCAGGCAATAGAGCCAGACTTTGTCTCAAAAAATAAAATTAAGTTAAATTAAACTAAACTAAAATAAATAAATTAATGTTGATGGGGGAGAATAAAATTAAAAGGCAGGGGCTGAATGTTTAAGAGATGGAAGAGATGAAGTCTAAAGCAATGATTAAGGAATGCCTTCTTCATTTCTTTCACTGAAACAATCCTTCCAATTCAAGAGGATCACCCTGTGCTCCCACAGAACTCTGTCCTTCCCCTATAGGCTATTTCCATTCCCAGTTGACTGCCTATTTACTCCCTAGGTTGTGAACTCAAGCCAGCTCCACGAGGGCACTGTTGAGTGCTGCATTCACCATTGTGTCACAAATGCCTAACACAGTGATTCTCAACGTTTTTGTCTCAGGCTGCTTACACCCTTAAAATTATTAAGGACCCCAAAGAGCCTTGTTTATGTGGATTTTAAATATTGACATTTGTAGTATTTGATATTAAAACTGGAAAAGCATTTTAAACATTTATTCATTCGTTAATTTATTTAAAAGTAACAAGAGTAAACCCATTGCACATTAGCGTAAATAACATTGTTCATGAAAAGTAACTATATTTTTCCACAGGAAAACCAGTGAGAAGAGTGGCATTGTTTTACATTTTTGTAAATCTCTGTGATACAGGCTTAAAAGAAGGCAGCTGGAATCGTGTTATCTGCTTGTGCATTCAGCCAGTTGTGATGACACACGTTAAGCACCCTTTGTAAAGTTCTGTACACTCATGGGAGAATGAGAAGGATGAAGGCAAATAATCTCTTTCATTACAAAATAATTTTGACTTTGGGGCCCCTGGAGGTTTTATGGGGACCTCTATGTATCTCTAGACTACACTTTGAGAAGCGTTGGCCTCCCCTGATGAGAGGAACACATGCATTATTTCATTAATCAGAGTTGTAATCCATTCCCAGGGGCTCCCATCTCTCTGTCATCTTTCCAGCAAATCACATAACTTACAGCAACATTTACAGAACCTTATGATAAGGCAATTCTCACGTAGCTAATCTGCCTTTAATTATTACTCAATTTCCAGCAGCCTCTCCACCATGATTTTTGTTCAGTGTTGAAATCATTCAAAGTGAAATCATCTATGAAACTGGAAAATTCCACCAAAAGATCTGCCCTCTCAATAGCTCCCACAATGAACAAAATAATTTTTCATAAAGTATTTTTGCAGGGGTATCATCAAAGTTAATTTCAGATGAATTAAGCAATTCAATTCCTACTTGAGAAATGGTTCCCTTGTTCATTAGTAACTTGCAGAAATTGTTTAAACCATTCTTCTTCCAGGTGCGTGGGACTATTTCAGTTTCAGAGGACTCTGGCCAAGAAGCCTGGTGCCCTTGGGTTCATGGTCCTGTTCACATTAACCATTTGTGTCACCTTGGCCAGCTCACTTTCCCTCTTTGGGCCTCATTGTTTTTTTCTTCTGTAAAGCTAGATCAGTGGTTCTCAGATTTACTCATGTAATAAATGTGAAGGAGTGATCAGAAGTCAAAGGCTTTTCCTTGAATGCCATATTCTTTGTTGAGCACTATAAAAATAGTGGCAAATTTAATTAGACCTTGTGGAATAGTAACAATTTTAGACTTAGAAAATATTACCTTAATAGATGATCCTGTATGGAATCAAAACTGGGAGCACAGAGCTCATTAAAAAAGAAAAGAAGAGAAAAGAAAAAAAAGAAAAAGGCTATCCAATTAAGCATGGTCAACTATTTGCAAATTGCCCTCATAAATATTTATTTTATACTTGTTCATTTCATTTTATTGTCAGCTATCACAGCCATTGGTTTTAGAGAAATAGAGAAGAGGAAAACTTTGAAGAAATTCTGCCCATTAACTACATCTGCTAATTGAGAAAAGTCCAGTTTTCAACTGTAGCTGTGAGACTCCTCAATCTTGCTTGGGAAAAAATAATGGCCTGTGAGAGGAAGGTCCCCATCGGCTTCAGTTAATCTAATGTTCTATGTTTTTACTGTATTTCTGCTGTCCAACAATAGTTAGCCTTACTCCACACTTCAATGGGGTCGAAGAGCCACAGTGGCCCATACTTCAATGGCCTCTGAGAGCCAAAAGCACTTTCTATATCATCTAGTCAAATACCTAATTTCCAGATAAAGCAAGCCAGGCCTAGAGAGGTTCCAGGATTTTCCTAAACTCACCTAGCTACTTAGTGGCCAGGCCATGGTTAGAACCTGGGTCTCCTGGTGTACTCTGTGTTTTTCAATCCTACATGGTTGCCTGACAATAAATGCACACATAGTTAATTCTCTAGTAATGTGCTATATTCATTCATAACTTAGTCAATAATTATTTCTTCAGTTGGAAATTTGACATTAGACAACTCATCACTGATACATAGGATTCTTATAAGTCAAGATTTAATTAAAATCCATTTTGTTCTTTTTAAGCTGTAAGAGATGGAAAAATAAATATGCAAAGCAGTGGATTCTATTATGAATCAATTAGGCCACTATTCTATGTGTTTTGTTATCCATGGTGGGTTTCATTCATTCTTGTTCAGTTTGTGAGCTGTAATAAAGTGTGTGTTTTGTCATTGACATCAGCATGAAGTCTGCATTTGTCTACTGCAGAGAATGGCAGAGAATTTTCTTTTGGGGTCTCCATTTGGGACCCCATTTTCTTTTGGGGTCTCTGACTTTCCAAGGGGAGAGAACTACCTGGATCACTCCAGGAACCCAGAAAGATCTTCTGAGGCTGAAACTTAGGTACCCCAGCACCCCCCTGTTATGATGGGAAACCTTAGTTCATGGGGAAGCAGGTTTTCACTTTGTATACTGAAAAACTAGATTAGCGAAAGGAGATGTAAGTTGCAGCATCTACTCATAAATCAAAATACATTCCTGGGTGATTAAAATTCACCCCCTGTGCCCAACTCGTTATGCAATTAATACATCTGGCTCATAAAGAGCAATCTGGCCTCTCATTCCAACTCTAGAATGCAATTAAATTTTCTGAGGCTAAAATTTCCATTCTTTTAAAACATCAGTAAATAATAAAATGGATGTTTCTTTTATTGGGTTCTAGAGTGAAAAAATCCACAGATGATTTACTGCTTGGATCAAACTCAGTTCCAATATCGGGGAAATTACTGAGGAGGAAAACAAGCCACAATTGTAATAGTTTTATTTCACTTTATTAGGATCTGTAATTATCACTTCTGAATCATAGTGTGATTTGCAAAATGAAATCTAGCTGATTTATTTCCCACCAGTGATAATCCTTCTGTCTTTTAGGGCCTGATATGAAATTCAAAGAAGTTTTCCATCCAATTATTATCCATCTTGCAAGGATTTTGGAATTATTTATAGTGATTAACATACAAGAAGGTGCGTTCTCATTTACTGTAACAAGATCCTGATGTTGCAGATAGTTCTGGTAAAGCAAGCTCAGGCTATTTGACACTAAGCAAATCATGAGATCATGTGGCTGGAGGAAATCATATTTGACACTGTAATGCTGAACCACATAGGATCTTTAGAATGTCTGCTAGATTCAGAAAATCCTGGTAAAGACTGTACATCCTCTGTTGAGATTCAATTTTCTACACAGAGCTGGGGCTCAACAAAATGTTTGTTGTTCACCCAGAAGTCTTTCAGCTGTCTCTAACTACCTCCACGATTCAGGGCGTACTTAGCGTTTTTCTTCCCTCCGGTAGCAGATGAGAGCAGCTACCACGTTCCCTGGTAAATAGCAAGCACCGTTTTCGCAGGCCACAGAACTTCGCCAGGTATTCCTTCGGTTTTCCCTTCTCTAACTCAGAAGAACCAATTTTAACAATTGTTTCAAAGCTACCCAACAAGGAGAGGCATGGGTGTTTTCCCCACAATTTAGGACTCAATTCTTTAGATCAACATTTTTTGGTGAAAAGTACAGGTGGAATAAAACTATTTTTAAATACTCATTTGTTTATTAATTTTATAGGTAATTAGGCTTTTACCAGGCACCAGGCACTGGGCTACCTGCTGGTAAATCAATCCCCCCGAAAAAAACATGAATTCTTCCCTAGGAACTAATAGTATTGTGGGAAATGTGGCTATATAAAGGAATAATTACAGAGTGATGCAATAAGTGTATTTGACATAAATATTTTCCTTTATGATTAGTGGAATATTTCTCCACAATCTATGGAATGCATTCAAAATTGACTTTTTTTGGATTAGCTCAGTTTTAGTGACTTTTAAATTTTGATTGAGGAAAATCTGGGATTTTTAAGAGAGGAAAATCTGGGATTTTTAAGAAAGGAAAAGACAAAAATAGATACCCGCTTAAATGCTACATACACTAATTTTAAAGGTATATGTAAAGTTGCAAGCACTAGTAAAATAACTTGTGTTTGTTATGCTCCTCAACACTTTTCCCTGTATTTTCTACAAACGAATCTCTTTGATAATAAAAAGTAGGTTTTTTAAATGTTGCTTTTTTCCTTGTAGAAATGCACAATAAGAGCATGCATAATGCTAGAAAAACTTTGACCTAAAACAGCCTTTTCAGTCATTTTATAGTTCTCTGAATAACTGGAAAATTGTAGTTTACACACACTCACACACACACATACACACACCCCCCGTAGGTTTCTGTTGCTGATTTTACCTGCGGTTTCAACACCGCTGAGTCAACTTCATGGTGCTGGCCCTTTATCTGAAAAATTGATTCATTCTCTCAGTCTTTGCCTTTGAACCTAAATCACCTTGTTGTTAATATCCTTTGAACATCCTTTGAACTCTCAATAAATATCTGTTTTATAATCTCAAAGGGCAAAAACCTCTATTTGTAAGTTTTCAATGCCAAATCACAGTCATGTTAAAACAGGTCAAATAAGTGCATGTTCTGAGTTCAGGGTGTAATAGGAAAAGCCATAGAGACGTAGGTAACTTAGGGACAGTTACCTTCTTTCTAGATGAATCCTTAGATTCCTGAGCTGGGATGCCTGGTCTAAGTTGGTCTATTTGGTAAGCAAAACAGAACCTTATTGAAGAAAACTCTGCCCCAAAATGTCGCATCTGTTTATGCAAATGAAAATCAAACCATTCTTAAGCAACTGGTCTCGGCTTCAAGAAGTACTGTGAACAAGTCTTATTTAAAATGAGAGCCACAAAGCCTACTTCAGGTTCTTTTTACAAGAGCCTTTTCTGTCCAATTTCCCAAAATTAAAGCATGAGCTCCCTCTGCTGAGTGAATTCACATGTGTTGATGAAACAGACTCCAAAAACATTTGTATATTACCTATTGAACCATTATGTTCCTGTAAACATAAGCAATTATAAATATAAAACATATTTATATTTTCTTTTTTTCAAACTCATAATACAGAATGGGATGGAAAGGTAAAGAAAAGTAATTCACAAGGTAGAGATTCATTAGTTGAGGCTTTTCAGTTTCACAACAATGGTCCTGAGCAACAGCTGCTGGTACGGCAATGCTTTGTAATCACCATGATGAGTTACCAGGGGTTGCTTGCAAGCACCGGTTCTCACAATCAACCTATTACCCAGCTTTGGTTCTTCATAGCACTTATCATATCTGAAATTACAACTGACGTATTCAATTGTCTGGTTATGACTGTCTTCCCCTAAGAGAATGTTGACTTCCTGACAGTGGATAACATGTCTGTGCTTTCAGCCCTTAGAACATGCCTGACACACAGTAGGTGCTCCGATTTGTTTTATGAATTGAGGGAGGCAGAAAAGCAGGCAGGCAGGTCAGCATATACCTATAGTGTCACTTAGGATTATGGTTCAACTAGAGAATGATTCAGTGCCAATCACATGGAACTGGATACAAATTTAGTAGGAAATGATAGAGATAAGAGAGCCAAAGGACGTACGGTGAAAGAGGTGTGGAATTCAAGCTCAACCATAAAGATGGGAAGGACTTGGTGAAGTTAGACAAGGAAACAAGCATGGTGTTAAGCACTGAGGATACAATGACTTAAAGAAAAAGGCCTGGACTTTGCTCTCATGAAGCTTATAATCTGATGGGTAAGACAGGTATCAAAGAAATAAACAAATGAAATGCAAAACTGCAATTGTGACAAGTGCTATGAAAGAGTGGAATGTGATGTTAGAGGAGCAGGTAATAGGGTGACCCAAACTTATCGGACAGTTATGGAAGGCTTCTCTCAGCTGAGATGAAAGGAAGGGGGAGTTACCAGGTAAGGAGGGTGGAACTGCACACACACTGTGCAGGAGACTGGAGGCAGTGCCTGTTGCTGGAGCAGAGAGCAGGGGAGATGGTGGGAGAGGAGCTACCCAGCACCTGATGAGGAAAATCTCTCTTGATCCTTAGAGCAGAGCGCAAAGCATGGCTGTAATGGTTCTGATTGCTTTTCAGGGATTCTGAATCATGTTTACTCTCTTTTCCTCACTTTTCTATATTTACAAGGTAGTCTACAATGAAGATGTGTTATTTAATAATTTAAAAAGGGGTCTTTTATGAAAGAGAGTGGTGGCATTATATGCCTACTCTGGCCTTTCCGACTTACCCTCTTCTTTCCCAGGTTTACAGAATAGTAATGAAGGTGTCTCACTTTCAGAGCTGACCCTGGCCTCAGCCTGGCCTAGGTGAGGGACATCCTGGCTGATGTGGTCCCCAAGTCCCAGAGAACACACAGACACATCATGCTCTCTTGAAGCATCTGAGAACCCTGGCTGGACAATAGATCAGGAACGTGGCAGTAGGTTTTCTGCACCAATTATCTGGGTGTGGGTAGTTTAGTGAGGAAAGGTTGTATCATTCATGATTTCTACCACTTTCTGCTGTATCCATTGGTGTTTTTCACATGATTGAAATATTAGATTGCCTAATTTCAGACCCTTGTGGATAAGCCACTTAAATGCCCAAGTTTTCAGAATAGGGAGCCAGAGAGGAGGTGCTGCCTTCCTGGTCCACCCACCCATGACCTGGTTCATATCTGCAATTGTCTGTTGAGAATCTATCCAGTCCAGAAATGTCTATCTTTAACAGCTCCCTAAGGGGTTCTTTAACTTGTTACTTACAGAGATAACTGATGGGTTCATTGAGAACAATTGACCTGATAACAAATATGAATGAGAACCACACAATTAACTCAACCTTTCAGTGTAATTCTGTATTATTCCAATTATGATATATGATATATAGCTGTAAAATATTGACTACAAATATACATGTAATTATCAACTATAAATAACAGCAGCAGCATTATCCTTGCTAACCCTCAATGCCTCTGTATGAAAGAATCACTGGATTGTTTCTATGGTCCGGTCTGCACCCTCCTCTTTGATTACTGTGGCTTGGTGTTTCTGCTGGCCTCTTCTGGATCCTGTGACATGCACATTCTAGGCTGCCTGATTACAACAGTTCTATCTTTATAGGAGGGAGGGCCTTTAACCAGCTAGGTTCATCTCAGTCATTCTAGCTGCAATTTGTTACTCAAAGTAAATTCTTCAATGATGAAATCCCCATCAATGGCCTTTTCCAGGAGGCAGCTTCCCCAGATCAAAGGTTGTCAGGGTATGTTGCCCACAAGCCATCTCTCCTCTGCCCCCTCTTACATCTGAATCTCTCGGTATATTGTCACCTCTGTGCTCCTTGAATCTGCATTGCAGCCATGGGTAGGTTTTAGTGGTGATATCTTGGCTGGGAGATCAACTTTTCCCACCCTGCAGATGTCGCTGTCTCTGGGATGCTGCCTAGTCTCCTCTTTCAAACCCTCTCTGGCTCAGCTCCTGCCTCCCCCTCCACATCTCACCCCAAACAGCCCTTGCTCCCTTTCTTCTCAGATATACTCTACTAACCCCACCCACCCACCACCAGCTGCAAGCACCTGGGGTTACTCTCCTTAACTATTTCCTATTATCAAGCAAGCTAGACATGCAGAGTTGGAAAATAAATTCTTCATATGTAAATCACTGGAGTCCTCTCCTAATCAGAAATTAGAAGTGGGTGGCATGGAAGTGATTTTCACGATTTGTCTTCACACTTCTGTTTCGCCAATAAATAAAGGGATTAGTGATTCCTCTAAAACATTTTAAGATTTGCAAGAAAATCTCTCATTTATGCTGGCACTTTTTATTCTAATTGCTGAGACTGAAAAGAAATGTCATTCTCTATTTAATTCAGTGTTCATAATAAAAGCCCTGAGGTTGCTGATTAATTTTTATTTTCATCCTTAGGAAGTCAACTGTTAGCAGAATTTCAACTTCTGATCTCATTCCTGCTTTGGGTGTAGGCAATTGCGTACTCAACCTTGCTTCAAAACGTGAGCTACTGAATTCCCTCAGAAGTGCTGATGTCAGTTTTATAAGTGTATTGAATGCAGAATTGTGGAATAATATGAACCTGTTATTTAAATCATTGGTTACCATACTAACTTTTCATTTTGCTGTGGATAGAACTGGAAGCACAGACATTGTCAGGATAGTGGATGAATATGACACACTTTAAGTGATCAGGAAGCATGTGTGAAACCATCTCAATCTGTCTTTCTTCTTATCTAGTCACTATCAAGAGACAAAGCACTTGTAATTGATTAATGTTATAAAGCAAGACTAGAATGTAATGAAGCATAGAGTTTTATTTTAGAGGCAGTTTTATTTTAACAGCTTTATGGCTTCCTTTTTGTCTCGGACTTGTTTGCTTAGGTTCTAAAGAGATCATTTACATTTTTAAAAATTTATACTTTGGTACTTTGAAGGAAAAAGCATACTTTTTTCTACCCTCACACACCACTCATCCCAGAACACTTCTGATGTCAGATGTGTGTGGGATTTTTCCTCACACACCAAGCAGTTCTCCAGTGGACACCAAGTTAATTTAACTCAATTCTGACACTCCCTACCTGGAGACAGTGTCAGGCCCCACAGGTTGAGGGCTCAGTCATACAAGGCTGCCCTCCTTTTCAGATGCCAATCACAAATCCAGGCCTCTGCAACTTCTGACCTATAGGATAGAAATTGGGGGCTCCCATGACCAAACCATAACCAAACATTAGGTTTGGTTAATGTTCTAGAGTGACTCGCAGATCTCAGGGAAACACTTTACCTACAGTTACCCATTTATTATGCAGGATATTACAAAGGATACAGGTTAACAGCCAGATGGAAAAGATGTATAGAGGAAGGGATGTGGGAAGGGGTGTGGGGCTTCCATGCCCTCCCTGGGCACGCCACCCTGCAGGAACCTCCATGCATTCAGCTATCCAGACACTCATCTGAACCTTGACCTTCTGGGTTTTTATGGAAGCTTAATTTCATAGGCATGATTGATTACATCATTGGTCTTTAGTGAGCCACTCAACTTTCAGCCTCTCTCCTCTCTGCATCAGGGGGTGGGCTAAAAGTTCCAACTCTCTAACTGCAAGGTTGATTCCCTTGGCAACCAGCCCCCATTCTCAGGCTAACCAGGAGCCCACCAACCACCACCTCATTAGGATAGAAGATGCTGTCACCCAGAAAATTCCAAGGGATTAGGAGCTCTGTGTCAGATGTACCTGTCACTGAGGAAATTACAAAGGTCTTAGGAGCTCTGTGTCAGGCCTGGAGATCAAAGACCAAATGTTAAAACCAAAGATTCTTCTAGTGCCCCTACCTACCAGGGTTTTAGGAGCTCAAGAACTGAGGTCAGGGACCACTATATGTATTTTTTATTATCTCGCAATTTCATAAGTAGCTTTTATGGGGAAATGTATAACTACAGTGAAATCCACTGAAGGGGATTCATGAGAATCACAAGATACCCTTCATAGTGCCAAGGGCCCATTGAATAATACAGACCTTGTCAGGTACATTGATTTGAAAGGAAAGTTCTAGTAGGACCAGGCTGAGGAAGTGACTCTACATGGTGAAACAAAAGACAGAACAGAACACTTCTTGGTTTACAAACTACATGAGAAAAAATTAGTCTCTTTTTCACTAGACTTTTGACCAAAGAGTGTGATGGCCAATTTGACCCACTGCCTTACACGTCAAACTGGTTTCTGAATGTCTTTGACCTCTTACCAAAAATCAAACTCACCTTCAAAGGATAAAGATTTATCACCCCTGAGACTACAGACTCTGAAAGAATATCCCCCAGAGTTCCCACAATGTCATGACAGCACTATTGAGACAAATGTATAATCTCTCCCAAGCTGGCCATTTCAAAGAGAGTAACATTTATTTGTGTGGCTATGTTTTAGGATTTGGGTTTAAAATAATCACTGGACTTTAAGGTTGTTTCATTTATTGATGTTACTGCTGGCATTTGTATTTCATCAGCCAATGTCACTATTCTCATGAGT
Source organism: Homo sapiens (assembly GCF_000001405.40). Lineage (NCBI taxonomy): Eukaryota > Metazoa > Chordata > Mammalia > Primates > Hominidae > Homo > Homo sapiens. The sequence goes on from NC_000002.12 coordinate 200,708,439, forward strand.
AATATATCCGCTTTTATCACCATCACTCTCCAGACATTTCAACTCTTCAAAATCACTCACAATCTCTCTCCCCACAACACACCCCTCTGTCTGTCACTGTCACCACATTTACCCACTGATTCCCACCATTCTTCCCTGTAAGTTGCACACTGTAATCTTGACAGAATGTTCCCCATAAACTGGAGGAGTTCTGCTCCATTAGCACAGGTAGGAGACTGTTTTCCCAAGACAGGGCTCCCAGATACATCTGGATACAACCAGAATCTGGGATAGTCACGATATTATGTGTGGCTATTTTTCAATTTAATTTTAATTTTAGCATGTATTTTCAGAATAAGAAATCCTAAATTTAATAATAGTAGTTTCAATAGTATATAATATCTTTAAATGAAATTTTTTTTCCTTCCTAGTGGAAGAAATACAGCAAATTCCTCTAAATGGTCATTTTCTTGCAGGAGCAACCAATGCAAGCCTTAAACCAGAACAAGTCCTAGTTTGTTTTTTATTCCTCTCTCTAGAAAGATATGAGATTATAAAGTTTAAAATGTTCACTTTCATCTGTTTGCTTTTGTTGCTTTATTTTTATCTTGGATTGAATACAGCATAATAAAAAGTAGAATTTGTAGCAAATATTGTATATATGCCTAGGTGCAAACAATAACAGATTAGATGTCAATCTGTGTCATTAGAGAATTTCAGGACATTGCATCGTTCTCTTATCCTTCTTCTTCAAAAGCTCTAAAAACCTAGGATCCCTGGAATGACAAGTCATATACTTGAAAGAAATAAATAACCTTATTGTACAGATGAGGAGATTGGGGCCCAAATATGTTTAATTATTTCAACAAAGTTGCACAGTGAATGGGTGGCAGAACCATGACCAAAACCCACCATCAGCCTCAGAGAAGTTAAGTGGAATAAAGAATTATTTATAAAATCTTTTTTTTTTTTTTTTTGAGATGGAGTCTCGCTCTATCGCCCAAGCTGGAGTGCAGTGACGCGATCTGGGTTCACTGCAACCTCTGCCTCCCGTGTTCAAGCGATTCTCCTGCCTCAGCCTCTCGAGCAGCTGGGACTACAGGCATGTGCCACCATGCCTGGCTGATTTTTTGTATTTTTAGTAGAGAGGGGGTTTCACCACTTTAGCCAGGATGGTCTTGATCTCCTGACCTCGTGATCCGCCCGCCTCGGCCTCCCAAAGTGCTGGGATTACAGGCATGAGCCACTGTGCCCGGTCTATAAAATATTTTATTTTGGCTTTACTGCCCAAGATTAATGTTTTCTTCAAACTAATAAGAACTTCAGAGAAATGTACAGGGAACCAAATGAGTTGTGATCATACTAAGATTCTGGTCCAATATGAGCAGTTCGTGTATTCATTGATGGGCAAAATGTGGCTTTGACTTGCTCTTTGTTTAATGGCAATATCTGCTTGCCAACCGAAAACTTGAACAAATGTGGATGTTACTATTGAATCTCTTCTTCAGCTCCAGGTCAGTTCAACCAATAAATGAAAAGCGATGGCTATTGCCAGAAGAGAAGAGCAGCACACTCATTTTGTTGACACCTTCCCCCACTATCATTCACTAATTCGATATTGATTGACACTCTACCGAGTAGCACATGAGCACCAAGGACAGATAAATAGTGACGATTGCCACTATTAACCAGAACTATTGCTAGGTGTCCCCCTGCCCCAGCTATAATTTAGAGGCATGGTGGAATAAATTAGAAGAATAAAATTAACAAAGATTTACTACTGATAACTTGCTCTTGACCAACAGAACCCAATATGCAGAGTCTGTGCTGGTTAATTTTAGGAATGCTAGGACTTCAGAAACATTTGCCAAATGAGAAGGCAGATGATATTGTGAGAATGGTGCCTATGACACGTTCATGAGTTTCCAGGAGGGTGTCTGCAGCCAGGAGTGGGGGCGGGTGGGAAGTTGAAGAAAACGAAGCAGCAGGTCCTGTCCCCTATCACCCATTGAGCATTCTTGCCACCCCCTAGGTTTAACCTAAATCAATTTATGAAAAAAGAATCAGATAAACCCAAATTGAGCAGCAAGCTGCAAAACAACTAGTCTGACTCTCCAAAATGTCAGTGTCATGAACAACAAAAAAGGCTGGAGAGCTTTCCTAGAGTAAAGGAGTCAAGAGAGCTAAGAAGATGACATCTTCACCGCTCCCATGGGGGAGATCGTAAATGCAGTATTTGTGTAATTGGAAAAATTCAAATATGAACTGTATGTTAAACAACACTATTGTTTCAATACTCATTAATAAGTCTCATTATCCTGACAATGATGGTAAGGTTACGTAGGAGAAAGCCCTTGTATTTTAGGAGTTACATGAGGCAATATTTAAGGATGAAGTGTTATGATGTCAATAATTAACTCTTACGTGATTCAGCTAAAACCATCTGATGGGGGTAGCCGGGGTTAGCTACAGCAAGAGTGAGTGTATGTGGCATAATGTTAACTGCTGGTGATCAGTGAATCCAGGTGAAGGGTATATAGGTATTATTACTTATTGTACCATCCTTGAGACTTTTCTGTAGGTTTGAAATTTATTAAAACAAAAAGTCAGCTGGGCGCGGTGGCTCACACCTGTAATCCCAGCATTTTGGGAGGCCGAGGCAGGCGGATCACCTTAGGTAAGGAGTTCGAGACCAGCCTGGCCAACATGATGAAACCTCATCTCTACTAAAAATACAAAAAATTAGCTGAGCGTGGTGGCACATGCCTGTAGTCCCAGCGACTGGGGAGTCTGAGGCAGGAGAATTTGCTTGAACCAGGGAGGTGGAGGTTGCAGTGAGCCAAGATCACGCCACTGCACTCCAGCCTCCAGCGTGGGCAACAGAACGAGACTCCGTCTCGAAGAAGAAAAAAGAAAGTCGTTCTTGTTGTATTCCAGTGAGAGTCTGCTTCAGCTTTCCGACAGGCCTCACATCAGCAAAATGCCCTGGCGGTTATGAATGCTGGAATGACAGTCCTTTTCAAAGACGGCACAAACACCACTGTGGACTTCAGTGTCTATATGGAGGAGGTGGCCCTACTACAGTTGGTGCAAATAAATTCTGTCAGCAGCTTATCAGAAGGTGATTTATTAACTTACACCTCAAACCAAATAAAGGAGCACCGTGTGTTGACCCTACCACAGTTTTGCTTTCATGCTATTTTTCTGAAGTCCCTTATAGGATGAAAACCATGGAGCTCCTCTAATTCATACAAACTTCCCCACGGCAATGAAAATAAAAGTCTGAAGACTATGCAGCAATATAGATTTTAAAAATGGTTTTATACCAATCAACTATATCTTCATAATTGATCATTTATATTAAAATAATGACAGCATCTTTACTTCAGAACCCCGGTGGATATCCTGACATCTCCAAGAAACTCTTAGGTGTCCTAACAGACTTTCTTTTGACCCTACCTCAGGGGATGTACTCATACGAGGTCACTACGTTTTCTGAAAGAACAGAACAGCCAAGTGGAGCTGTGACTGTCTTTTGCCATGGCTTTCCTTTTTAATTTCCAACTGCTGTCATAGTGTCAGCTTTTAGGAAAGGATCAGCTGTGGAAATGCTGTATTCAAGCAATAATCAGAAAATACAATGGAATAACAGTTCCCGTTTATAGTAACAACCAAAAAATAACTCTAGGGATAAAATCAACAAAAATATGTGCAGGGCCAACATGAAAAGAACTTTTAAAATCTATTGGTGAACTTTAAAAAAAGACAAATTTTAAAAGGGAAAGACATAAGCCTTAGCTACAAGGACACAAAATATAACAGTATCAATTTTCTCTTATAAATTAAATATAACACATTCCCAATCAAAACATCAACAGTGTCTTTTAAAAACTTGATTTTAAAGTTTATCTAGAAAGATAAAAAATGTATAATAAGAATAGTCAAGAGGGGAAACTAGCCCTATATAATATTGAAATGTATTCTATTACATTAATACATGTCTAGTAGTTACACATTATAGGTACTGATACAGGAGGAGAAAAACAGACCAACAGAACAATGTAAAGTCCTGAAATAGGCCAGAAAGTCAGGTCTCATTAGAAGCAAAAATGCACTTCAAGTAAGCCATAAAATGGAGCATTTAAGGAAGAATATTGGTACAACTTGCAAGCCATTTTAAAAACAAAGAAACATAAAGCTGTACTTCTATTTCCCACTTTACAATAAAAATAAATTCCAGATTGATTAAAGTTTTAAATACTAAAAACTATACTAAATATATGCATGCATTTAAAAAAATCCATAGCCTAAGGAACATGAAAGCCGGAAGTTATAAAGAAAAGACTGATAAATTTGACTATATAACAGAGAAAAGCATTAGTATAAAAAGAAACGCATTTACAGCAAAAACTTTTCTAAATCAATAAAAAAAGATTAAAAAAACAAAAAAAGAAAAGTATACCCACTGGCAGGAAACTGGAAAAATAAACTATTTTGAGCCTCACTTAGAATTTTTAAAATGAAAATTAAAACAGCAATGAGATACCATTTTCCTCTATTAGATTGGCAACAATTTAAAATGTTGATAGTACCCACGACTGATTAAATTTGACACATTTTTTCCTCCGAGCATACTTTTCATGTAATAAAGTTACTGAAACCAAATACTGTATTCTTAAAAATGGTTAGGGTTACTAAGAAGCCAGCAACAGAGGGCAGCAGAGACCTCCTCTGGGGCGTCCGCGTAGTTCATGTTCCAGTTTTACAAAAGCAGCTTTTTCTCTGCTGTGGTCTCTGAGGTGTCAGAGTGCAGCAAAAGGGAAATGCGTCATCAGTTCTTGTCATCTCATTGGTGACAATGAGTAATCAGGTGGCGGTGGCGAGGTGGTGTCTCTGGGCCCTCTCTCCAGGCCAGAACGGGCACGTCCCACACGCGAGCAAGGCTTCTTGCTGTGCCGCCCGTCAGAGCCAAGTCTGTGATGGCGCCTCTGTTCCAGGTTGTTACAGAGCTGGGCAGCTCCTCAGGAAGTTGGCATTAAAGAGAGCTGGTGTTCAAAATCTGGATTTTCTTTTTTTTTTTTTTTTAACCGAGAGTCCTTTCCCCTCAATAAACTTGACAAAGGAGATCAAGGAAACTAGGAAACTACCAGAAATTCTCATTTGCATTTCCAAGCAAACGCCCAGCAATCTTAGTCATATTAGCTGCATGGCTTTGGGGTTAGAAAGGAGGTGAGGTTGGGAGGGGAAGATAAAGGATAAAATCAGAGTGAATAACACAGAAGAGGTCTAGCCAGCTGCCTTTCCTGCTTACAAGGGGCCACTGGGGCCAGAGCAGGCCTCCTCCCCCGGCTGTTGCGTCCAGGCTGTTTCCCACACTGTAGACCCCCTTCCTCCTTTGGTCCTCTCTGCCCTTCCCTGGGTCTCCCATTTCAGACCTTGCTGTGCTTCCCAGTCCCCCACATGGAACTCAGACTCCAATTTCCATCAGTCAAGGGCTTGCCTCTTCAGGCACATGTCCTCAGCTCCCACTAAGAGGTCCTCAGCTTTAGGCCAGCTCGGCAGACTGGGGAAATGGACGCCTCTGCACTGACCCAGCAATGCTTATCCAGATCAGTGTTCAGGGAGCACCTTTCTCTCTATGTCCTGTGGATGCAGGGTCTGCCTGGTCAACGGCAAAGGTGTCTTTATGCATCTTCGGGAGGTTGGCCTGTTACTGGGTATAGAGTTAGGGAAAGTACAGCCTGAGAAATTAATATAGAATGCATGTGTATATACATACAGACATTTTTGTGCTTTCTTTTTATAAAAGTAAAACATGTCCTTTAATGGACATTCGACAAATACAGAAGAATATAAAAAGAAAATCAAAATCTCCTGTAAACCTACCAGCTATATATGGCCATTGCCAAAGTATTTTTTAAATACTGTATTAAAAACTTGATTCTCATACAAATCTTAAGTAAGCAAATGTCAAAGATTTATTTAACTCGACAATGAGGGAACCAGCAAAATGATAAAACTGGATGAAAGTGAATTTGAGAGACTGAGCATATAGGCATGCCAGCACAATGACGAAGGTTGCTAGTTTAGGTAAAAAACCGGTTAATATCTTACAGGTAATAAAACTGTAACCTTTGAGGTTGCCTTCCTACAGGACAGAAATAATTTGATTCTTTACTAGAAAAGAAAATCTACATGTTCTTATGTAGCTTCACAGAGTCTAGCCCCCAATCAATAGTAAACAAGTTCAACAAAGGAACATTCCCTTAGAGAATGAGATAACCATGGAATGGACTTGCTAGACTGTGTTCCAAAATGCATTGAAAGGCCATTCAGTGAATCTTGTCTATTTTTCCAAGTTTTGGATAATATTTCTTAACATGCTATTATAATTTTAATAGACTTCCTTGTAATTTTAAGGATTATTAGGGTGTATATAAATATGTGAATACATAAAACACATTTTTTATTTTATTATTATTATACTTTAAGTTTTAGGGTACATGTGCACAATGTGCAGGTTTGTTACATATGTATACATCTGCCATGTTGGTGTGCTGCACCCATTAACTCGTCATTTAGCATTAGGTATAGCTCCTAATGCTATCCCTCCCCCCTCCTCCCACCCCACAAAAGTCCCTGGTGTGTGATGTTCCCCTTCCTGTGTCCAAGTGTTCTCATTGTTCAATTCCCACCTATGAGTGAGAACATGCGGTGTTTGGTTTTTTGTCCTTGCGATAGTTTGCTGAGAATGATGGTTTCCAGTTTCATCCACTTCCCTGCAAAGGACATGAACTCATCCTTTTTTATGGCTGCATAGTATTCCATGGTGTATATGTGCCACATTTTCTTAATCCAGTCTGTCATTGTTGGACATTTGGGTTGGTTCCAAGTCTTTGCTATTGTAAATAGTGCCGCAATAAACATACATGTGCATGTGTCTTTATAGCAGCATGATTTATAATCCTTTGGGTATATACCCAGTAATGGGATGGCTGGGTCAAATGGTATTTCTAGTTCTAGATCCCTGAGGAATCGCCACACTGACTTCCACAATGGTTGAACTAGTTTACAGTCCCACCAACAGTGTAAAAGTGTTCCTGTTTCTCCACATCCACTCCAGCACCTGTTGTTTCCTGACTTTTTAATGATCGCCATTCTAACTGGTGTAAAACACATTTTTTTCAAGATCACATTTTATATATATAATCCTACATTCTTTTTTTCAGATAATAGTATATCACAAACATTTTCCTATGACACTAAAGATTTTTCAAAACAGGATTTTTAATGGATATGTGTTTGTTTTTTATTCAAATGGATGTGCTATAACTTATTTAACCAATCCCCATTTGGGGGGACAAATAATATTCTGTAAATACTCTAAAACATAAATCTGCAGATATTTCCGATGATTTCCTTAGAACACATTCCTAAAAGTGGAATTTCTGTCTATTTTTTAGGTTCTTAAAACTGGCCTTTAGGAAGATGGTTTCAATCCATACTCTCAGCAACTGGGTATGAATGCAGCCCTTTCATCACAGCCTTAGCAACACTGGTTATCATATCCTCTAATCTTTGACAAATTTCTCTAAATTAGAGAAAAATTATCTCTCATTATTTGAATTATATTACTTTAATTAGTGAAGTTAGACCTTTTTCAGATGTTTATTTTCCATTGATAACTCTGTTTTTATGCTGATAAAATGTCATAAAAGGTAAAACTAAAGATAGACCTGAAGGGCAAAAATATAACAAAAGGGAAGCAAGAAGCCTCAGGGAAATGTGAGGGAAGGGACTTTGCAGGTGACCACGGTGGCTGGAAGGAGGACTTACAGTCGCATGCATGACATATAGCCATATTCACATGACCCTCAGGACCCCAGGCTAACTTGCTGCTGAACATCCAGGACTTACCAGGACAGGGAGGACAGAGCAGTGTCAAAATTTATTTTCCAAACCAGACAGCCTGATTCTCTTGCTGATCTGCTGTAGCTGGGCTGGTTGTTGGTCCAAGAAGGTTTACAAGATGGCAGAAAAAAAAAAAACAAAACCCTATTATTTGGAAAGCTGCCTGGTGTTCATCCCCAGGATCACTGGGAGATATCTTCAAGGGACAGGAGTAGGCACTGTAACTGTGGTTACATGACATCACAGAATATAAGAACTGACATCCCTTAAAGAGCTTCACTCATGTGTTAACGCCATTTGCCTGAGTGGAGGGAGAGAAAGATTATCCTCACCAGACCTCCAAAGTCATAGAGTCCCAGATCAGTAGAAAACTCTCTTATCTTAGTTTACAAGTTAAAAGTGTTGAAAAGCATGAATTTAATCTTGTACCTTCATTTTGTAGGTTCAGAAACTGATGCCCAAAGTGCTTAAAACAAGCAAACAAAACCTCCTGCCCCAAGTTACTTATGGCAGAACTAGGGCTATAATTCACATCTCCCAGTTTCCCATCTGACACTTGGCCAGCAGTCTTCCTGCCTGAAGGGGGATCTCACACAGGCTGGCTACACAGCCCCCTAAGTTTTATGATGGTGTTAATCAGAGCACATGGACTTCCACTTGCCAATAGGGGAAACTTTTACCTCAAGTGTCCTCTCAGTAAGATCTGTTTCATAAAACATTCAGGTTTTCTCAGAAAAGCAGAGTTCCCCATATGCTAGCTGCCACAAAATCCATCTTCACTCATGCCCCAGTCCCTGCCCTGTCTCATCTTCATCACACCTACCCTCTTTAGCTTCAGGTAGATCAACCACGAGGAAGAAAAGTCCAGTTTAGGCTGAACACAGACTAGTTTGGAAAGGCCTGCACCACGTAGAGCAGGGAAAGGCACGCCCATTTCTTAGCGGATGCTTCCGACTCATAAACACTCCTGCTTGATTGATTTGCTTTGTGTTTGACTTTGTTTTCTAAAAATAGTGTGTAGATTCCCAGAAGCCCCCTTCCCAAGACCCCAGTGGGATGCCCCATCATGCCTCAGGTGGATATTAAACATGCTGTGAGGGAGGCTGTATTTTGTGATGACATGCCTGCCCTAGCAGAAGAGTTCTTCCTGACTGTGGTCACCAGCACCAGGCCACATGCTAAAATCATATAAGTAAATATGGACAGAATTGAGGGTTGGTAATACCTACCAGCCAGACGCAGTGGCTCACGCTTATAATCCAAGCACTTTGGGAGGCCAAGGAGGGCAGATCTCTTGAGCCCAGGGGGTTTTAGACCAGCCTGGGAAACATAGTGAAACCCTATCTCTACAAAAATACAAAAAAAAAAAAAAATTAGACGTGTGTAGTGGCTTGCGTCTGTGGGAGGCTGAGGTGGAAGGATCGCTTAAGCCTGTGTGGTCAAGGCTGCAGTGAGCCAAGATCATGCCACCGCACTCCAACATGGGCAACAGAGTGAGATCCTATCTCAAAATAATAATAAAGCAGACACTCAAAGGATTATCTATTAGCAATTAACCCAACTCAATACATTGAAATATTTCACAAAAAAACAATCTCAACATATATCTTGATAAAAGAAAATAAAAAGCAGAAGGGCAACTGCAGGCTTGGGAGTGGATAAAAGACAAATAAACCCCTGTCAAGAGAGGGAGCTGGTATCTGAGGAGCTGAGCACTATTATCTCAGAATGTAAAGGGGTAAGAACAACTTCCTTAGCTTGTGACATCCCAAAGAGCTATGATTCTCTCTACCTTTTTTCTGAGCGTTCATCTTCAGAGGAGCCTGAGCTCCTAAGAGTGTCACATTTGAGCTTTGGTTTATTAAACAACCCAAGGGTACACCTCTCCTGGAAGGGGAGACTAACAAAATGCCCTACAAAGAATCCCCTTTTTGACCTGCATCCAGTAAAACCAAAGTCCTCTACTTTCCACAGTGTTAGCACGGTTTCATGCACTCCTGGTGGCGTTCATGTGAAATATTCAGGGTTCTTAGGGTTTGCGTATTCACTTAGAAGAGGGCCACATTATCCTGTGCAACACTTGGCATCTCTGTAGGGTTTCTTCTCTCCCCCATTCCACTGACGCCTCTGAGGCCCTGGCATTGCCTGGTGTAGTTGATGCCATAACAGTTCAGGATATTCCTGGTAACAATTGCAATGAAGAAGAAAGACTATATGCACAAGAGCTGAATAAAAAAGCAAAACCCAATGGTATGCTGTCTTCAAGAACCCCATCTCACACATAACGATACTCAGGCTCAAAATAAAGGGATGGAGGAAAATCTACCAAGCAAATGGAAAACAGAAAAAAGCAGGGATTGCAATACTAAGTTCAGACAAAACAGATTTCAGACAAATAAAGATTAAAAACGATAAAGAAGGGAATAACATAATGGTAAATGGTTCAATTCAACAAGAAGACCTAACTATCCTAAATATATGTGCACCTAACACAGGAGCACCCAGCACCCAGATTCATAAAGCAAGTTCTTGGAGACCTACAAAGAGACATAGACTCCCACACAATAATAGTAGGAGACTTCAACACTCCACTGACAGTATTAGACAGATCACTGAAGCAGAAAATTAACAAAGATATTCAGGAGCTGAACTCAACATTGGACCAAATGGATCTGATAGACCTTTCAGAATTCTCCACCCCAAAACAACAGATTATACATTCTTCTCATTGCCACATGGCACATACTCTAAAATCAACCACATAATTGTACATAAAACAATCCTCAACAAATGTTAAAAAGCCAAAATCAACCAAAAACACTCTTGGACCACAGCACAATAAAAGTAGAAATGAAGACTACGAAAATCACTCAAAACCGTGCAATTACATGGAAATTCAACAGTATACTCCTGAATGACTTTTGGGTAAATAGTGAAATTAAGGCAGAAATCAAAAAGTTCTTTGAAAATAATGAGAACAAACATACAGCATACCAGAAATCTCTGGGACACAGATCAGGCAGTGAAGAGGGAGATTCATAGCACTAAACGTCCACATCAAAAAGTTAGAAAGACCTCAAATTAACAACTTAACATCACGACTGAAAGAATTAGAGACGCAAGAACAAATCAGAAAAAGCCCAAAGCTAGCGGAAGACAAAAAATCACCAAAATCAGAGCTGAACTGAAGGAAATCAAGACACAGAAAAAAAAAATTCAAAAGATCAACAAATCCAGGAGTTGGCTTTTTGAAAAAATTAATAAGATAGACCACTAGCTAGACTAACAAAGAAAAAAGATAAAATATTAAAATAAACACAATTAGAAAAGTTGGAGGGAATATTATCACCGACCCCACAGAAATAAAAACAACCATCAGAAACTACTATGAACACCTCTATGCACATGAACTGGAAAATCTAGAAGAGATGGATAAGTTCCAGAACACATACACCCTCCCAAGACTGAACCAGGAAGAAATTGATTCCCTGAACAGACCAATAATGAGCTCCAACATTGAATCAAAAATAAATAGCCTATCAACCAGAAAAAGCCCAAGACCTTACAGATTCACAGCTTAATTCTACCATATGTACAAAGAAGAGCTGGTATCATTCTTACAGAAACTATTCCAAAAAATTGAAGGCGAGGGACTCCTCCCCATCTCATTCTATGAGGCCAGCATTATCTTAATACCAAAACCTGATGGAGACATAACAAAAAAAGAAAAGCCAATATCCCTGATGAACATTGAGGCAAAAATCCTTGCAAAATACTTGCAAACAAACAAAATACTTGCAAACTGAATCCAGCAGCACACCAAAAAGCTAATCCACCATGATCAAGTAGGGTTCATCCCTGGTATGCAAGGTAGGTTCAACATATGCAAATCAATAAATGTAATTCATCACAGAAACAGAACTAAAGACAAAAACCAAATGATTATCTCAACAGATTCAGAAAAGGCTTTTGATAAAATTCAACACCACTTCATGTTAAAAACTCTCTCAGTAAACTAAGTATTGAAGGAATATACCTCAAAATAATAGGAGCCATCTGTGACAAACCCACAGCCGACATTATACTAAATGGGCAAAAGCTGGAAGCATTCCCCCTTGAAAACTGGCACAAAACAAGGATGCTCTCTCTCACCACTTCTATTCAACATAGTATTGGAAGTCCTAGCCAGAGCAATCAGGCAAGAGAAAGAAATAAAGGGCATCCAAATAGGAAGAGAAGAAGTTAAACTATCTCTGTTTGCAGATGACATAATTGTATATCTAGAAAACCCCATAGTCATGGCCCAAAAGTTCCTTCAGCTGATAAACACCTTCAGCAAAGTTTCAGGATATAAAATCAATGTACAAAAACCACCAGCATTCCTATAAACCAAAAACAGGCAGACCAAGAGCCAGAAAGGCAATCCCATTTAAGATTGCCAGAAAAAAGAATAAAATACCTAACAGCTAACCAGGGAGGTGAAAGATCTTTACAATGAGAATTACAAAAAGAAATTAAGACACAAACAAATAGAAAAACTTCTCATGCTCATGGATAGGGAGAATCAATATCATTAAAATGGCTATACTGCCCAAAGCAATTTACAGATTCAATGCTATTCCTATCAAACTACCAATGACATTCTTCACAGAATTAGGAAAAAAACTATTTTAAAATTCATATAGAATCAAAAAAGAGCCTGAATAGCCAAGGCAATCCTAAGCCAAAAGAACAAAGCTGGACACATCACATTACCCAGCTTCAAGCTGTATTACAGGGCTACAGTAACCAAAACAGCATGGTACTGGTACAAAAACAGGCACATAGACCAATGGAACAGAAAAGAGAGCCCAGAAATAGGCCACACGTCTATGATCACCTGATCCTCAACAAAAACTGGAAAAAAAAAGAAATGAGGACAAGACTCCCTTCAATAAATAGTGCTGGGATAACTGGCTAGTCATATGCAGAAGATTTAAACTGGACCCCTTCCTCACACCATACACAAAAATCAATTCAAGATGGATTAAAGACTTAAATATAAAACCCAAAACTATAAAAAGGCAGCCTGGAAGACAACCTAGGCGCTACCATCCCAGACATAGGAACAGGCAAAGATTTCATGACAAAAACACCAAAAGCAATCATAACAAAAGCAAAAATTGACAAGTGGTATCTAATTAAACTTAAGAGCTTCTGCACAGCAAAAGAAACTATCAACAGAGTAAACAGACAACCTACAAAATGGGAGAAGATATAGGCAAACTATGCAACTGACAAAGGTCTAATATCCAGCATCTGTAAGGAACTTAAACAAATTTACAAGAGAAAAATAAACAACCTCATTTAAAAAAATGGGCAAATGACATACACAGATACTTTTCAAAAGAAGACATACATGTGGCCAACAAGCATATGAAAAAAGCTCAATATCATTGATGATTAGAGAAATGCAAATTAAAACCACAATGAGATACCAACTCATACCAGTCAGAATGGCTACTATTAAAAAGTAAAAAAATAACAGATGCTGGCAAGGTTGCAGAGAAAAGGGAACACCTATACACTGTTGGTGGGAGTGTAAATTAGTTCAACCATTGTGGAAGGCAGTATGGCGACTCCTCAAAGAGCTAAAAGCAGAACTACCATTCAACCCAGCAATTCCATTGCTGGGCTTATACCCAGAGGGATATAAATCATTCTACCATAAAGACACATGCATGCGATTGTTCACTGCAGCACTATCCACAATAGCAAAGACATGAAATCAACCTAAATGCCCATCAATGATAGATTACATAAATAAAAGGTAGTACATATACACCATGTAATACTAAGCAAGCCTTAAAAAAAATGAGATCGTGTCTTTTGTGAGAACACAGATGGAGCTGGAGGCCATTATCCTTAGCAAGCTAACACAGGAACAGAAAACCAAATACCGCATGTTCTCACTTATAAGTGGGAGCTAAATGATAAGAGCTTATGAATACAACGAAGGAAAGAACAAACACTGGGGTCTACTTGAGGGTTGTGGGTGGGAGGAGGGAGAGGAGCAGAAAAGATAACTATCGGGTACTAGGTTTAATACCTGAGTGATGAAATAATCTGTATGACAAACTCCCATGACACATGTTTACCTATGTAACAAACCTTCACTTGTACCCTCAAACCTAAAATAAAAGGTTTTTTAAAAAAGAAAAAGATTATACGCACAGGGTGAAGTATTATGATAATAGCACCTAAAATTCTTATATCATATTAATAATAATGGTAGCTGCTATTCCCTGGTACTATTTTCCAGGTGCCTTTATACACATCACCATATGCAGTCCTTCTAATGACCTTAGATTATTTACTTGCAATAAGCCTTATTTCAGAACAAATTTAAGGGAACTAAGAACCCCGTTAAGTTGGCACAGTTATCTCAATTTTATGATGAAGACATTGAGGCTTATATAGTTTTAATCAATTGCCTGAGGCCACATAGCCTGCAGTGGCAGAGCCATATTCAAACCCAGCCCCACGCTCTAGGCTATAGGTCAACTGTACACACATCATCCCAACGCGTGTTCCAACTGGGTTGACAAGGGCCTCACTGGTGCACATTTTTGTTCCCTTCTGGCAGTTAATTGGTCTGTGTTTTCTGCAGGTGATTTGTGTGGGTCAGATTTTCTGCACTGTGGCTGCTGACAAACATGATCATGCCAAGCAGGCCACAAAAGTGGTGAAGATTGTGTACCAAGACGTGGAGCCTATAATTGTGAACATTCAGGTAATGTCAACATCTGCTCAGTCTTTTGGTCATTTGGCAGTGAGTCTTGCTGCTGCAGGCTGTACATCACCACAGCTTCCCTCCGGCCCACCTGCTTCCCCTCCAGCCCCTCTTCTTATCTTCAGGTCATGTGGACTTCTGATCCTGCCTGTCCAACTCGGGATCACTTTTATTTTTTCCCTCTGGATGGTGCATAGCTCCCTCTGACTTTATTTTCTGCCGACTCATTTATATAAGGTGCTAATGCTAATATCTAAGAGGGAGGAGTCTTGGGTGACCCTCTGTGGCACTCTAGGGACTGCTGAGCAGAGGATAATGAGGATCTCAGTGTGACCATCTTAATTACATTTTGTAATGCAATCTGTCATTAATAAATTTTGGAAAGCGATACCAATTTATTTCTCCAGCTGGGGCTTTGAAGGCATTTATAGAATTTTCTCTAGTCTGTACCCCCAAATAGATAAAGAAATATATTTTTTTCTGGAAATTGGTGGAAATGACAAGAAATTTATTTTTTGGTGAATGAAGCTTTTGCTTTTTATGTGTGATCTGTGTAACCTTCTGAGGATCTTCTGGCCATTTGTATAAATGAAAAATCTGGCCACTAAAGGTAATAATGAAGGAATCACAGAAATGACAAACTCCAGAGGGTTTTAAATTCCCAAATTACTCAGAGAAAATCCAACGAATAGCTGTGGATGACCACTCAGAAACTGAGGGTTAGGCACAAAAATAACCACAAATAATGCTCTATCTTGACTTCTAAAACAGAGTGATGGCAAAGGAGCTCCTTAAACATACAGATTGCTTCCTAGCTGCCTGGTTTATTATGAAAAAGTAAGAAATCCATGGCTTCCTGCTCTTTCCTGGGTGGTTCTACTCTTTGTCTCTTACTTGTGTAGTCAAGGGGATCACAGTTGTCCCTGAAACATCCCACAAACCTGAACTTGAGATCTCAAATCACTTAAAGCTGTGATCCTGGTTTTGTTTTCTCCCCAGATCTGGCTGCCCAATCCATTTTATTCTAGAACATGGGGACAACATGTTGATAACTGGAGGATGGCACCCACTACCTGGGACATATAAGGTGAGCAAATAGGAAAGCCGCTACATGCAGCACAAATTCAGTGATTCGCTAACTTGCCGTTTCAAATATCTGCGGAGTCCTATGCTCACCCACATGTGATTGCTGTACTTTTTTATTAAGTTTTAGCACTGCACTTTGTGACTGTCAAATCACTGCCCATAGAAGATATGGGAACATTTATGTAGAGGTTGAAAGGCCGAAAGCAAGACAGAAGTGTGGGCAGAGGCCTCAGCATTTGAAGATCTCCCCATTTCTGGGGGCATCCAGAATACAAACATGTTAAAGATTTGGAGTGATGCTTGTTCAAACTTGATTCATCCTATATAGTCTCAATCTAGCTATAGAAAGCTCCCACTTCGCTGAAGAAGATTTTCTGAAAGCTTCAGCCCTGTGGAATATAACCTGGAATCTAGAAGGGAGCAGAACATACTGCTTAGAACCTAAAATAAGGATCACAAAGCTCCAGCACTAAACCCCAGGGGTTTCAGTTCATAAGAGACCTTTTGTTCTCATACAGAGCTTTATCAACTCTAACTCACAAGCATGGACAATTTCTCACTCCACTGTTTGATTAGAATCAAATCCCTGCTCAGATATCATCTTCTCTAGGAGACCTCCCCAACACAGCCCTGGCTTCTTATAGAATTGAGTTTGTTCCGTCAGCACCACAATTACAGAGTACTTCCCAAGTGCCAGGTGCTATCCATCTCTGCCTCCCGGGTGCCTGGTGCAGCCTTCTAGCCTTGAACATCTCATTCTGCTCTGCCAGATGACTGGTGTCTTATGTGGGAAGGTTCCTTTCTTTGCATTTCTATTTTCCTAGATCTTGCACATAAAAGGTGCTCAATAAATACATGCTGAAATGAAGTGTGCAACAACCAACACACTCTAAAGGAGTCAGAGGGTCCAGCAGGAAGAGGGTCACATAAGCCTGCTTTCCTTGGAGTGGTCTTTCATTCAACAGATAAAACATCTGTGCTGGGACCTTTAACAGAATCTACCAGAGAGTATCAATTGAGCCAGCCAGAGCAGTGAGGGGATTGAGAACCATGTCATTAAAACTCAGAGTGCTTGGTCTGAAGAAGAAAAGAGCTCATGTGCAGTGTGGGCCAGTCTCACCTGACAGAGAGGAAGGACTGCATACGTGGATGCCTAAAACATGCAAGACACAGTGACTGGTCAACTCAGGATGGAATCCCCCACCCCTCCCATCTCACTCCTGTCCCCTCCCTGCATGTCTAGGCTGGGGGTCTCTATGTTGGATTTCACTCCCTCCCCCTCACCCTTTGACAGCTCCTGCTGCCACACCAGAGCCCCCTGACACCAAGCCCTGGCGGCAGCCCCATCTTCACCTTTCTGATGCTTGATTAGGCAGCCCAGACCCCCACTCCTGCCCAGAATGCTGCCCCTCCTCAAATTTCTGAAAAGCTGTGGAAAGAGGGAGTAGAGCCATTCACTGCTCTGATGGGAGGCACAGCTAGAAAAGAAGATACAATAGGAAGGTGGGATTCCACATTGTGTGGGAGCTGGCCAACACTGGAACGCCTGGCTTCCAGATGCCGTTCCTGCCAACAGGAAGGGATGCCCTAGGCAGCTTTCAAATTGTTTTACCATGGCCCATAAAATGCACCTTATGATGGGACCCAGCACATGTGCATGAACATACATACACACACACACACACACAGAGAGATAGAGAGAGACAAGAGAGAGAAGGGGAGAGAGGGAGAGAGAGAGAGATAGACACAGAGAGAGAGAGAGAGGGAGAGAGGGGGAGAAAGGAACGAAATTACACAGGATGACACTTATTTGGCTACATGTCATGCACTGACACTTTCTCTGCACTGCTTTCCTCTCCCTTCCTTTCCTCCTCCCTTCTCTTCTATTTATTCTTTTAAATATGCTGGTCCTAAATGAATTTTCACACCTTACTAGTGAATCACAAAGGAATGGTTTGAAAAGCACTGAGCAAGATGGTATTTCTATAGCGGTGGCCACAGAACACCGGCATCAGAGCCTTGGAGATGCTTGGTTAAAATGCAGACTCCTGAGCCTCACCCAGACCTCCTGAAGCTGAAAAACTGGAAACATATATATGTATTTTTTTTTGAGTGGGGAGAAATCTACAGACAACAACAATAAATCACGAGCAGAAATGTTGATGTCTTCTCTGTAATTCCACTGTGGTTTTGTAGGAAGGACCAAGCAATCTGAGCTTATTTTTCTAGAAGTTGTAGAGCAATTTCAAGGAAATTACAGAGGAAGACCCAATACCCACAGAAATTGTTTCACCTTCTCATTCATGTAACAATGCATTCACCCATCCATCATCCATCCACCCATCCATCCATCATTCCATCCATCCATCTATCCATCATTCCATCCAAACATTATGCTAGGAGGAATAAAGAGAGGAATAAAGAAATGGCTAAGACAGGTGTAGTTTACAGCCTGCAGTGAGGAACCCTAAAGGGAAATCAACAATTTCAACATAGTGCAACTGTACTGAGTTAAGAATCAGGAGTGGATGGTGCAGTGTAGGTATTGGAGGTCAGGGAAGCCATCCAGAAGTAATGCTTAAGGATCACACAGAAGCATGATAAGAGATGTTAAATGGGATTGTGACTTAAGACAGTCCTCAAAATGATCTGTACATTAGAACTGTGGTATTTTAAATATCAGTTTTCCTTGTGGACTTTCTTTGTTATCAGTAATTCTTCATCAACCAATAGCACCATAGCTGCTAGAGAAAAAGAAATGAAATTGCTAAACCAGCAGCAAAACCTCTGGAATTACTAAGTTATTTTCTAAAAATTAGTATCAATAGATCTTGGTAAATTTTTTTCAGCCTTACAAGCATTTCTGAAAATTACCTGATGATAAAACATCTTTGGATATCCAACTGAGATTTTCTTGGGTATAATGACAGTTCCTCTTTCCTTCCAATAATTCCACGGGTTAAATTGTTCTACAGTTTTTTTCCTGCTGTAGTATGAAGAGTTTTTCATACATTTCTCCAGCATCTTATCAGTTCCTTTGGATCAAATTCTTGCTTGTGAATTGTCTTATCAAGCATTTTGCACATGTTTATCTCTAACCTGGTGGACGAAAATGCCAAACTTCACAAGATCCACAGTGAGTCCATAGTAGACACTAGCTGTGGAATATTGTAGAATCATCAGGAAAGAACACTTTGAGAATAAATTAAGCATTTAAGAGACAATGCAATTTTCAGAATTGAAAGACTGTTCTTTTATTTATTTAAAGCCTTTTTTTTTGATGACCAGTTACTTTTAGGATGGGACAGGGCAGACCAGTGGGCAGGGGTACTTTCATTCTCCATCGTGTACCTTTCTAAAATGTTTGATTTTTTTTAAGTATACACCATGTTCATTTTTCCCCCTATGAAATCTTTGAGGCCAGATATAATTTGGGATTCTAAATGTTTCTGATTTTAGAAGATCATACGACCTCTATACTATTTATTAAAGTCCTCAGCAGAGTCTGGGGCAACATGCCACATTCAAGCATAGTAATATTTCTGCAGTGAAGTGTATGATTACTTAAACCAAGTAAGATTTTTTAAAGACTATGAATCTCTCATTGGATGAGATCAGGAGAAGTTTCTCCACCAAATAGGTGCTCAGGGTTTTTGAAATTCAGAATTGCAGGTGACAGACTGGGGCCTTATATTAGCACTATTCAACTTTTCTTATAATAACCAAGGGTGTGAGAGCAATAAGATTATGGACAAATGAGATTTTGTTTTTTATATTTTGCTGTATTTTATTCGATAATTCTTTGCAAGATTTTTACTCCCCAGAAGCAATTGAGAATAATATGTTCAGAGGAACAAGGAGAAAGAATTCACGAGGACAGAGTGTTCCTCCCCAAATGACAACTAAGGGCAAAGCGGGTCCGCTCCAACGAAAACAAGCTCCAAATTCTACTAGTTGTTAACAATTTAGGCCAATTTGCTACTGCTTTGCAGAGTTGGAACTGCAGAGAGAGGCACTGTCCTTATTGAATTCAACCTTACACTAGGAGAGACTCAGAAAGGAGGACAATGCCAGCGGGCCTTCAAAGTCTAACCAGTTAATGCCACTGAAAATGGCGAGAGGCCGCTGCAACAGCTGATGACCACATTTCAACAGTAAGGGACTCGTTTAGGCTTTTCTTTGTTTCACAGATTTCATGGCACAGCACCTTAGCTATTCTCAGGTGGCACACACCTTTGGATGAAACCATTGGTCCTGTACCAGTGAAACTGTAGCTTTATTTTGTGGCTTTTGCTACTTCATTTGTGACTGCCTTACTGTCAAAAATTCACATACAGATGGCAGAAAGAACAGATTTCTAATTTTATTTCCAGGCTGCTGCTCTAGTTCATATCTACACAGATGGGTCTGTATTAGTTGGTCATGGCAGAGCTGAATTGGGACAAGGTATTAACACCAAAATGACACAGGTGAAAGAGGTTGTTTCAGTTTTGCCATCAGCCAGAATTGGACTTTATAAAATACTCCCAGACTGCACACACCTCCCAGACATTGCATCACACCTTTGGGCTTTGTGATGCAATGACTAGAATTACCCACAGCGTCCCTAGGAGCTCATTCTGAATTATCTGGAAATAAGCCAGCTGGAACTTGGGAAGAGGGCTTCACCTCCCTTCTCTAGTGGGAGGGGCTTCACCAAAACTCAGCTTCCCAGGGAACCAGTGACTCCTCACCCTTGACTGGAGCAGCTGTAACTTTTCATGGGCTCCACAGTTCAGTGAGGGGTGGCAGCATTCCCAGACAACTCCTGTGTATTAATTATACATATATTTGAGTGCCAATTGCACCCCAAATCCAGACTTCCTGGTGCCAGACAACTTGTTCATTCCCCAATCAAGTCCACTTTCTCATGCTTACTCTATGAAAAGGGCACCCATGATAGGGTCGGGGTCCCCCCTCTAGAATGCAGACCCACACTGGGACCCAAGACCTCCTTACTTGAGAACAGAGATCTCCCCAGGCTGCCCTCTTGGAAGAACAGAGGGCAGAAGCCTTACTGAGCCAAATGTCCTGGTATCTGGAGAAGGGCAAGCGCAACATCTCATTTTGAGAGGGGACAAGTGGAGATATCCCTGGTTTGGTCAGCTGAACTTGAAGACCAAAGCCAAGAGTAACTCATTCAATGCTGGTTACTCAGTGACCCAGGTTCCAAGCAAGTCTCTCACAAAGCTTTAATGAGTACCTGCCCCTAGAGTAAAGTAATGAAGACAATACCAAGTGCTGTATGGGTCATGCCTCACTTAACAACAGGGATATGATCTGAGAAATACATCTTTAGGCGATTTTGCCATTGTAGGGACATCATAGAGTACATTTTCATAAATCTAGATGGTATGGCCTACCACACACTTAGGCTATATGGTCTAGCCTATTGTTCCTAGGCTCTAAACCTGTGCAGCATATTACTACACTGAATGCTGTAGGCAATGATAACATAACGGTAAGTATTTATGTACCCAAATATATCTAAACATAGAAAAGGTACAGTAAAAACCTGGTATAAAAGATAAAAAATGGTACACCTGTATAAGACTAAAAGTTGCTCTGGCTGGGTCAGTAAGTAGTGAGTGGATGTGAAGACCTAGTACACTAGTCTAGACTTTATAAACACTGCACACTTAGGCTACACTACATTTATTTTAAAAATATTTAGGTCTGGTGTGGTGGCTTACACCTGTAATCCCAGCACTCTGGGAGGCTGATGCAGGCTGATCACTTGAGTCCAGGAGTTCAAGACCAGTTTCAGCAACAAGGGGAAACCCTGTCTCTACAGAAGAAAATATGAAAATTAGCCAGGCATGGTGGCATACACCTGTAGTTCCAGCTGCTTGGGAGGCTGAGTTAGGAGGATCACCTGAGCCTGGGAGGTGGAGGTTTCAGTGAGCCAAGATCATGCCACTGACCTCTAGCTTGGGCAACAGAGCCAGACCTTGTCTCGAAAAAATAAAGTTAAATTAAAAAATAAAGTAATTATGCCACAACACTATGACAGCTATGATGTCACTAGGCAATAGGAATTTTTCAGCTCCATTATAATCTTTTGGGACCACTGTCATATATGTGGTCCACTGTTGACTAAAACATCATTATGCCACACATGAATGTATTTAAAACAACCCTTCAAAGTAGGTATTACTGCCCATATAATTCAAACAAAAATACTTTGGAGAGCAAAGGGAGCCATTGGCATTAATACAAAGACAACCAGTGTAAACAGGGATTGTCCTGGGCAAAGCAGGCTATGTGGTCACCTGGTTCTGGTATCTCCAGGTCACAGACAAGATCCCCACGGCATGGAGAGTATAAGTCATCCACATACTGAGAAGAAGCAGAGCTATTCAATCACAGGGATGTCTGACTCTAAAACTCACATATCTCTACACACCACGCTGCCTTTCTCTGTGCCTGTGTTCTTGTGTTCACTGCCTGGACAGGGGTTTTCATAGCCTTGCTAAGTATGCAGCAAATCCTAAGTGGAACCTCAACACGTAAAACACATAGAAACAGAGCCATTTTGGTTGAACTGGGCAAATGGATCTTGCATTCTGTCTGTCCTCCCTCTAGCCTCCACTTTTACCTCCTGGGTGAAAAAGCCCCACCTTGGCACTGGTTCCACAGGGAAAACCAGAGTCAGCCCCTTGTCCAGAGGTGGAGACAAGCCACATGGAAGGTATCTGCAGGATGCAGGAAGGATGGTGATTGTTGCAGGGTGAGAAACACAGTTGAGTTTGAAATGTTTCCCCATTTAATTATCTGCCAGTCTTCTGTCCTTTTCCACCTGCAGAATACCTGCCGGACCCTCGTGGAATGCCTTGAACCTATTATCAGATGGAGTACTAGTGGCACCTGGGAGAAGTGGGTGAGTATCAGGTGTGGCTGAAGCCTGCAGAGCTCCTGTGGGGCCACTGAGTGGAAGCACCTGTTCCCAGGTAGGCTGCATCCCTGCCACTTCCTCCTCCTGTCCTGTACAACCTAGGGCATCCCCTCCCCAGTCATCAGTGAGCAGGCAGATCACCTGGGCATCAGTTAAAATGCAGATTCTTATTCTGTAGGTCTGAGTGGGGCCTCAGAGTCTGCATTTCTGTCAGCCTCCCAGGTAACGCTGGCACTGCTGAACCACGCTTTAAGTAGCACTCCTGGCTTTTGGATATAAAATGGATAGTATCTCCATCATAAGGAGGTGACTAGGAGCTAGGAAGAAAGGCATTCATATATTGGTCCAGAAATTAAAGATTAGTAAGCTGAGTTCATAAGGGACAGATATAAATCAGTCATTCACCTTGCAACCAGATCTTACGAAACAGAAATCTCTGGTTCATCTGGCTATTTACTCACACCTGGAGAAATAGCTCAGTAACAGTGTTAAAGCCATTCATATTTAAATACCACTTAGTGTGTGTCTGGTTATTCGCTAAGGAAGATAGAGCCTACATCATCTAAAGTTCACTTTTGGAAATTTGCAGAGAAAAAAGCAATACATTTAAAGGAAGTTCTTGCAGGAGAAGCTGTTATATTGGATTACATTTTGAAAAACATCTTTAGTTAAAGCTACAAATGCTTGCTATTTTCCATACCTGCATTTCAAACATTCCTGGGGAAAACTGGATAGTCTTTGGGTGGTAGTTCTTGTTCTTCTTTCAGAATAAAGACTTCATTTTAAAACATGACCCAGATTTTTAAAAATTGAGGCAGCAGAAGTTCTGCAAGGCCCCTGAGTATTTAATTAGTGCTGTTAGAAAGTCTCCTGGTGATTTTGAAGTTTTGTGGGAAGCCCTCAGGGAGCGGCGATGGATGGGATGCGGTAGCAGTAACTTGAGGGATTACCAAACTTGCCTCCTTTATCTCTTAGTTTCTCTGAAACTTAAAAATATATACATATTCCAACCAAGCCGAAGCTCCACCCAGACTGTTTCCCCATATATGGAGACAGGAGGATGGAGATCCTTGGTTAGACTTTGTTTGGGAACCCTGAATTTAAACTTCCACCACAGATGTTTACCTTCATCGCTTTTTCCTTTGCTCTTTAAATAGATCCACCAAAGCAGTGACTTAGCAATTATCCTGGGCATCCTTAGCAATCATCCTGGGCAGAGAACCCACTTGGGCACTCTGCTTGTTCACTCAGGAAAATAACATTCCCAACAATAAGGAAAACTATGACATCTAGAAAATGGTTATTTTCCCATGTTTTGCTTTTGTCCAGCTGTGTATTTTTCCTTTCATCATATTCTTTTTTGCAGGCTAATGAAGCTTTTGCTCAAAGCACTAGTTTGTCTGCCACTGGATATTTTAGGTAAGAGGTATCTAATACTGTCCTAAAATTATTCCCCTTTAGAATGGAAAAGGAACTTTGAAAAGGTGTGCTCAGTTGTTTATATTTTTAATATTGTCTATTATTATCAATTTTATTTTTTTATTGAAAGGTTTTCATTAGAAAGAGAAATGTTATATTATCAGAACAGGAAGGCAGACAATTTTGAGATGAGTCCCATAATTTCCTTCCTGCAATGCCTTAGTACACATAAACCTGCCACAGGTTTATAGGTTGATATTAAATGATCCTGTGAATAGTGAGAACAGATCAAGATAGAGGGATTTTTGCAAAGCTTTTAGTGCTTCCCAGCATGGATTTAGTGCTTATGCCTTTCAGTCTTAGTGTCTAATAGGATGCAGCACTTTGGGCTTTCTAATATTTCTTGCTCTCCAGAAATCTTGCCTTATATCCTGCCTCTTGTGACCCTCTTCTCTTGTCTAATGGGGGATTGGTTATAAAAGCTGTGAGTCAAACCAGGGATGACCAAAACAGCCCCATACAAATAGCATGGGAAGTTGAGCAAGGTACCCCATCAGACATGAGAATTTGTCCAAATAAGGAACAGGGAGATCTCACTGGAAGTGACAAGAAACTAACCATCCTTTTACCATATTGAGCATATGTGGGCACATCGCCTAGGCTTATTGGGAGGGCGGTCTAGTATCCTGATGGCATCTATAAATACAAAGCTCACATCTGAAGGTAGGTTGGATCTTCTTGAATGGGGAGGCCATGCCTAGTTTCAGTAACCCAGAGGAAGGACGTGAATTTAGGAAACTAGAACTGAGGGAGCTCAGATTCTGTTGGTCTCACAGGTCAACCATGGAAGTCACAGGCACCCCTGGCCAGTGGGTATAAATAATAGTAACCATCATGAGAAGGTAGACCAGGAACCAGGAAGAACCCATTTATTGGTTCAACAATTGAAGAGAAGTAAGCTGAGTTGTAAAGATCAATGAAATTGTCTCTTTTTCTTGTCCTTTTGTTTCCTCCTGTCATTTATCCAATTCTTATATGAACATTCTTACTCTGATCAGTCGGTCTACAGAGAATCAACCCAAGAGTCCTCCGTCCAGTATAAGAAAAAGAGAGGGAAACAGTGCCCCGTTAGACCAATGTGTCAATGGTAGGATCAGACATAGATCCCAAAGGAAGTGAGTCTTGGGTGAAAGCCAAGGCCGTATGGACCACCCAGTGCCAACTCTGAGGTTCTGAACTTTATTTTTACTAAGAAAAGGGCAATTTCCTCACAGCACTAGGCAAAAATGGAAAGCTATCCTGGCACACAAGTATAGAATGCCACCAGAGACAAGCAGCTGGAAGAAAAAGCCAGGCCACCAGCAACAGAGACAAAGAACTGTGAGCTTGAGAGGCTATGGCAGATGGTGAGGGAAGGACAGTGAGGGAGAAAGAGACTCAGATGCAGCAGAGGCTCAGTGGCTAGACTTAGGACCCAGCCAGGGCTTATTGCAAAATAAGCACTTGGTAACTTTTTATATCTTTGCCTTGGCAACCAGGAAACTCAAAGTTAAATTTTATGCTTCATTTAGTTTTGGCTTTTGTTGTTGTTGTTGTTGTTCTTGTTGTTTGCAGAGACAGAGTCTAGCTCTGTCGCCCAGGCTGGAGTGCAGTGGTGCGATCTTGGCTCACTGCAACCTCTGGCTCCCAGGTTCAAACAATTCTCCTGCCTCAGCCTCCCGAGTAGCTGGGACTACAGGCGCCTGCCGCCACCCCCATTTAATTTATTTTGTATTTTAGTAGAGGCGGGGTTTCACCGTGTTGCCCAGGCTGGTCTCGAACTTCTGAGCTCAGGCAATCCACCCACCTCGGCCTCCCAAAATGTTAGGATTACAGGCATGAGCCACCGCACCTGGCCAGTTTTTATCATATATAAATTCCTACTCTCTTATTATTCATTTCATCTCATTTCTTGACTCTCATCTTTTACACTTATTTTAATGATTTGACTATTGTATTTGTATTTAATATGAATGCTTTCTATAAATAGACTCATGTAAGGCTTGTTTAGGAAATAAGTGAAATTGAATTAAATACGTATGTCTAACATGAATCTATTAAGTTTCTCAGCAGATGAAAAAGACCTTCCTTATAACAACACTTGTCATACCTGAAGAACATTATTTAGCCAGTTCTTAATCTTCTCTTTACCAGAATTGATCACAAAAATTTTAACTCATTTTTAGCTTTTGAAACAATGACAAGTTTACAGAAAATTTGCATGTACAGTACAAAGAATTTTTTTTACCCTGAATCATTTGAGAGTAAATTGCTGACCTAATGCCCCAAACCCCTGAACACTTAAGAGTTTAGTCCTACACACTATACAATATACCCATCAGAATCCAGAAATTAACAGCAGTTCACAACTACTATCTAATTATCAGACTCCATTCAAGATTCGCCAGTTGTCCCAATCAAGTATTTTATAGCAAAAATATTCAATACAGAATCTCACTTTTCATTTAGTTGTCCTGTCTCTGAGGTGTCCTGGAGCAGGAATCAGGTCTCCCCTCTCTCTTTGACATCATGACTTTGACACTTCGGAAGAGTTTGGCCAGTTATCTTGTCCAATGTCTCCCATTTTGAGTTTGTCTATTGTTTTGTCGTGGTTAGATCGATGTTATGAGTCTTTGTCAGAATATTACAAAAGTGACTCTGTGTTCCCCTCATGGCATCCTGCCAGGTGACACATGACTTCAACATGTCCCACTTGGTTAAGATGGTGTCTACCAGGACTCTCCACAGTGAGGTGGTTTTTCTCCTTCTGTAGTTAATAAATATTCTGTGGGGAGATACTTTGAAACTATGTAAATATATTGTTCCTCATTAAACTTTCTGTTTATTTTTTATTATTATTATTATTTTTTGAGACAGACTCTCGCTCTGTCGCCAGGCTGGAGTGCAGTGGTGCAATCTCAGCTCACTGCAACCTCCACCTCCCAGATTCAAGCAATTCTCCTGCGTCAGCCTCCCGAGTAGCTGGGACTACAGGTGTGCGCCACCACGCCCAGCTAATTTTTGTATTTTTAGTAGAGACAGGGTTTCACCATGTTGGCCAGGATGGTCTCGATCTCTTGACCTCGTGATCCACCCGCCTCAGCCTCCCAAAGTGCTGGGATTACAGGCGTGAGCCACTGCGCCTGGCCAACACTCTTTTTGTTACTGCCATTCTACCCCTCAGGTCCACCCCACAGCCTGTCCAATTAGCTATGTGAGTTAACTGCTCAGTTTGGTCTCTGCAAAGCAGAGCTAAAACAAACAATGCGCCTTCCTTTAGGGCTCTTAAAATTAAAGCATGAGTACCCTCTAGTGGCTTGCAGGAAAGTTTCCACGATTCTCGAACTTTTCCTAAGTCCCAGATGAGTGAAGGACACTGGCAGGGGTGGGATGTACTGGAGCCAGATGTGTTCCCCACCAGCACACCCAGGAAATACATTTTTGCACAGCTGTAATTTTGACTTAAACATTTGTTTAAGGTTTGCATGCTCAATCATATGACCTACATGTTTGGCTCAGTATACATTTGTTTTCTCAAAATCTTTAGTATAGTGAGTGCTCCAGAAAGTCATTGCATGTTTACCTCATAGACCCATGAACTCTGAAAAGCATAGAGTTCCACTGAAATGCCCTTTCTGAGAATCAAAGTTGAAGTTCTTTTCACTTGCATTGGAAGAAACCTAGATTTTGTGACCAGAGATGGAATAAAATATGAATAGAACCACATTAAGTAGAATGTTCTCAGTATAGCCTGGCAGAAGGTGTGTCGTGCCTAGCATGAGGTGACATGGTGATGTGTGCAATGGAAATGGAGTTATTTGGCTTCAAACTGTGTTTGAACTCTTATGAGGATTCAGGCAATAGAGCAGACAGGGATACTTCAATCCCCACTGGGGTTGAACTGCCCTTTTCCCTCTGTGTCAAATAAGAGGTGGTGATGCTGGTCTATGTGATGCTTCTGACCTTAATAATAATTATGTTTTTTTGTTTCTGGTTTCTCCTCCACTAATAAGGCTCTGGGTCTTCTCCTTAGGGAGAAGGAATTGTATGACTGAAAAAAAAAAAAAAAAAAAAAAAAGCTTGATTTTCCTAGTACTCCTGCAACGATAAGGCAGGCCAGGACCTTCCAGAAGTTAAAAAACAGGCTCCACTGAAACCTGTGATAAGGAAGCAACAGACCATCACTGATGGGTCTGGGATGAAATTAGATCCCCTGTTACAGAGTACATTTTAGGAGACGCTAAAACAGAAACAGGGTGAGAACTCCAGGCTGAGACATTCCAGCGGGGAGGGATAGTTTAGATTTGTTTAGCATAAGGATAACAAGGAGCAGCTCATGGTTCCCTTATCAACTAAATTAGCTGAGATTACTGAGGCAGCGGGGTGTTGCATGAGTATGCTGGCAAGGTGGGGGAGGTGTCATGCCAAGTACATTCTTAATATTGATAAAATACAGCTATGTAGGAGGGTGAAATATTCTCAAAGATTAGTCAACAAGAGATAAATCAAAGCCCAACCTGATAAAAACAGACTAACTGCAATTAGAACCAGCCCAGCTAGTAATGTCAAGTCACTCTACGTTAGTGTTTCATTCTGCAAACCCCGGGTGTGAAGGATTAATTTTAAAAGGCTGCCTAACTCATCTCCTGGGGGTTTGGGTGACTACTTCACTTTTTAAGACTGATTTGAACCCTTTCATCCTTACTGAAGAAAAACCCTGAAGCTCATGCTAATATCCTGCCAATACTCACAACTTATGGCTCCAAAGTTGGTTGAAATTTTGAATTATTTCCTTGCCAGTTAGCAAATAGCATTACTTCGATCGCTAGATGCTCTCCCATTACTTCCCTGGACCCTTCCCAGGAGCCCCCAACTTCCTCATACCCAGTAACGCTCAACATAAATGGCTGGGGCAGCTCCTTACATGGGCCAATTGACCAGTGCCCCTCACAAAACTGATTGTTGAAGATTTTGAGTATCGGGTGCAAAACCTGAAATCCAAGCATTACAGATTTTAGACAACAACCTGGGGAATTGAATGACCTTTGCCTTATTGTAATGCCATTCGATTTATCCCCCTTAATCACAAAGCAACTTTGCATAGCTTCACCACAATCAGTCAGGAGGAGGTCATGGAAAATTCTGGTAAGGTCTGCCACCTGCAAGTTTTTGCTGTCATTCCTTCTCTCTAGCCTCTATTTCCTTGTGTCTGTCAAAAGAAGAATGTGGACCAGCCCAGGAGATCTCACTCTGGCTGTGTAAAAACACCTTGAAGCCTTTTAAAAATCTGCAGAGATCCAGGCTGGGCGCAGTGGCTCACGCCTGTAATCTCAGCACTTTGGGAGGCCAAGGCAGGAAGATCACTTGAGGTCAGGAGTTCGAGACCAGCCTAGCCAACATGGTGAAACACCGTCTCTATTAAAAATACAAAATTAGGCTGCGCAGGTGGCTCACGCCTGTAATCCCAGCACTTTGGGAGGCCGAGGTGGGAGGATCACCTGAGGTCAGGAGTTCGAGATCAGCCTGACCAATATGGAGAAACCCCGTCTTTACTAAAAATACAAAATTAGCCAGACATGGTGGCGCATGCCTGTAATCCCAGCTACTTAGGAGGCTGAGGAAGGAGAATCGCTTGAACCTGGGAGGCGGAGGTTGAGGTGAGCCAAGATCACGCCATTGCACTCCAGTCTGGGCAACAAGAGCGAAACTCTGTCTAAAAAAAAAAAAAATTAGCCAGGGCTATGGCAGGTGCCTGTAATCCCAGCTACTTGGGAGGCTGTGGCATGAGAATTGCTTAAACCTGGGAGATGGAGGTTGCAGTGAGCCAAGATTGCACCACTGCACTCCAGCCTGGGCAATAAGTAAGACTCTGTCTCAAAAAAAAAAAAAAAAAAAAAGGCAGCAGAGATTCTAATTGAATTGATCTGGGAGTGGGGCATCTGTGCTGTTTTTGAGTTCCCAGCGACTCTCTGTGAGCCAATGTGGATACTCACTGCACTGGCCAAACACTGAGGTCCTGGTGCCATGATTACAATTCAGCTGCTCCTCTTATGTCACCAGTAAAAACAAGTTGCTTTCCAGGACTGACAATAGGCGCTGGCTGCAGCCTGGCCCAGATGCAGGACATCTTGGCTGAGAGGGTAGCTGAGCTCCCAGAGGAGAAAACACAGACGTACTGAGCCCTCCTGAAGCACCTGAGGAGTCTGGCAGGCCAGCAGATCCGGAATATGGCGGTATGTTCCCTGGTTTCAACCACTGGGCACACCGCACCTATTTCTGAACCTCACTGAAATGTTGAGATATGCGTTGGCAGAATCAGTATGCAAAAAGGTCTCAGCAGATTGAAGCAACAGGCGCAGTAAATGTTTAAAATTAATAAGCATTATTTAATAAAAATATTTAAGAAACAACTATAGGCCGGGAGCAGTGGCTCACACCTGTAATCCCAGCACTTTGGGAGACCAAGGCGGGTGGATCTCTTGAAGTCAGGAGCTCGAGACCAGCCTGGCCAACATGGTGAAACCTGTCTCTACTAAAAATACAAAAAATAGCTGGGCATGGTGGTGCACGTCTGTAATTCCAACTACTTGGGAGGCTGAGGTGGGAGGATTGCTTGAACCCAGGAGGTAGAGGTTGCAGTGAGCAGAGATCATGGCACTGCACTCCAGTCTGGGCAACAGAGCAAGACTTTATCTCAAAAAAAAAAAAAAAAAAAAAAAAAGAAGAAGAGGAAGAGCGATAAGTCAAGCTCAAAAGAGTGGCTAAGCAGCATCACAGGTGAGAAAAGGATGCTATGGTTTTGCTAGTTTCATGATAAGCTTGTCCAAGAACTTAGTTTAGTCTTAGGCTGCATTAACAAAATAGAGTATCTAAAACAAGGAGGGTAGCCTTCTCTACTCTGGGCTGTTCAAAACACAGCTGGAGAAAGATGGTCAGATCTGGGAGGCATACTTGAAGATCTGGTTGATTTTGATCTCAAAAGAAAGGAAAAGAGAAACAGTTAGGTTTTTGAAACACATATGCTCCTTCCCCTGCATACCCTCAATTGTATAGCAGAAATCTTTGGGATATGGAAAACCAGGGAGGGCATGTTTCCTTTAAAACAGCTCTCAAGTGATTTCAAAATGTTCTCTCTCCAGTCAGGAACTCTGACGAGGTACACTGGTGAGGAGAAGGTGGCAGGAGAATGAGGGGTTGGAAACCACCCCAAAAAGAGGACTAGGGGTGGGAGGACAGGCAAAGGGAACATGAGAGCTGCCTTGGACTATGTCTAGACTCCTGAGGTCTGATGTGTTATTACATATGAGCAGAGAGTAGAAGAGTAACTGACAGATGAGGATCCAGGGAGCCAGATTTCAGCTCAGGGGAAACAAAAAAAAATGTAAAATGGAACTGCTCATAAAGGAATGGGGATTCCCTGTCCTCACCTGTGTTCCAGTCCAGACCGCAGCAACCAGGAGGTCACCGTAGATTCCTTCCCTATGCTGGGAGGAGAATCTTGAGTTCAATGGCCAGTCATTTCCCTCCCAAGTTCTGAAATGCTACAGGCTCCATCAGATCTGAGTGAGGGCTCCCAAAAAAGAGTGAAAAGGCAATTCTCTGTCCAACTGTGTGGATGCCTCAGAACACTGACACAGCCCATGTGAAGTCTGGCCATTTCAGAAGCCCACAGGAGATGAGGCTGAGACCCTTTGCACCAAGGCAAGATGGCACCTCTGCAGCCAACACCATGGCCATCTTCACTGTTGCCAGGGCTGAGTGGGGTGGCTCACTCCCGCTGAGCCTCCCTGCTTGAATCTGAATCCCAGGCCTGCCCCTTCCTAGCTGGGGACATTGGTCAAGTTTCATAATTGCTCTGTACTTCAGTGTCTTCATCTGTAAAATAGGGATAACGACACCCACCTCACTGGGTTGTTGTGTCAGGGGTTAGACAGCGCGTGGAACACACTGGTGTTAGGTAAGTGCTAGGCACCCTCGAGTCCTCTTCCCATCCAAAGAAGCCAGTGGGAGGGGCCCTCCCTGACAAGCTGAACCCACACCCTCTGCAAAAGAGAGAAAGACTGAACTGACTTAGATTCCTCTTGACCCTTTCATGGCCACTAAGAGGACCATCAGCAGGTGCCTTCGGGGTAGAGAAGCTGAGAGATGGAATGACTGCGCTGTAACTCTCTCTCCTTAGTCCTTAGGGGGGCATGTGAGAAGCCGGCATTGCTATTCGGACCTGAATCCAATTCTTGCTGTGGGCAATGCTACCCTCAATCTGATTTCAGCAGGTAAGCTGCCTCCAAACACTCTGAACAGCACCTAGAGATCTTTTGTCTTTTCTACTTATTCTTTTAAGGAATTGCTTTAAGTCAGAGCCCAAGTCTCTAGTTCTCAATTCACCATGGGGAGCCCAGCTCATGAGGGAAGGTGCACTGATCCAAAAGGCAGCTGGTGTTTCCTTCTGACACCACACACGCACACAACCTGGGACCACACACTCAGTTAGCTCACATGTTCGCCCACGTGTCTTGCTTGACCAGTAAACACCAGAGGTGATGTGCAGAGGCTAAGCTGAGGGTGAGGTTGCAGTGCGCACTCTCCCTGTGGGCCAAGGGACTGCTCCTGCTCCCCCATTCTCATCATGGGCTCCCTCCGCCAACACACAGTCCGAGGCCCCCACACAGTGCCCTCAAAGTTGCCTCCCTACCCCCCAGTTGCTGTGTAAGAAGCTACAAGGCTGGTGTGGACACACAGTGGACATCCACACAGGCTGTGGTGGGCCCCTGGGAAGGGGTAGGCAGTGATTGATTTTAATTGCTAGCTGAGAGGAACGTTCCCTTGCGGTGGCTGCCCGCTAAACCTCCCTTTCATCTCCCCAAGCACCCTGCACACTCACACTGCCCCCAACTGCCCCCCAGATACTAATACCACCTTGACTGGATGCAACTACATGCCAGGCTGTGCTGGGGCGTTGGTCATTACCATTGGCTGAAGGTCTGCTTTCCCAGCTCAGCTAGAGCCATCTCCACCCAGAGCACAGCCCTGGCTCCAGCAAAGGCAGTAGATCAGCTCGCTGGCCCAGCAACAGGGAGGGGCCAGGCAGAGATCAACCGTGGGAGCCTCCTTTGGGGCACCCTGCTTCCTCACAAGCATACCTACATTCCAACCAGCACAGCGCTCACTGTGCCAGGGATCAAACGCATGTCACAGTCCCCAGGCCATAGTTTGATCTCCTCACTGCACTCCTGTGGGCCAGAGGGCACAGTTGTGGTCCCCAAGAGGGGGCAACTGGGCTAGAAGGAGGTTTCAGAATTTTTCACTTTGTTTTAAAGGTGTAAGTGTCTGTCTCAAGAGCTGACAACAGCAGGAAGAACACAAGGCAAAGTCAGTGGCTTGAACTGAACTGAATAGTTAAAAGTGCAAACAAACCGTGTGTTGGCTTAAAGTTGTTGACTTAACAAGTGATCATAAGCACTGAACAGGTTCTATGTAGTTAACCACAGGCCCAGTGAGCCTTCAAGGCAGAAGAGACCCCAGTTCACATAGCATATATGCTGATGAGAAAATAGTAATGTCATTACGGTGCCACCACCTGGGACCCCATGATGGGACCCTGTGACTTTGCCGTGGACTCAGACCTCAGCCTTGCTCTGTGTAGAGGAAGCTGGCCTTTCCTTCTCTACTGCTGACATTTAAAAGAACAGAATAATCTTGCTCTCCTTGTTGTGACTGTGCAGAAATATAATTCTCTTCCACAGAAGGTACGCGGCGGATTCCTCTAAATGAACATTTTCTTGCTGGGTTGGCAAGTGCAGACCTTAAGCCAGAGGAAATTTTGGAATCTGTGCATATCCCGCACTCTCAAAAGGTCAGAATTCCGCTGGTTGCTTTTGAGGGTGGATTTTCCTTTTTCATAACTGAGTCCAGTCATCTTTAGAAATCTAAAAACAGATGGAAAGAAAATAACTCTGCCCTGCAAACCTGTTTCCTGTCCAACTGCAGATTGGGCCAGCACCAAGGCCCTCCGACAGCCAAGAGCAGGCAGCTCCGGGTGTGGATGTGGGGCTGTTGTTCTAGCTGCAGGGTGGAGCATGCTGAGGGCCTGTGGTCACACCACCACACCCCTCATGGCCATGAGTTCAAGCTCTCGGGCTGTCAAATGGAGTGTCTCTAACTGACCCACAGGGAGATGGGGGCTAGGGCTCAGCTGTCCCACACCCCACTCTAGCCAATAGTTCATGGGCGCAGGAGGGCCTCTAGTTGTTCGCTAACTCAGAATCTCTGCGGCTGATGTAGCCACCCAGCCGGCTATGGAGTTGACCTTCTGTCCTCACTGCCTGCTCCCTGTGCCTCTGCCAAAGCTGTACCTGAATCTAAGAGGATAGTCTTCCCAGAGAGAGGCAATGCAACACACACACACACACACACACACACACACACACACACACACCCCCTAGCTCAGCCCCCAAAGTCCCAGAGAGGAGCAGCCAAGACTCTGGGGCACCAGGATGAGGATGGCCCACTCCCCATCCGGGGCCTTCTGCTACAGTAGCAGTAATATTCTTCTACAGGGGCATTGGTCGTTACCATTGGCTGAAGGTCTCCGCTTTCCCAACTCAGCCACAGCCATCTCCACCTGGAGCACAGCCCCGGCTCCAGCCAAGGCAATAGATCAGCTCACCGGCCCAGCAGCAGGGAGGGACCAGGCAGAGATCAACAGTGGGGGGCTCCTTTGGGGCACCCCTGCCTCCTACAACCATGCCTACATTCCAACCAGCACAGCTCTGACTGTGCCAGGTGTCTTGTTAGATTGTGTCTGTGTGATTAATTAATAGCATCAAAAGCCGGGGGGCAGCCTGGTTATGGAGGGAGTCATAAGTTATGCTTTCAGCCATGTGTGATCTTCATTAGTTTTTCCTTTGGAATGGAAACTTTGAAATGTGTTCCCATTTAAATCCATGAAAAGGCAGCAGACGGAAAAACAAGCCCACTCAAACATGTGCACCCTTCGTGGCGGCACAGATGGAAATGCACAAAGGGGCACAGGCCGTCTTCATGGACCCCACCTTGGCTCACCAAAGGTCATGGTGCCAAGGGGTCAGCTGGGACAGCCATCACCTTTGACTCTTCCTCCTGACACAAGATTCCCTAGCCACTGCTGGAAAGCTTTGCTCGGCTCCCTTCTGTGCTTTGCCAAGTGGAAAAGCAATCATTTCTACAAGCCAAGCAATGTGGTGGGTCTCCTTTGCACTTTTAGCAAATCACCTTTAAAAGCCCCTGCATTAGGAGGGCTCCTCCAACCTCATGGGGAAAAGGTGTCTGAAAACTGGAGGGAATGGCCCCTGGCAATGCCAGCACATGGACGGGTGTCCAGGCGTGAGTTCCCACAGCATCCCGTGCAGAGGCATCCTGGCCTCCAAGGGAGAGTGCGCGGTGGTCCCTGTTCCTTGAGGGTGCCCGAGGCCTTGAGAGTGGGCCTTGGGGAGGACGCTGTTCTCACTTTGAACGAGAAGTCAGCCAAGGTGTCCTCTAATTGTGCCAACTGTCCTTGGTGTCTTGTTAGATTGTGTCTAAGTGATTAATTAGTGGCAACAAGAAGCATAAACCATGTTCTTAGTTTTGACATATCAGATAACCCCAAATGGTTTTTGTCTCCACAGTGGGAATTTGTGTCAGCCTTCCGACAGGCTCAATGCCAGCAGAATGCCTTGCCCCACGTGAATGCCGGCATGCGAGTCCTTCTCAAAGAAGGCACAGACAGCATTGAGGACCTGAGCATCGCCTATGGAGGGGTGGGGGCTGCCACCATCAGTGCACACAGATCCTGCTAGCAACTCCTTGGGAGGTAAGCCAAGAGCCCGCACCCTGAGGGGGAAGCTTGCTGTTAAATAAAACAAGTGGAGATCTGTCTCTGGCAAGCATCAGTAAAGCCCTGGGAAGATGGAAACTATTACATGAAAATCACTGCCTGTTCTTTCTGCCATTTTGCTAAATGAATTAAACCTTATTTGACTTTGATTAATTGGATGCCAGTCTTTGGATGAGGTATACAACAAAAGTGACCTGGCCTGAGTTCAGCCAGCAGGTGATTTTTTCCCATCTGCCCTCGTTCTCTTACACAGATCGACAGCCTAGCCATCCTGATGCCATGGCTTATGCCTATAATCCCAGCAATGTGGGAGGCCAAGGCAGGAGGATTGCTTGAGCTTAGGAATTCAAAACCAGCCTGGGCAACAAAACAAGACCCTATCTCTACTATATATATATATGTTTTTTTTTTTTTTTAATTAGCTGGGCATGGTAGCATGCACCTGTAGTCCCAGCTCCTCAGGAGGCTGAGACAAGAGGATCACTTGAGCCCTGGAGGTTGAGGCTGCAGTGAGTAGCGATCATGCCACTATACTCCAACCTAGGTGACAGAGCAAGACTGTGTTTCAAAAAAAAAAAAAAAGTCTAGCAAACCCACCCTGGGCAGTGTCCAAGCAGCACCTAATGCTCCCACCGTTAAGTGCACTCTATTACTTCCTCAGTGAAGTCAGTCTCCAAGTCTGAGTCCCGTTCAGTTCACAATGGAATTGGCCCTAGTGGTCTGTTTTGTTGTTGTTGTTTTTGAGATGAAGTCTCACTCTGGCACCCAGGATGGAGTGCAGCGGTGCAATCTCGGCTTCACTGCACCCTCCACCTCCTGGGTTCAAAGTGATTTTCGTGCTCAGCCTCCCAAGTAGCTGGAATTACAGGTGTGTGCCACCACACCCAGCTAATTTTTGTGTTTTTAGTAGAGATGGGGTTTCACCATGTTGCCCATTCTGGTTTCAAACTACTGGGCTCAAACTATCCAGCTGCCTTGGCCTCCCAAAGTGCTAGGATTACAGGCGTGAGCCGTCATTCCCGGCCTGCACTGCTTATTTAATTCTTGATTCTAGCATGTCTGGCTGTGGAACATGTTCATGTTTAAGTTGCAGGTCCCATTCTCACCCTGCCATGACCCTTGGGCCACTCGATGCAGCCTCCCCAGGCCTTGGTTTCCCTAAGCAGCTTGATTAGGTGATTTCTGAGTTTCCAAGGAAACTCTGGGGTCTCTAAAAGGTCACTATCCCATATCATGCCATGCTAGAAACTGCCCTCTAACCAATTCCTTCCTGCCTTCAACCCTCCCAGGTGCTGGAATGAGCTGTTGCTGGATGAGGCTTGCAGGCTGCTTCTGGATGAAGTCTCGCTCCCAGGCTCAGCCCCGGGTGGCCGGGTGGAATTCAAGAGGATGAGGACCCTAGTCGTCAGCTTCCTCTTCAAATTCTACTTAGAGGTTCTGCAGGAACTGAAGAAGCTGGTGAAGCTAGTCTCTGTGCCTGTGGGTGCTCTGGTGTATTCGCTGGCTGGGGCTGCTGAAACAAAGTAGCACAGCCTGCCTGGCCTGAACAATAGAAACATGTTCCTTCACAGTTCTGGAGGCGTCAGCAGGCCTGGTTCCCTCTGAGTGCTGTGCAGGGGACTCTGCCCCCTGCCTTTCCCCTAGCTCCTGCTGGTTTGCTGGCAATCTTGGGCACTCCTTGGCTTCTAGAAGCATCACCCTGATCTGTCTTCATATGAAGTTCTGTGGGTACATGTGTGTCCAAATTTCCCCTTCTCACAAGGACATCAGTCATATGGGATT
Organism: Homo sapiens; assembly: GCF_000001405.40. NCBI lineage: Eukaryota > Metazoa > Chordata > Mammalia > Primates > Hominidae > Homo > Homo sapiens. Next base: position 200,746,215 of record NC_000002.12, read on the forward strand.
AGGCCCATCTTAAGTAGCTCATTTTAACTTGATTACCTCTGCAGTAAAGGCCCTGCCTTATTTGGATAAGGCCACATTCTGAAGAACTGGGGCTGGAGTGCTGGGACTTCAACACAGATATTTAGAACAGACACAATTTGACCCATAGCATCTGGCTCTTATGTGTTCCTTGCACCCATAAGCTCACAGCTTTCCCATCACTTTGGCAAATTGTCTCGTGCACAGCCTGTGCTGTTACCTGTCACCTGCTCTGAGTCAGGCCTCGTCAGTTCCCAGCCGGCCCTCCTCCTGGAATCCAGCCCTGAGGGGCTACATGAGGCTCATGGCGCCAGACTCTCTGCAGTCCGCAAATGTTGACTGCGTGCCCTGAACACTGAAACACTGTGGTGTCCCTGCTGCCAGTTTTTTCTTTTAAAATCAACTTTATTGAAGTGTAATTTACACATCATAAAATGTACCTATTTAAATTCAGCGCATGTTGACAAATGTGTATATCTGTGTAGCTACCACCTCAAATTTTCCATTATCCCAAAGAGTATCCTATGCCCCCTTGTGTCACCATCTTGCCCCTGGCCCAGGCAACCACCAATCACTTTGCTGGCACTAGAGATTCATTTTGCCTCTTCTGTAATTTTATGATCAATCTAAAACATAAAATAATATTTTATTTTTCAAAACAACCAAAACTGCCCAGGCATGGTGGCTCACACCTGTAATCCCAGCACTTTGGGAGGCCAAGGGAGGCTTGGGCCCAGTAGTTGGAGACCAGTCTGGGGAACATGGGGAAACCCCATCTTTATAAGAAATAGAAAAATTAGCTGGCCGTGGTAGCACATATCTGTAGACTCAGCTACTTGGAGGCTGAGGTGGAAGGATCTCTTAAGCTTGGGAGGTCGGGGCCACAGTGACCCATGTTTGTACCACTGCACTCTAGCCTGGGCGACAGAGCAAGAGCCTGTATGAAAAAAAAAAAAACACACACACACCAAAAACTGATGTGTATGCTAATGTTTAAATAGCTTTCTAGATTCTTCTGATTGTAAACTTTTGGAATAAGCTAAGCAAAGCAAAATATATTATCTCTCTCTCTTTCTCTCTCTCTCTCCTTCTCTCTCTCTCTCCACCCCTCCCCTGACCATGATTACAACTCACCCTACCTTGTATTCCCTGTTCCCCAACCACAGCTCACCCCAAGAGCCTGCTGTTCTAAGGTATCTGATTTTCACAGACTCAGATGAAGACCCTCATCAACCACACTCACCAGGATAATCCTTGCTGCCATTTAATTTCTGAATCAAGACACTTGACAAGTTTCAGTGACACCCAGAGCACCCTCCCCACCTCTACCGCTCTCCCAGGAGAGTTGAGTTCCTGAGAAAAGCAATCTGGCTTTGAGTCCTTTTGTGTGCAATGGATACCTGCTTATTCTGGGATGGCTTATCTAGCCCATTTTCCTTGCTTCTCCTCCTGCCTCTACCCCTACTCTCTGGCAGGCCTCTGCCTCCTCAGGGTGGCTTGAGGATCAGATTCCAAGCAGTCAGTCCAGGTCCTCATTATGTGGAGGGAGGAGGGGAACAAGAAACATTCATAAAACATGAAGCCGGGGCAGGCAGTATGGATCCTGGTTATGCACACTATGCTGGATACATTAGCCAAGTCAGTTTCACGTAAACCAAAGCCCAGTTTAACTGTAGCTAACCAGCTTATCTTTATTGTTTTGAATCACCTTTCAGGACAGCCGTCATCATTCTGAAATTTCAGACCAATTCCTAAGCGCTCTCGAAGATTTCCCAGTCACAATACCCCAGGGAGTCCAAACGTACCAGGTCAGTGAGTTTGATTTAACTGAAACCTGCAAACTAGAGCTGTGCTGAGCGAGCAAGCTTTTCAGAGCTGTGGTTTCAAGTCTGACATTCTAGTCGTGGCTCTTTGCTTAGTCCGCGTCAGGGAGACGCTGGAATCTGAGGTCAGGCCCAAGCTGCTGCTAGATGAGCTCAAGGCTGAACCGTCCAGCTAATCTACAGTCTAATCATTATAGTCTCTTCAAAGTGATATTCTCTGGGCATTTGTTTGATATTTACTCAGAAGAGCAACCGAGCCAGAAGGTTCAGCCCCCAGCTCTGATTGCAAATGTTTAATCTCCAGTCAGCAAACAAATGCCCTGCGAGTAACTTAACTCACCGTTCTGGCAGGACAGTTTAGAAATTATGGATTCTTGCTACAGCACAACGCCTCTCCCACCCCACCTCCACATACATGCACACACACACACACACACACACACACACACAGAGCTTCCCTGAGAGGAGCTCCAGAATAAACACTATCTCCACCTCCTTACAGCCTAGTGATGTTTTTGTGCCACTCCCAAGGGCAGCCAGGACACCTTATTCTGGATCTGGGGGGACTCTGTTGCCATCCCCCAAACCCTGTGCCAGAGGCCCCAAACAAGTCCATACTTGGGCTTCGGGCTTGGATTTTGGCATCCCACCTTGGGAACTGTATCACTTTACCCCCCATCATCATGAGGACAGTACCCGTGGACAGACTGATCATTGGAAAGGTGAGGAGGCAGGACAGCGAGACCCCTGAGAACACCACCAGGGAAAAGAAAATGCCAGAAGGAGAAGCTGGGGTGCCCCTTCACCTACTTCGCCATTTATTGCCACATAACTGAAATAACAATTCACTGTTCTAGTGGCATCATCAATGTGTCACACTCATCATCTGGCCCACTCCAGTGTTTGTCACCCGAGGGTGACCATCCGATTTCTCAATCCTAGCTCAGGAGTGTTGGTGATAGGCCAGGCCACTTCTGAAAATTAAAGGCTTCTGAGGCAACTCTTGTCTTCCCTGTAGAGTGTGGATCCTCACCAGCCTCTCCAAGACCCAGTTGGACACCCTATCATGCACCTGTCAGCTCTTAAACATGCCACTGGGGAAGCCATGTTTTGTGATGACATTCCCATGGTGGATAAAGAACTTTTCATGGCTTTGGTGACCAGTAGCAGGGCTCATGCAAAAATCATGTAAGTAAACGAAGAGCTTTCAAGAGCCTTTTAAAAGCACACTTGGGGACCCCTCAGAGGAATGCGCCCATGCTCCTGCCATGTCCTGAACTTAAAGGACCTAAAATGGAAAGAATAAAGAAAAGGTTGCCAGCTCCAGGAGGAAGGGAGAGCATCTAGAAATGAACATCATGGAGAGAGAATAAAAATCACTGGCTAGGCTCAGTGGCTCACATCTGTAATCCCAACACTTTGGGAGGCCAAGGCGGGCAGATCACCTGAGGTCAGGAGTTCAAGACCAGCCTGGCCAACATGGTGAAACCCTGTCTCTACTAAAAACACAAAAATTAGCTGGGCATGGTGGCACACACCTGCAATCCCAGCTACTCAGGAGGCTGAGGCAGGAGAATCACTTGAGCTTGGGAGGTGGAGTTTGCAGTGAGCCAAGATCGAACTACTGCACTCCAGCCTGGGCAGCAAAGTAAGACTCTGTCTCAAAAAAGAAAGAAAAATCACAGTTACAAGCCTTTTGTTTCCCTCCTAACCTCACAAAACCTCAGCTCCCTGCTACAGCCTCAGACATGACTCAAAGGCACAACCCTGATAGAGAGCTGGTATTGAGGTGGTGGTGAAATACCCACTTCATGCCCAAGAATGAATGGCCCCTGTCCCAACCTTCAAGAACGCCCCTTGCCAAGGCCACACTATCCCTTCTCCACCTCCCAACCCCCAACAGCTAAAGTGTTGTCTCCTGGCCCAGCAGGAGTCTCTTGGACCCTACTCCTTGGCAGGTCTGTTCTGATTGGTCAGGACCTAAGCTGGATTTGTTGTCATATATTCCGATTTTCAACCATGTTCTATCCCTCCCTCAAATTTAGGGCCCTCAAAGCTTGCTGATTTCTACTTCCTCTTTTTTTAATTTAGAGACAGAGTCTGGCTCTGTCATCCAGGCTGGGGGCAGAGGCACCATCATAGCTCACTGCAGCCTTGAACTCCTGGGCTCAAGCCATCCTCCCACCTCAGCCTCCTGAGTAGCTGGGACTACAGACATGCGCCACCACCACACCTGGCTAATTTTTATAATTTTTTTTGTTGAGACAGAGTCTTGCTATGTTGCCCAGGCTGGTCTCAAATTCCTGGCATCAAGCAATCTCTCCCTTCTTGACCACCCAAAGTACTGAGATTACAGACCTCCACCACCCTGCCCAGAGTGATTTCTACTTCTTAAATATCTCTTGTTTAGATCAATTGATGTGTCCAAGGCCCTTGAACTACCCGAAGTGGTTGATGTGATAACAGCTGAAGACATTCCAGGCACCAATGGCGCTGAAGGTGACAAATTGCTGGCTGTAGATAAGGTACGTCTGGGACATGCTCTTCTAGATGATTCTGTGTAGACAATCACCAAGGTACCCCTCCTGCCAGCTGTTCAGCTCCCAGCTCTTCCTGCCTTTGGGAGGTGGAAGCGCCGAGCCTTCTGGCAGCTGTCTACCCTGCCTTTATTCAGCCCTACTAGTCCGGAGTCAGGAAATAACATAGTAAAAGGAAATGTATTACAGAAAAGCAACAAGTCCTAGTTCTGCCACTGTGTGCTCTTGAGTCCATATGAATTTTTAGAAACACAAGTCAGTACACAACAGGAGCCCCACTATACAAAAACTTTATCTTTAAACTCTAAAATGTCATGAAGGCAACATGTGTCAACCAAGCTGGACAGAAGACATGGTAGATTCAGGTTACGGCCAACCTCACATCCACTCTGAGCCTTACGTTCACTGAGTTACATGGCCAATGGAACTGTCTGTATTATTTAAATTATTTTTTCATTAAACATATTTTTTAGCCAAGCGTGGTGGCTCACGCCTGTAATCCCAGCACTTTGGGAGGCTGAGGTGGATGGATCAGTTGAGTCCAGGAGTTCAAGACCAGCCTGGCCAACATGATGAAATCCCATCTCTACTAAAAATACAAAAATTAGCCGGGCGTGGTGGCACGCACCTGTAATCCCAGCTACTCAGGAGGATGAGGCAAGAGAATCATTTGAACCTGGAAGGCAGAGGCTGCAGTGAGCCAAGATGGCACCACTGCACTCCAGCCTGGGCAACAGAACGAGACTCTGTCTCAAAAAATATATTTTTTTTAATTTTTAGCCAAGCAGATGTAGTCAAATGCGACTCCAATGTGGTTACTATTGCTAAACAGCGACATCTAAGACAGCAGCCACTGCTAAGGTTGAACTAAGCCTATTCCCACCCAGAATTTTGTATCTGCTTCATGTGTGTACTTTCCACAGGTAGTCTGTGTGGGCCAGATCATCTGTGCTGTGGTTGCAGAAACAGACGTACAGGCAAAACGAGCAGCTGAAAAGATAAAGCTCACCTATGAAGATCTGGAACCTGTAATCTTCACGATCAAGGTAAACAGGGCTGGCCGGTCTCTCCCTACGGTTGTAGAATTAAAAGTACCTTTGTAAAAATCTTAATGAAGGATCTAATTGTTTTTCCTTGCCACTGGTTTGCTCTGGAAAAATCAACTTTCTTTGGAAAACATTACTTGCATGAGCTGAAATTATCTTTGGTTCCAAGGAGTGGAAAAGACAGAAGTTTCTCACATTCAAAAAGTCTAGAAGTGGGCAGTCCAGGACTTCTATGGCATTCTGTGTGTTTAGGATCCAGCCTTCTTATATCTAGTCACTCCATCATGCATTGCTTCCTGGAGGGCACATTTGGTCCACAATGGCCACGGAAGCTCTAGCTGTTACATCCACATTCCAGACAGCTGAGAAAATAAGGTGATGAAGAAGGGTGTGCCCCCTCCCTTTAAGGACACTTCCCAGTCCTTAAAGGGAGGCATGTACATTGCACATGCCTTCCTCCATCTCTTTGTTTGGAACATGGTCGCATGCCACACCTAACTGCAAGGGGAGCTGGGAAATGTGGATTTTATTCCAGGTGGCCAGAAAACCACTACAGATCGGAGACTCTATGACTTGAGGAGGAAGGTGAGGATGCATACTGGGAACAGTAATGTTTTCAAGGTAGAGCCCAAATGCAGTGGAACTTTCATGGTGGAATTCCACAGAAACTTCACTCTCGTTTCTGAGTCTAGATAATGATATTCAAATGGTATTTCGGGGAAGATAACGGAGTGAGGACAGACAATTCAGGTGTGGACTGGGGTTTTCAGGTTCTGATTCAGTGAGGGACAGGTTCAGAGTCAATGACTTGAGAAAAGCTTACTTGTTTGTGTGCTTGTGACAGAACATCAAATGTGTCCAGAGGCTTTCATGAACCATTGGGACATTTTAAAATGTAACTAAATGGTACAAATTGCTCAATATTTAAAGTGTTTTTTTAAAAAAAAGTTTCTTGATCTTCCTAAACCAAATCAACTTTGTTCCAAATTCCCATTTGCCAAGTTTGCAAGAATCCAGGCCATTTTTCTTGGCTCATTCCTCTTCCTTGGGTTGAACTAGGATCCTAATAAGGGTTTTTGAAATTGCCCTTCTAACCCCACTTTCCTCAAGGGGGAAATGGCACCCAGAGGACACACCCACGAACTATTCTAGAATTCAGAATGGGTAGGGATTTAGAGTTCCCTCCGAACAAGACTGTCCAGAGTCATCAAAACAAAATCCTCCACAAGTCATAAAATTGTCATATATATAATACCAATAGTGCTTCATCCATCTATTCATTTATTTATATGACTTTATAGATCAGAGGCAACATAGGGTCATGGTTACAAACACAGATCCTAGAACCAAACTGCCAGATTTGAATAGTGGCTGCACCACTTACTAGCTGTGTGACCTTAGGCAAGTTATTTAACCTCTCTGTGCCATGGTTTCCTCATCTGTAAAATGGAGGTAGTAATAATACGTATCTCATTAGTTTGTCATAAAATTAAATGAGTTAACAGGTGTAAAGCACTTAGAACAGTACCTGGCACATGGTTAGCACTCACCCAATATAGCCTATGTTATAACAATATTATACTGTCTTGGTTGGGCATAGTGGCTCATGCCTGTAATCCCAGCACCTTGGGAGGCTGAAGCAGGTGGATCACTTGAGGTCAGGAGTTTGAGATCAGCCTGGCCAACATGGTGAAACCCCGTCTCTACTAAAAATACGAAAATTAGCCAGGTGTGGTGATGCATGCCTGTAATCCCAGCCTCTGGGGAGGCCGAGGCAGGAGAACCACTTGAGCCCAGGAGGCGGAGTTGCTGTGAGTCGAGATCACACCACTGCACTCCAGCCTGGGTGAAAGAGCAAGACTCCATCTAAAAAAAAAAAAAAAGAGATTATGCTGTCTTATGACACATTTACAGTATGGCAATAAACATACTTTCACATGTACCAGGATGGCTTCTGAGATCTTAGTATAACAGAAAATGAAAAAATTCAGCTATATTGTTCCTTGTCTGCTGCTTTGAAAAAATCAAGTGTTCATCATTAGATAGTATGTTTTTAAAAACTTAGCCTGGGCTTGAACACTTCCTTTATCACTTATTTACAGTGTGACTTTGAGAAAGTTCTTTTAACCTCTCTAAGCCCAGTTTCCTCATCTAGGAAACAGAGATCATAACAGAATGAACGTAAGGATACAAGTACATACGCTGTTATTGCACAGTGCTTAGCACAAAGCAAGCTCTCCATCAATATTAGCTGCTCCCAGGAGCATCATCAGCAAGAAAGGCTATGGCATCTGAGGCCATCAGAGCCTAGGAAGGCAGGAGACAGGTGTCATTCAGAAGTATGAAAAAATACCTTGGTTCTAAAGGCTAAACAAGGATCCGCTGTCAGTAGGTCAGTCCACAGAACCAGTCTTTATTTGTAAGTCAGTTCATGTTATTGTCAGGGGGAAGAAAAAAAAAACATAGAACAAAGAGCTAGAAAAGCCCTTATGAGATGATGCCAAATACTCAAAGAAAGGAACAAACTTCCTATTAGGTTGGTGCAAAAGCAATTGCAAACTTTTATAGCAAAAACTACAATTGCTATTGCACCAACCTAATACAATGTGTACTGGGCTTTTCTGCCCCAGAGATGTGTAATAACTTGTGTCTTCCCTCTCAAGACAGCCTCAGTATTTTTCAGATCCCTGAGTGAGAGGTTCTTGTACCTGAGCTACCTAAGTAGTCTAACACAAGCATTTTTCTTCAAGGAAAAGGTAAACGAAAAAAAAAAGGCAGATTCCCAAACCTCACCCATCATGCACATTTGACTTATCTCATGTTCCCTGGAGAGTCACATTTAAATAAGAAATTAGTATTCATCGTCCGGGATCATCATAGTGTCCCCAGCCCTCAGTTATGAACGTAGCTTCCTTCTGAAGGTTTCGCTAATCCTTCTTGCTGGTTTTCTCTGCAAATCTAGAAGACCTTTCCTTGGACTTCCCATCTCTGCAGCCAGCCTACCGCTCTAATTCTCCCTTGCTTGTTTGACACCTTTCATCTGTCCCGGGAGACAGTGATTTTCCAGAGCATACTGGCTTTTAAGAAAAAACTAACAGTGGAAGGAAAAGTCGGAAGAACTGGCTTTTATGCTTTTTTGTTTTTCTGCAATTTAGGATGCCATAAAACACAATTCATTCCTGTGCCGTGAAAAAAAAACTTGAAAAAGGAAACGTTGAGGAGGCCTTTGAAAAAGTCGACCAAATTGTTGAAGGTGAGCTCCCAGGGATACTTAATAGACTCTGCCTGATTCTATTCTGAAGCAACCATCAAAAGTGTATGATTTCCCCTCAGAAAGTCCAGCCTCTAAAGTCTTGGTGCTTTGCCAAATTTCTCTTACATCTCTTCCTTTCAAATTGTGTGTGTGTGTGTGTGTGTGTGTGTGTGTGTGTATGTGCAGTTTTGGCGTTGGTGGGTAGGGAGCAATAGCATAAATAAAAGAAAATCTCTAAGATTTTGGTTTGGGCAGAGTAAGGAACAAAACTTGGCACTTTTAATTTGTGATCCAGAACTATTGTCTCTGAAACAGATTGCCACAGGACAAATGCCTGGTTCCTTCGTCAGGATAAATCCAGGCCAGCCAGGCAGGGCACGGTGACTCACACCTGTAATCCCAGCACTTTGGGAGGCCGAGGCAGGTGAATCACCTGAGGTCAGGAGTTCGAGACCAACTTGGCCAACATGGTGAAACCCCATCTCTGCTAAAAATACAAAAATTAGCCAGTCATGGTGGCAGGAGCTGTAATCCCAGCTACTTGGGAGGCTGAGGCAGGAGAATCGCTTGAGCCTGGGGGGCGGAGGTTGCAGTGAGCCGAGATCGCGCTGCTACACTCCAGCATGGGTGACAGAGCGAGACTCCACCTCAAAAAAAAAAAAAATCCAGGCCAGCCAGTCCACATCTTACTGGCTTTTGAATTCTCCAAGACGGTGGCTCTCCAAGACGGTGGCTTCCCACCAGCACACACCTTAGGAGTTGTTCTGTGCTTATGCTTAACAGGAGAGGTCCATGTTGGAGGACAGGAACATTTTTACATGGAAACACAAAGAGTGCTTGTTATTCCAAAGACAGAGGACAAAGAACTGGACATTTATGTGTCCACACAGGACCCAGCCCACGTGCAGGTGAGGTCCAGGATAATACCCACGTCCCCACCTTCCTAATTCCATGATCACAGTCGATCCCACAGCCTCACAATCACTGGCCATTTTACCTGCAGAAACCTGGAATCCAAGCATTAGACATCAGACATCAATAATGCAGCCAAGACCTCAGAACCTTTTTTTTTTTTTTTGGTCTTTTCAAGTAAATAAAAAAATAGTCACAGTAATTTTAGGTTTCAAGAGTACGTTCATTTGCATCATGCTTAGATGAGCTCTGTGATGAGATGGCATCACTAAACTATTTCTGTACTTGATTTTTCTCTAAAATAATCATCACAGATAACCTTTGGAGTCAACACATCACTTTATAGTACATTTTCATTTCCCCAGTCACAAAGTGCTCTAGGTTTAGCTGCAAACACATCATCTCCTTGGTAGGTTGTCAGGAGTTCGCCGGCTTTCATCTCCTTGGGACTTTAGACTAGGAACCCAGCTTCTCACAGGAATCCAGGGCTCTGACAGTTTTCCTTCTGGAAAATACCATTTTTCTGCTAGAAGGGCTGCTCTGTGCGGACCAACGGTGTTTACGAGCTAAACAGAGCCCCACCAGACAGATTCAGACTATCTCCATTTTTTTTACCAATGGTAGATGTGAATGAATTCTGCTGGGATGCTGTTTCAAGAAACAAAAAGCTTCTTTTCCATTTCACTCTTATAAACCTTCTTGTTATCTCACTTTTACAGAAAACAGTGTCCTCTACTTTAAACATCCCCATCAACAGGATCACCTGTCATGTAAAACGAGTGGGTGGAGGTTTTGGAGGGAAGGTAGGAAAGCCAGCTGTATTCGGGGCTATTGCAGCTGTGGGTGCTATCAAGTAAGTATGGTTGGGGATGCTTAGGGATACAGAATGGCATCAAATGCACAGAGCTGAGGGCAAATCAGTGGCTGACAGTCATCTGGGCTGCCATCATAACCATGTGTGTGTCCTTGGGCAATTCAGCCTCCTGTCTGTTTCTTTAAAAAATGTAAATAATCATACCTACCCTCCCACACTTTTAGAGTTATTGCAAAAGTCAAATGTACACAGGACTTTGAATAGCTGACATGCTATTGAAAGGAGCAGTGGTACTATTAGCTGAATACCTCCTGAGCTTCAGGGAAAGTGAGCCGTTGAGGGGTGGGGCAAGTCACCCTGCCCAAGTGGAGTGCTAGGGGAGGCTGCTCCCTGACTCTTCTTTCCTGCTCTCAGACCAAGAACAGGGTGAGGTAAGGAAAGAAAGGCTCTTCATCCTCTGCCTCCCTGCACCTGGGAAGGGCTGCGTCCTCAGAGTCTGCTCAATGGACAGATGACTCATCCTCAAAGACAGCTCCCAGGCTGACCTCAGCGGAAGGCTCACTCCTTTGCTGTTCATGCCTCAGATTTGTATTTAGTTGGTGCTGCTTTTTCTGTTAATGGTTCATTTTCTGTGGCTAAGTATTCTGTCAGAGCCCCAGAGGGCATGCAAAGTTTACAGGCCCTGCTTCATTTGACAACTCTTGTAGTTCAGAGCTAGGTCCTGAAACACTCAGACATATGTCTCAGTCCTCAGTGAGAAGTGGGAAAAAGCAGGATCTGAATCCCATCTCCAATTCTTTCCATAATTAAATCCACTCCACTCACACCCACTGGGGATTCAGCACAAGATAATCAGTTCATTGAATTCCCCCCAGGCGTTGTGGCTTTAAGACTTCTCAAACACGACTGCACGTTAGAATCATCTGGGCAGCATTTAAATACCAGTGCCCAGGCTGCCCCATACTGACCCAGGCATCCGTATATTTTAAAACTTCCTCAGTGGTTCCACTGTGCAGCCAAGTGTGGCAACCAGTGCCTTAAGATACAACTCTACCTTGGTACCCAAGGGCCATGCATTAAATGATCCCCAGAGTAATGTTCCCAAACCTAATAGTAAGTAAGAGTTGCCTGATGTCATAGAAATTCCTGCCTCAGCTGGGCATGGTGGCTCATGCCTATAATCTCAGCACTTTGGGAGGCTGAGGCAGGAAAATCACCTGAGCCCAGGAGTTCAAGATGAGCCTGGGAAACATGGTGAAATCCTCATCTCTACAAAGATTTAAAATAGAATAAAATAAAAATAGCTGAGCACAGTAGCACGTGCCTGTGGTCCCAGCTACTCAGGAGGCTAAGGCAGGAGGATTGCTTGAGCCCAGGAGATCAGGCTGCAGTGAGCCGTGTTCATACCACTGCACTCCAGCCTGAGTGGCAGAGCAAGACCCCGTCTCAAAAAAGAAAGTCCTGCCTCCCCATCCCAGCACCACTGAATCAGAATTAGCAGGGGATGGACCTGGAAACTGCATTTCCCTGATGTTCCAGATTGTCCTCACAATTAGGGAACACCAGGAAACCCTGCACTAGAATAGTGATTTTCAACATTTGCCTGAAGACACCTGAATCAATATCACTCAGAAAAATGCATTCTAAAGCCCCTCCCTGACCCACTGAATCCAAATCCTAGTACAAAGGCCCAGGAATATGCATTTTCACCAGCGTGCCAGAGGATTCTTCAGCACTCCAAAGTCTAGAAGCCTCTGCTCTGGAGATGGAGAAAAGCTGAGGCTCCTCCCTGAATGAGAGCCCAACTTGGCCAGCATAGCCTTCACGGATGAGAATGGAGACGCTAACCCAGACATCCTAGGATGAGTGTTTGGCCTTGTTTTCCCAGTAGGGTTGTTAAGTTTGCATTTATCTGTTCACATTCTTTCTCTTTTGTAAATAGTGGTGGAGATAATGCAAATATCTGGATCTGGGTGAAGGTCAAACTTGAAGCTATAGAATTCAACTTAACCGAATGTGACATTAATACTTTTAACAAGATCTCCAACCATTGAGTTATAGACCACAGAGACAATGAAGATTTAGTCATATATTAATAATTCACGTTAGTGTCTAGCATATTGTATGATATTAATACATTTATATGGGATAAATGAATGGATGGATGGTTGAATAAAGAGTGGGAGAATGGATAGTGGATGGATGGATAATAGGCAGATACATTGATGGGTGGGCAGATAGTTAAATGAGGGGATGGATAAATATGAGTAGATAGGTGAACGAGAAGATGGATGGATGGATGGATGGGATGGGTGGAGAACCTAAGATTTATTTTCTTTAGAACTGGTCACCCCATTCGTCTCATCCTTGATCGTGAAGATGATATGCTAATAACTGGAGGAAGGCATCCATTATTTGGAAAATATAAAGTGAGTATTAAAGATTAATTATTAAAATATCTCATTTTGGCTAGGCACTGTGGCTCACACCTGTAATCCTACCACTTTGGGAGGCCAAGGCGGGCAAATAGCTTGAGCCCAGGAGTTCCAAAACCAGCCTGGGCAACATGGGGAGACCCTATCTCTAAAAAAAATACAAAAATTAGCTGGGTATGGTGCCACATGCCTGTACTCCCAGCTACTTGGGAGGCTGAGGTGTGTGGATCCCTTGAGCCCAGGAGGTGGAGGCTATAGTGAGCCAAGATTGCACCACTGCACTCCAGCCTGGGCGACAGAGTGAGACCCTGTCTCAGACATAAATAAATAAATAAATAAATAAATAAATAAATAAATAAATAGATAATCTGATTTTATCTGAATGGCTTTGTTCTTTTCTATCATTTTGATTTTGCTAAATTCTAAAAACAAACTTAGCACCTAAAATATTAAATGAGGATGCTGTGTATTTGAATATTCATAACATTTTATGAGGAACTTTTAATAATTCTAGTAAATAATTGTGAAGAAGTTTAATGATAAAAATACAATTTCAAATAATGATCAAAACACTCCTTGAAGGAATAAGGATTTACATTAGTGGTTCCTCAAAAACAAACAGACAAACACTGATAGAAGGTACAAACATTGCTATGCCAAACCTTCTTGACTATACAAATATTTTTCAGTAGAAATGTTTGGAGACAATTTGACCATTGACCATTTTAACTGCAAAATCATTTTTTAGAAGTGTTTTTACCAAGTGGCTATGATACTGTCACAAAAGCTCTTTGCATGTAGGAAAAAATAATACAGTAAGTAGTGAATTTAAAATTGTTTCAGACTGCATTTACTGCATTTTTATATAACTATAATATAAACATCTTAAAAATACTTGCTGGCCTCGAGCTTACAATACTACTTTTCAAATTTGTCATTGAGCTGTTAGGATCATTCTAATGTAATCTAAGTCGTATCGAACATACTTTACGTGGGAATTGCTTGTAGCATATACATAGTTAGATTTCCTATCTGATTTTGTCATTGTCTTAGATTATCTTCCCTGTATTACTAAAGCCACAGTTTTCTATAGCACAGAACAATTTTATTTCTTCCATTGGCATTAATAATTTTTATAATTAGAGAGGGAGATCCTCTCTAATAGTTGGCCGATTCAACTGTTTATTTGCTTTCAAATGCACAGATATTAATAGTCACAGCTATTATTGTCTTCTAGGACCGAGAGCAATGTAGAGACACACTGCTAAGATTGGAGCAGTTGCTGTTGTGGTGATGGCTGTGCTCTTATCAAAGTTATGAGATTCTTTTAGTACTAATACTTGTTAAGAAGATTCTAGACTGTTAATATTTTGGTAATTATAGTAATATAAAGTATAAAAGAGGGAAATAGATTTTTTGAAAAATCCAAGTTTTATTTTATATTTTGGCTGGGTGTGGTGGCTCACACCTGTAATCCCAGCACTTTCGGAAGCTGAGGCGGGTGGATCCCCTAAGGTCAGGAGTTCGAGACCAGCCTGGCCAACATAGTGAAACCCCATCTCTATTAAAAATACAAAAAAATAACTGGGCGTGGTGGCATGCACCTGTAGTCTCAGATACTTGGGAGGCTGAGGAAGGAGAATGGCTTGAACCCAAGAGGCAGAGGTTGCAGTGAGCCAAGATTGTACCACTGCACTATAGCCTGGGCGAGAGAGCAAGACTCTGTCTCAAAAAAAAAGTCCAAGTTTTATTTTATTTTTTAAGAAACAATTTCAATTCCAATATAATATATATAAACAATTTCACTTCATATATACATATATATATATATATACACACATATATATATATATACACACACACATATATAATCCTTCAGACACAGCTAACAAAGTTTTGCTTGGTTATTCAGAACTATTTGTAAATTAGGATAACATGTGTTTATGTTTAAATAGTTTCTTCCAAATTTTTGAAAAGTTTATATGAAATAGTTTAAGGATTCTGCTACCTTATTTATAGTACTATTTTGCTTAGCAGTCCTTTCTTCATGAAAGTCAAAGGTAAACTTCAGTCAAAGTCTAATGTTAACCCTATAGTTATATATATAGTCGTGTGGATCCTTCAGTTGTATTTATCCCTGCTTTCAGAAAGGCAAAGGGACCTGGATCAATCCTCGTTTGGTAGAACTACAGTAGGGAGTGGGGATTTTTCTTTTCTTTTTAATGTGGACTGTATAGACAAAATGGTCTGGATGGGTGGAGGGGAGTGGCAACACTGAAAGAATGCAAGCTGCCTTAAGCTCTTCCCAAACAGTAACAACAGCACGAGCTCAGGTTTGTTAGGTCAGGTAAGCATATACAAACATCTTCACCACCTAGTGAAATGAGAGCAGTCCCCATGCATCCATTCAGGGACCTCAGCTTCAGAGGCTTTCCCATAACAGGATACACTGTGATTCATTCCAACACATTCTGGAATTCCAGAGACTTTTTCACCAGGGAGGAAACCACACACTAAATTAGAAAGAAAGTCAGTAAAAAAATGAAGGGGAATCTTCCAAGAATAAGGATGAAGAGGGTGGCAATTATAGTCCAGGAGACAAGCAAAGTCTTTAGAATCCCATGCTGACTGTGAAGCCAGAAAATCACATGTTGGAAGGAAAGAGCTCAGCAAAATTCAGCTCAGAAGAAGTCTCCATCAGTCAAGCAAGGCATGGTACACCATAAAGCAAACAGGGAGCTGAGTCTGGCCTCTGTCCTGCCCTGTGGGGGAACTGGGCTATGTCTCACAATTGGCATGCAAATTTTGAACATCTCAGTAAATAACTATCATTTGGTGACAGGTAGGATTCATGAACAACGGGCGGATCAAAGCTCTAGACATTGAGTGCTACATTAACGGAGGATGCACGCTGGATGACTCTGAGCTGGTACGTACACCAGAAAGCAGCAACGTGCTTGACCATGAGTAGAATGCCAAATTTCTAGATGACTCTTTATGAAGTTTATTTCCTAATGTAGTTAAATTCTACAAGCCGTTTGACTCTGTACTTGACTTTCAGAGAAAAGAAAAAAAAAGTGATGATAAATGTGAATATCCCTTTTTAGGTAACAGAATTTCTAATACTAAAGCTGGAAAATGCATATAAAATTCGCAACCTGTTCAGGTTCCAGGGCCGTGCATGCATGACAAATTTACCATCCAATACGGCCTTTCGTGGATTTGGCTTCCCACAAGGAGCCCTAGTAACAGAATCTTGCATCACAGCTGTGGCAGCCAAATGTGGCCTTCCACCAGAAAAGGTAAGGTTGCAACAAAGGCCATAACCAAAGTTGCTGATGAACCAGACTGGGAAACCCAGCTTCTTTGACCCAAGGAAACACACTAGAAGAACCACATGAATTAGCCCTGGCTCAGAATTCAAAGTGAATTAAAAGCTACCTAAAAAAACTCACCTCACCCTATCTTCCTCCTTCCTTACTTACGCAAACATCTCTTTTTTTTCATTTGTACCAAAATAATTACTCTACTTAAAATTCAAACCACACCGAAGTAATCAAAAAAAGGGAATGCCCCTTTTTCCACCCCCATCCCTCTTGGTCAAGGGTAATCATTGTTAACAATTCCATGTTTATTGTTCTACCCCTTTTTCTATCTTTGGCCACCCATTTGTATTCATACACACATACCTAAACATTGACATATAACATATATGTGCACACGTATGGTTATTTACCAGAATGGGACCATAGCATACATATTACTCTGCCCCTTCCTTCTCCTACAGGACAGTATGCCATGGCCATCTTTCTATGTCAGTAGAATGGTCTGCTTCATTCTTTTTCATGACTGAATAGTACTATGTAATGTGCACGTACCATAACTTATTTAACCACTCCACTATTAATATACATTCTGGCTGTTACCATTTTTGGCCATTAAAATGATGTTACAATAAACATCTTGGTACATATGTACCCAGGTATATGTTTGCCTTATTTATCTTTAGGATAAATTTACAGAAGTGGAATTACTGGTGCACTTGAAAACTTTTAAGAAATACTGCCAGAAGAACACCCTCTGAAAATACTGTTTTTCACAATAGACCAGAAGGTGCACAGGATGTACAGTATGCTGGACTAGAGGGAGGCAGCTTCTGGAATTGAGATCATGGTCAATAACTTGCTTCCACTCCCCACACATTCCAATCAGAGCCCACCCTACCTTTTCCATTTCTGTCCCCTGTTTCCCCAATATAGACCCCCTACTCCAGCAAGAACTCTCCTATGTATTGTCCCTAGAACTGCTTTGTCCCTAAATTCAACAGGAATTCCAGGTTTGTGATTGTCGGGGTACTTCCTACAAACAAGAGAACACCTAATATTTTGTACAAGGAAGGCAGTAGTTATCCTAAGAGAAGTCACGTACAGTGTTCCACGGGTACCAGAGAAGGAAGGCATCACGTTGGCATGGGGAGAGGGGAACCAGGAAGGACTTTCTGGAGAAGATGGCACTTGAGATAGGCCTTGAAGAATAATTGGCACAGATGTTGGAAAGGTGATCTAGGCAAGTAGAACAGCATGAGCAAGAGTGTCAATGTCTGTGTAGTTCAGTTTCCTTATCTATAAATGACTCACCTCACAGAGTTCCTGCAAGAATCAAATAATTTAACATTCATTACAATATTTGTTTTATAAACTGGATAGTATTATTCCAACGTTGTTGCCAATAATAATAATTCTTTTACTGTGATTAGAATAAAATGGAGATGATTTAAAAAAAACTTCTAGGCAAATCTCAGCAGGCTCTCCTTTGTCAAGTGTTGCAAGTTTCCAGGACATATAACATAAAACACACCTTATTCAAATAAGCCGTTTTTTTTTTTCTTTCTTTCTTTTAGAGATGAGGTCTCACTACGTTGCCCAGGCTGGTCTTGAACTCCTGAGCTTAAGTGATCCTCCTGCCTCGGTCTCCCAAAGTGCTAGGATTACAGGTGTCAGCCACCACACGAGGCCCAAAGAAACTGCTTAAAAGATTTACCCATACATTCCAAAGGCAATTAAAAGACTTAGAGGGGATCTGCTATTATTTGCAATGCTATTCCTCCCTGGCAGGACAAATCTTCAGTTATGACAATGAATCCTTGCTTTAGTGTACTGCCCACCAGCTCTGCTCCATCCTCTGAACCTTGTAGAATAAAAAGAAAAGAAAAATCTACCTCCCTAGGCCCCTACATCCCACTGCCTTTCATGGAATAGTCTCCACCTGCTACCTTCCACTTCTAGTAAGGAGAGACCCTAACTGGTGCATTGATGAAGAGGTAAAAATAACCTCTACTATTTTTGCAAAAGCATGTACCATTCAAAGAAAAAACAGACCCTGTCTTCCCTTCTCTACAGCTTGTGCTTTCGTGGAGAGGTTTTTCAAGTCTCTATTTGGCCATCAGTTTCTGCCTTACCATAACTACTGAATTTCCCACCTGTTTCAGATTAGAGAGAAAAATATGTACAAAACATATCTACAGATATGTAGATAAACATATCTACAGATATGTAGATAAACATATCTACAGATATGTAGATAAAACCATCTACAAACAAGCATTCAACCCTGAGACCCTGATAAGATGTTGGAATGAGTGTCTAGACAAGTCTTCCTTTCACAGCAGAAGAATGCAAGTCGAAGAGTTCAATAAGAAGAATTATTGGAAGAAGAAAGGCATTGCTATTATTCCCATGAAGTTTTCAGTTGGCTTTGCTGCAACAAGCTACCATCAGGTAAGACTTGCATATAGGATAAATAACCTTCATGCTAGACACACTCCTGGCCCAATCAGCTTTTGTGGACTTTGAAAAATATCTCATTTCTTAGAGCATTGAGCTCCTCCCTGCCAACACCTAAGAGAAATATACAGAACTGTCCAGAGCAGCACCCCTATCTGCAAGCATTTTTAATACAGTGCAGTATTTGTTTCCTTCTTGGGAAACAAATCCCTAATCAACTGAAGTCAGGAAGACCTGAGAAATCCTCGGCTCTGTATTGACCAGCTGTGCAACATTAAATTATTCAACATCTCTGAGCCTCAGCTTTCCCAGTGATAATAACAATAATAGTAATAACAATAACTCTGTCTTAAGATTGATGAGGACTCAGTAAGATAGTGAATGTAGAGCAGCACTTGGCTGGGTTCCTGGAACACTGTGGATGTCATCCAGAGCATCACTAGGCCCCTCCCAGGACAGCTCAGACACACCTCTCAGGGCTCCTCCTCCTCTGGTGGGTAGGATGAGACCCCCTGAACCTCTGGGTCACATGTTCAGGCCCAGCATGCCCCTTCTATAAACAGGCACAAGAAGGTTAACTGTCATGTCTGCAAGCTAGATGCAATCAAAGGCTGTGACATCAGAGAAACTTGAGAGCTGCCTGTGTGGTTTCCTCTCTGATGCCAAATATTGTCTTTTCCAAACCAACTCCAACACCAAGTGGGTGTCCAACCATTCTGTTCTCACACTAACTACCAGAGTTAGTGCAGACTCCACAGATCAAGGGCTGAGTCCCACAAGACCGCCCCTATTTCAGACACCAGCTTCAAATGGAGGGCCCTAGCTACTCACACTCCTGCCTGGCCGACTACTAATTTGGAGGTTTTCACTACCCCCATTCAGGTTTGATAATTTGCTAGAATGACTCATGGAACTCAGGAAAGCACTTTACTTATGATTATTACCAGTTTACTGTGAAGGATATGACTCAGGAACAGCCAGATGGAAGAGCTGCCTGGGGCAAGGGATGGGAAGGGGACAGAGCTTCCCTGACCTCTCCAGGCACACACCCTCCCAGCACCTCCACATGTTCACCAACCCAGGAGCCCCCAGACTGCATCATTTGGGGTTTTTATGGAGGTTCCACTATACAGGCATGATTGATTACAGCATTGGCCATTAATGATTGAACTCAATCTCTAGCCCCCCTCCCAAGAAGATGGGGAGGAGGACTGAAAGACCAATGCACACCGCCTCCAAGCCCCCATCCTAAAGCTACCTAAGCCCTCCTCATGAGTCGTCTCATTAGGAGAATAAAACAGTAAATTCCAAGGCTTTACGAACTCTGAACCAAGAACCAGGGGCAAAGATCAAATATTTACTTTTTATTATAACACACTTCCCTTCACCTGTACGGCCACACCGCATCTAAACCACAGCCTACGCTCTACCATCATCCATGGGAACAAACATCTCATCTCATCACAAAGAAAACCTTCAAATCAAGCAATGATTTTAAGTCTCCATTTGAATATCCTCCAGCTGCTCCACAGAGTTCTAAATTGAGGCACCCTAGAATCACCTGGCTAGGAATAGAAGGGTGTTATTCCAGGTCAGCTGATGACTCACAAAGCTGGAACACCTACCCTCTAAATTGGCAGTGAGAGCTCTGTCCTCAGTGGGAGTCAAAAGACCCATGGTGAGTAAATCCTATTATTAGCAGCTACAAGCCTTGATGCTCCCAAGCCCCTCTGAGCCAACCCTGGGCCTCCAGGCATCTCGAGACACAAATGGGCTGAAGCCTTCGTTCCTCCTTCTCCTGGAAAGAAAAAAATACCACCTTTCCCTTTGTCCAGTTTATCAAACATTGATGTAGTGTCCCTGTGATTTTTTTTTTTTTTTTTTAGACAGAGTTTTGCTCTTGTCACCCAGGCTGGAGGCTGGAGTACAATGGCACAATTTCTGCTCACTGTAACCTCCGCCTCCCAGGTTCAAGCAATTCTCCTGCCTCAGGCTCCCAAGTAGCTGGGATTACAGGCACCTGCCACCACGCCTGGCTAATTTTTGCTTTTTTAGTAGAGTCGGGGTTTCACCATGTTGGTCAGGCTGGTCTTGAACTCCTGACCCCAGCTGATCCACCCGCCTTGGCCTCCCAAAGTGCTGGGATTACAGGCATGAGCTACCACTCAAGGCCAGGACCTGCTCAGAGGTATTTACGGGACACAAAGATGAGTTAAGACCAGGTGTCTCTCCATGGCAACACTCAGAGAAGAGCCTCTTACCTCCAGGATTCCTTACCTGTGGCTGCTCTTACAAAGTACCACAAACTGGGTGATTCAAAAACAACAAATTTATTCTCTCACAATTCTGGAGGCCTGAAGTTCAAACTCAAGGGGTCAGCAGGGCCGTGCTGCCTCTGAAGGCTTCAGGGAAGGATCTTCCCTTGCTTTTCCAGCTTCTGGTGGCTCCTGGTATTACCTGGCTTGTGGCAACATAACTCCAGTCGCTGCTGCCTCCATCTTCCATGGCCCTCTTACAAGGACACCAGTCATTGAGTTTAGGGCCCGCACAATCCAGTATGATTTTATCTTAAGTAGTTGCATCTGCAAAGACTACATAAAGTTCCATGTTGAGGTTTCAGACAGACATGAATTTTAGGGGGCAGGGGAGGGACATTCTTCAACCCAGTATTCCTGTAAGGAGAAGTACAAAGAAGGAGGTGATTGATCCTTCCCAGATGGGGATGAGTACAGGCGTGAGTCGCCGCATCCAGCCAAGTGAGGAAGTTTTAACAGAACATAGACTGCAGGGCGTGGCCCTGCAGGCTGTGCAGACAGGTAAGGAACAGGAGGAGAAGCCGGCCAGGACAAGAGATTGGACAGAAGCAAGGAGCACAGGCCAGAAAGGAGCTGCAGTGGGGCCAGACTCAGAGGCAAGGCAGGGGGCGACAGGGACTGTACAAGAGACCAAATCCGACAGGACCTCCTAGTGGAATAAGGAGCCGAGCTTTCCCTTACAGGCTGTGGGGGGTTTGCCCACCTTGCCCATGGCAAAGCCTTCTTCGGTCTGTGATTCTGTTCTGTTGTCACTTGTCATCCCTGAGCAGCACAGGAGTTGCACCTGTCCTCCCAGGTCTCCCAGGGCCCCCTATGCCACTCTCATTATCTCACTGATCATCCTACACTACAGTGACTTGATCTCCAGCCTGCCTTTCCACCACATTGTGAGCAGCTTGAAGAAGAGCCATGTCTTGTTCATCTTTATGTATCTGGAGCTGAGCACACTTGGTACACACTATGTGCAAGTACCTAAAACATTTAAATAACTAGCTTAATGGTCAGCCAGTGATTTTAAGCATGAGAGTGACTTTCAAACAATTGGAACCAACGCTCTCAACTCCTGAGGTATCCAAAGGGGCTCCTATGAAAACCAGGAGGAATGTTCTTTACAAGCGACTTTTTGCACAAAACAGAACTAAGCTTCAGCATCCCACCAGGAAAGTTTGCTTCTCTGACCCCCTCCACTCCCTAAGACTGGTGTTTCACTACCTTGTGTTTTATATTGAACCTCACCAAATGCTAACTTGCACTGAGCTATGCCTTCCGGATTCTTTTACTAGGCAGCTGCACTGGTTCATATCTACACAGATGGGTCTGTGTTGGTCACACATGGAAGCAATGAACTGGGACAAGGTATTCACACCAAAATGCTACAGGTAAAATAAATAAAATTAAACCATTATTCTCTATATACATTGTTGAAAGTTAGGATTCATCTATTAGGGTAAATGTTGACTCCCTGTATTCAAACACTGAGATCTTGACTATTTAGTTGGACGGCTTCTTACATATCAAATAGAATGTAGAATGGCTGAGGTGGCAGAAATCCCACGTGTATGCAGACAGTCCTGGAGCTTGGCCAGGGTTCATGGATGGGGTGATCATTAGTGAAAACGCCACTAAGAAACCCATGGAGCCCTGTGGTGGGAGATCCAAGCAGGCAACCAGGAGCAGGAGTTTCTCAGCTAGTTTTAATGTTTACATTTTAGACAACAATATTAGGTTGCTAATGTTTTATTTTGACAAGTAAGAACAAGTATTTCATCAACTGCCATCATCCTACAATTTTTATAAGATATTTAACACACATACATACACACCAATTAGTACGAATATAATCTCAGGAGAAAAACAAGAATAATTCTTTAAATAACCCTGTGACAAATGTATTAGATTTCTATAGCGCATTAGATTTCTATAGCGCACATCTGTAGCTTTTGACTATCCAGCCCCTTAGCTCATTTGGAGTACTGTACCTCTCACATGCCATATATTCCTGAAAGACTCCTCAATTTGGGTACCTTTCAGCTCCATCCCCATCCTTACTCCCACGCCTGCTGCAGATATAGGCACAAGACCCGCCTCTGGTCAGTCAGGGTTCCGGAATCCCACTGACTCTGGGAAAGGACACATGATTCAAGCAAGGCCACTCAGAGCCTTTCCTGGGACTGACGTGTAGATGCTGGGAGAAAGGAGCCATCTTTCCCCTGTGGCTGTTTAGGTACTATACTATAGGGCAGGGGCTGCCACAGGCAGTTCTGTGCCATGGATGGAACCGGCCATCATAGAAAGAAAAGCAAATGTGAGAGGCTGAGAGGAGACCCTGACGAGACCACAAAGCCCCTAGATACACATGTACTTCACACTAGCTCCATCTATCCTGCCCAGTTATATGAACCAACAAATTCCCTTTGGATTTTCACCACCCAGAAACAACAAAGTCATCCCTTTTTTTCATTTTGCTTCTTTCTGGAGAAACTTCATATTGAATGACATTAGTCAGAAGATTAGCATTTGAGAACGGGATATCATGAGAAGGTGTTTTTTGCAAACACAAAAAGACAAGAGAAGCCAAAATAATGTTTTTTCCTTTCCCTTTCTTCTTTTTCATCTCTTTCCTTGTCATTTCTTGATTAAATATCTTCATCTCCACATGTGTTTGCTAGAGAAACTGGAAGGAAAAGAGCAGAAAAGAAGCCAGGTGCAGTGGCATGCACCTGTAGTCCCAGCTACTCAGGAGGCTGAAGCAGGAGGATCACTTGAGTCCAGGAGTTCAAGATCAGCCTGGACAACACAGTGAGACCCCATCTCTAAAATAATAATAATAATCTTTTAAAAATTATTTTTAAGAACCAGAAAAAATGAACAGCAAATACTGGAGGAATATAAGCAAGGGAAAACAAATAGAAAACAGAGGGGGAGGATAAGAGCAAGAAAAAGGTCCTCAGGGTCATTCCAAGTTCATCTGATACTGATATCGAAAGATTTCAGACCAAATTCTGAGCCAGTCTCATCTCAGTCTCCCCTCTTTCTCTCTCTCTCTCTCTTCCTCTCTCTCTCTCTCTCCCTCCATCCCTCTTTTTCTTCCTGCCACTGAACCAAATAAGTGCCTGAAAATCTCAATTTGGCCTACTTCCTACACATCTAAAACTTAGAAAAAAGGAAATTCTTAACATTCTAAACGGACTCAATTTGAAAAGAACCACTGTGGAATATTACCAAGAAAACGCTGTAAAAATGAGCATGAGGCCTTACAAAAAAAGTAGTTTTGATGCTTATAAAGTACATTATTTTAGTCTTAAAAGGGTACCATGGATGTAATAACAAATAATTTTTATTAAGAAAAATAATGATTCAAATCTTCATAGAAGTCCTTGCTGGACTTGAAAATATTTATGTTTCTCATAGGTGGCCAGCCATGAGCTAAAAATACCCATGTCCTATATGCACATCTGTGAAACGAGCACAGCAACAGTGCCCAATACAATTGCTACAGCAGCGTCTATCGGTGCAGATGTCAACGGCAGAGCTGTGCAGGTGAGTCTTCCTGTCTCTCCTTGGTGTGCCTCTCCCACATCCCTGGTTTTTATGACTAGATACAGGTACAATAGTTGACTTCAGAGAAGTCATCTGTGTCACTACACATAGTCTGAGGTAATTAAAATGTTGGGAGAGTGTATTTGGAGTAGGCTAAATTGAGATGACAGACCCAAAATGTAAAGGCTCAAACACAGTAAAAGTCCCTTTCTTGTACACATATCAGTCCCGAGCATTGTTTGGTCATTCGAGCACCCAAATTGATGGAGGCTCCACCATCTTCAACATGTGGTGTGCCAAGTTGCCCTGGGTGTCATCATTCCAGTGAGCATGGAGGAGCCGGTGTGGAAGACTCTGAGCCAGATCTGGAAGTGATGCAAGTCATTTCCACACACAGTCCATTAGCAGAACCAGTTTCGGGCTATGTCTAACTGCAACGGAGGTTGGGAAATGTAGAATAGTGGGAAACCGTATGTCCAGCTGCTATGGAAGAAGGAGAGAATGGATTTTGGTGAACAGGCAGTCTCTGTTCCTAGGAGACACAGCAAGAAGAAATTTGGCTACCAAGTAATGCAGAGCTGTGCAAGTTTCCTCCAGCATAAACAAGTGCTTGCAGGCAGATAGGCAGGCAGACCCCAGCCAAGGAGACAGGGTGCAATAGAAGCATTGTCTTCAGTGGTATTCTACCGAGTACTTAGAGCTTTTCTTTGTACTTATTTTTTTAACTGAATTTTTTTAAATTGCTAAATTTTCACTGTCTCAGAATAGAATCATGACTTCATATTCCTTAATTCAAATATCTGATTGCATGTACTTTTGAAATATATCTATTTGTCATGTTTCTGTTGCAAACTGTTCACTTTTCCACTGGGATATTGTGGTGAGCCATATTTTCCCAGAATGCTGCAATGATACCACCAACAGGAACCCCTTTCAAATCAGTCCTAATTTTGTGGTGATACCTCTTAAGGAATCAAAAAGCAAACACTCTTTTTTGCTCAGAACAAATGTGTAAGAAACCTCAAATGCATGAGATCTAATTTGGAGTAGGGTCAAACACAAGAGAGGAACAGCTCAGAGTGTATGGGAGTTGTCAGCCCAAAATAAGTGTCAATCCATCTTCTAGAGTATTAAGTTTTAGGTTTCTGTTAAAGATCAGAAAATTTGTGGTCTAGGTCATTATAAAGTAAATTTAATTGTTTTCTCATTTCATACCCAAAGCCAAGGACTTTGTTGTAGTAGTTTGATGGTGGTCGAATGAACAGATGGAGGGAGAGATCAGACACAGGGGGATTCTGGCATGTCATTGTTACAGACTGGAAAGCACAAATTTTAATGAAAATAGGATGTTTATTCCATTTATTTTAATAGCCATAAAATACAAAAGAAATGGTCGGGTGCAGTGGCTCACGCCGTAATCCCAGCACTTTGGAAGGTCAAGGTGGGCAGATCACGAGGTCAGGAAATCGAGACCATCCTGCCCAACATGGTGAAACCTCGCCTCTACTAAAATACAAAAAATTAGCCAGGCATGGTACTGCGCGCCTGTAGTCCCAGCTACTTGGGAGGCTGAGGCAGGGGAATCACTTGAACCCAGGTTGCAATGAGCTGAGATCGTGCCACTACACTCCAGCCTGGCGACAGAGCAAGACTCCATCTCAAAAAAAAAAAAAAAGAAATATACAAATATACAAAAGATGTAGGAAAAAAATGCTAAAGGCCAGGCACAGTGGCTCATGCCTGTAATCCTAGCACTTTGGGAGGCTGAAGTAGGCAGATGGCTCGAGCTCAGGAGTTCAAGACCATCCTGGTCAACATGGTGAAACTCTATCTCTACAAAGAAGACAAAAATCAGCCAGGCTTGGTGGTGAGTGCCTGGAGTCCCAGTTACTCAAGAGACTGAGGTGGAAAGATTGCTTGAGCCCAGATGTTGAAGTTGCAGTGAGCCAAGATGGTGCCACTGCACTCCAGCCTGGTTGACAGAGTGAGACCCTGTCTCAAAAAAACAAACCAAAAGAAAAGAGAGAGAGAGAGAGAAGTTAAGAACCTGAATATTCTAAGAAAGAGGTTCTGAGAGTAGAAATTCAGCTGAACCCATATTTTCACAGGAAGTGAGCCAAGAAGGGGAAAAAATAACCTCCAGTAACTGATACTGTTATCAAGGGCAGGAGTTGTGTTACCGATTTTTCAGGATCACGCACTCCATAGCACTTGCTGACCTAATCAGTGAACATTTGTTCACACAAATGGTAACCACCAGAACCACTGGGCTCTTCTCTAATGTGGATTCCATTCTTTACTACTTCAAGAATGCTTGTCAGATCCTTCTGAAACGCCTTGAGCCCATCATTAAGAAACATCCGGAAGGTAAATGGGAAGACTGGGTAAGTGTTCCACTCCCTTTGAAATGAGAAAACAATGTAAACCAGTACTCAGACAGCACCACAGCATGCACAGCCATCACACACAGAGACAGTTCCTCTAAGTGTCACAGTGATGGAGCATGCCCCCTGTTTCTTCCCCAGTTGAATGGATTTCTGCAAATAGGCAGGATCTCTAAAGGTTGAGAAGGCTACTCCAGGATGTATACCAGGTGTGTATGGAGAAAGCACACAGGAAACAGCAATCACTAGAAGGAGAAATAGAAGTGTATGAAGAATACACTCTGCTCAAGTAAGAAATAAGAGGAAAAGAATGAGCCTTCCTAAGCCACACACACACACATACACACACACACATGCAAGCACGATGTTTTGGGTAGGTTAGGAGGAAAACTAAAAGGCCTATTTGCTCTTGAATATGGCTCAAAGGAGATGACTAAGTTAATCCAACTTTACAATATCCTGTGACTTTTTTCATTGGAGCAATTATTTCACATTTACACACACGCTTACTGTAAAGTTCTAACATTTAGAAATGAAGTCCAAATACCTTGTGCACTGAGTCCCTATCTCATGGATGTGCAGCAGGATTCTATTTTATGTTTGTTCAATCCAGACTTCTAAACTCAATCAGAAGGAAATTGTTAGTGTGCCAATTAAGGAAAAATAATATGATGACGAGTTCTATTATTGGTAGCAAAGCACCAGCAACAATTATGAGATGTCAATTTTAGATTGGACATTTCTGTTTTCACCTAGCAGATGGTATATTTGTTTCGCTTTAACTAAATATGCCCATTCTGCAGATAGAAGCTGCATTTGAACAAAGAATCAGTCTCTCAGCCACTGGATACTTCAGGTAAACATCACAATAATATCTTGACGTAGCTAAGAAAATAAGAGGTAACTCAATCACTGTTGATGGCTGTTGTAATACTTTGGTTCTTGTCGTCTTAGTTTAAAAGAATTTAAACAAGAGACACAGCAAAGCAAAACAACAACAACAACAAAAAGAGACACACAGCAAAAGATGTGCAGCATAGAGTAATTTATTGCAAAAAAAAAAAAAGAATATTTTGAAAATGAGGTGCAGAGTAGACAGTACACCCTGAGAGAGAATTCAGGGCAGGCTGTCCGTAAGGATGAGACAGCAAAAACTGGTATTGCGGACGCTCCCTTTATGGGGATCTTACATGATTATTCATATTGGTGGGAAGAGGTGTTACTAGTAAGCACGTTCTGGATGGTCTTCTGGGTGCACATGTGCAGCTGTACATGCGTGTTCATACATCACATGTCTCATTAGTATCTTAAATCTCCACCCAGAGGTGTGTTTTTTACTATTAAAATAATTTGATTTTACCTGAGGACAGGTAAAATCAAAGTGTGCATGCCCTCTACAGGGGAAATTCCCTACTGAAGATAACTTTGTTTGAATGAGTGCGATTACAATGGAAATGCTGAAGCTTTCGTGTTGATTGTGCCGTCACCACAGTGCTGGTGCTGCGTCCAGAGAACGTGGTCACTTTCTTGACTATCTATGCTGCCTCAACTCTGGGCCGCAGGTCCCTCATTTGTAAAATACATTTTTATTGTATGATTGCTGAGGTCCCTTCTAGGCCCAAAATTCTATGATTTCACATAGGCCTTTCAGTTATGTCCAAAAAAAAAATTAAACAATAAAACACCCTTATTGGGGAAAAAAATTAGATGCTTGACTTACAACAGCTAATCCTTATAATCATTATTTACTATTTATTTAATCATTACTTACAATATCTAATCATTATTTACTATTCTTTATCATGAATAGTAAAAATATATTATCATTAGAAATGACTTGCATCTCAATTTTACAAATCTCCCTCCTTTTACCATAAAACCTGTCTATTTTGAAGCTCCGTACTAGACAAGGGAGAATGGGTGGATGATAATCACCAGTCATTGTCAAATTCAAAAAGCATGTGACATTAGTTTTACAGTCTAATGAAACAAACCACCAAACAATAGATACACACACACACACACACACAGAGAACAGTAAAGCAAATCCTCATGAAGAATGAGGAAATAAGGAGGTAACAGCCCAGCCTAGAGCCTTGTACCTAATGAGTTCTAAATTCCTAAGTTCAGTTACCTAAGAAGAGAGCAAACCAGCCCTCTATCTGAATATATCTTCTATTATAAATTAATGCATTGAATTACCAGTCCTTTTTTACCAACCCTGAATTACCATCAGCTCCCTGTGAGTTTGGTTAGCACTATCCATGGGGTCCCTTTGGGAAGAGTGGTCCCAGGGGGACTACTGATAAAATTCAACTGAGGTTCTCAGTGGGCAGGCAGGCTAAAGCTCAAATCCTTTGTGGTCAAGATACAGGCACACTGTGAGGTCCGGTCCCAAACAATCTATTGGCTTCTCCCTCTTTTTGACATCCTAACTGTGGCACAAGGAATGTCCTCTTTAAATGAGTTTAAAAGGCAATTGAAATGAACATAAATCAAATGAAATGCTGTACTTACCTGGCAGGGGAGATACTGTGATTCTGAAGGTGGTTTTCCTAGAGTGAGGCTTATCTTACCTATTTTACTCCAGAAATGCTGACCCCTGTGATTTCCCCAAATGTAGGAAACTCAACTGCATAATTTATGATAATGGGAGACTGTATTTGTGCCCTCCCTGGCAAAAAAAGAAAACGAAACACTACCATAAAACCTTGGTAACTTTTAAAATAAATCAACATTCTATCTCCCCAGCTCAAGCTAAAAGGCTTTATTTCTTCCGTCAGGGGCTACAAGGCCTTCATGGACTGGGAGAAGGGGGTGGGGGACCCATTTCCTTACTATGTCTGCAGAGCTGCCTGTTCTGAGGTTGAAATTGACTGCCTGACAGGTGCTCACAAGGTAAGTCAAGTCTAACTTTCCTCTTGGCAAATCAAAACAACAAAAGTGTGTTGTATAGTAAATAGCCCAATTCCATTATGTAATTCTCTTATAACAAGAACAAGATTCTTTCAATTCCATGGGAGGGTCCAGAGATCTAGCCTTATCCTGAATTTCCACTTAAAAAGACAATATAGTAGTCAAAAATGAATTGCTGATGACAGTCTAAAATGTATTAAATTTCTTATTTCATTTAGACAACAAAATCACTTTCCAAGATTTCTCCCCCAAAAAAGCTTCTATTTATAAAGAAAAAACACATTTTCTAATCTGAAGGAATAACTAACTTAGTAAATAGTCTTGAGCAAACATTTTGAAAGCACATAGCAATGTGCTGTTTCTCCAAAGTCAATTATCCAAAAAGTATTACTGGAACAGATTTTGGGGGAAGAGAGGTATTAAAATAATTGTTACATTTTCTATTTAATTGAACAGCCAAGAAACCACACATTGGAGACAGGGAATCATACTTAACCCAAAATTAACAACTTGCATTATAAAGGATGCAATTTTACCCAAGGGCCTTGGAATAAATCCCTAAAGATATGAAACTTATGAGGATCTTCCAGAATTTATGATGCTAGAAAAGTCAAAATGTGGTCTTTTCTGTGCCTTTCAGTTTACATTTACAGTTTAAGGTTCAATAATTTCAGTATCACTTTGATCCCTTAAAATAGTTTATTTCTTAAAGAGGCAAAACTTCTTTTAACTAAAGAGAAATCAGAGAAATTCAGTGACAGGCCTGTTGCAGCTGGCCATTTGTGGTTGGTGAACTAAATCATCCATCAACTCAGTGTTAGTGCACAGCCATCTCTTTCCACTGTCCAGCACTTATAGTGCAAAACACACCAGGTTTCAAGGTAGAAGTAAACTGAAGGCCCACTCTGAGGTGTGTCCAATCTCCCTCCCTATCCAGGTTGAGGATAGATGAAGGCTGGTCCCAATGCCCAGAGTAGGTTGTCCAAGAGGCCAAGGTTTGAGTCAAAAGAGAATTGCCAAGTCCAAAAGGCTAGATAGAAAGTAGGAGCCCAGGTATTGAGCCCAAACAGAGAATGATGATCTTGTCAGAGCAAGCACTGGGAAATGGGGGGCAGAAGGGAAGCCCTGAGACACTCCGGAGATAGGCCACAGGCACTTAGGGGCTTTTAGTGGCTCCTTAATAACCTGCAGGCCCATGCCCAGTGCCAAAACAAGGGCCAGATTCATGTGATGCTTCTCAGAGAAGGAAGTAGATTAGCAAATCAAAGGTGGTCTCAACATTTGCCATGAATACCTTCCAAGATCTTGCAAATCCACAAACTCATACATGCCAGTATGGCTCTAGGATTTTCACAGTAAAATGGCAATAGTACCACCTGCCACAGATTATCATGAGGACTACATGAGCTCATAAATTATATTCCAACAACAAATTCAGGTTGAGAATCAGATGAACAACCAGGCACAACAATTATTTACCAAGTGACTCACTCAGACACACTAGCATGTCATGGACTTTGGAGTCACTTAAGAGGAGTCAAAACCATGAATGTACAAGATCTTCCAGGGTCATGGACAGTCCTGGCACTAAATTTGAAGAGTTCAGCAGGCATCTTAACAGCTCTAATGTTGACAGGGTTCAATGCAGTGTTAATTAGCCAGCAGGAGTTCTGGAAAAACTGGAGATCATTTGAGTATACCTGAAAATGATACTTTTAATTCAAATTTTTATGGTGAGGTAATTTTTATTTTGGGCAGAAAATCAGAACGGACATCATCATGGATGCATGTTGCAGCCTAAATCCAGCCATTGATATTGGGCAGGTAGGTGCTGGCCCATCTGGGCAGATGCCCCTTCCTGGGAGTCATTTCAGGGTAGGTAAAGGCCTTCTAAAAATGACACAATGTCACAAAGCTTGAAATTGTCCCCCTCCAGATTGAAGGTTTGTTTATTCAGGGAATGGGGCTTTATACCACTGAAGAACTGAAATATTCCCCAGAAGGTGTCCTGTACTCTCGGAGCCCAGATGAGTACAAAATTCCAACCATCACTGATGTCCCAGAGGAGTTCAATGTCTCCTTGCTGCCATCATCACAAACCCCACTAACCATCTATTCGTCTAAGGTAAGCATCCAAACCTACCACTGCACGGTGTCATGGATCGGGTAGCACAGGACAGATGAAAGCAGGTGGACAAAATAGTAAATCAATGTTAACTGTTATCAGGAACAAATCATTATAGACTGCTAGAATTTGGAGATGACTCACCCATGGCAATCGTGAGCCAAGAATTTTAATAATTTCCTCTTTCACTGAAAACTCTAAAACTCGCCAAAAAGCTTTGACTTCTTAATAGAATAACACTTTTACTTAAGACCCTGAAGACTATAATATTAAACAGGATTGGAGGCGCAATGCGACTGAAATCCTAGCAGTGGCAGCATGGACAGAACCCTGGACTGAGGTCGCAGAAGACCTGCGTTCCTGCCACAGCCCTATCCCCTCCCCATGGTCTTAGGCAAATCACTCACCTCTGAGGGGCTCAGGGTCCTCACCATACCCAGAAATGCATCTAGAACAGTGGTTCTCAACTGGGAGTGGGGGAAGTGGGGGAAGTGATTTTGTACAAGGCAGCCCCCGACCCCATTACAAAGAATTATCTGGCACAAAATGTTACTAGCATCAGAAAGCAAAGACATCAACCCTTAATAATTGCTAAAGTAATGAAACTGCAAATTAAAATAAAGATCATTATTTGTTTGCCTTGCTCTATGCAGATTACGTGAAAACCACCCTCAGAGTAAGAACTTCATCTAGGGTTGAGATGTATTGTTAAAGTTTCTTGACTCCTCTTAAGATATTAAAATATTTCCTGGCCATGGTGGTGCACATCTATAGCTCCAGCTACTCAGGAGGCTGAAGCAGGGGATTGCTTGAGCCCAGGAATTCAAGACCAGCCTGGGTAATCAATAAATAAGATCTTTTGGGAGACTTCTTGCTAGTACCCATCCTCCAAAAAAAAAAAAAAAGTATCCAACTCCATCTGTAGAAATTTCATCATGTCCAAACTGGATCCCACTGTCAGCCCAGGAACACCAGGAACTTCCTCTAGACCTATAGTGATGAGGTCAGGGCAAACCTGAAAGGAAGGACAATCAATGGGGCCTTTGGATTCTCATCGAACTGGAAATCACTCTAAGGGGAAAAGGCAAAAGGGAGCTAAGAGCCCACAGAGAGCAGCTTTTAAGCCACCAAGAGTAACACAGGGCAGAAAGGACTCTTGAGTCCTTGTAGTTGCAGACAGCCACTCACAAGCAGACACTCAGGAAAATCATGGGTTTGCAGGTCCCACATGGAGGGTACTATGTAGAAACAACAGAGAGCTACCAGGCACCGGGAGCTGTGCTAGGTGCTTTTGCGTTTCCTGATCCTTGCAACACCCAATAAAGTTGGCATCACTGCCCACACTTCACTGACAAAGGAACAGAGGAGATTATCTCACTTACCCAGAGAAACATGGGGAGTAAGGGCCAGGATTCAGACTCAGTCTCACTAACTTAAGGGTCACAAATTGGTGGTCTACTGGCTAAATCTAGCCTGAAGATGTACTTTTCTTTGGCCTACACAGTGTTTTTACAAGTCAGGGAATTTTACTTTAAAATACAGATATCTAAATTCTCTTGAGAAAATGGATGATCTGGTAATTTTGGCTGCATTCTTGGAAAGGCAACAACTAACTACAACCAAAGAACAGCTGCCCTTATAGACAGGACATGGGGGTGCTCTTCCTCACCTTACTTTCCACTGCTCCTTATTGTCCTTCATCTGCCTGCATCACTCATTGACAATACCTGCCTGTTCCTTGCAGATGATGGGTTTACAACCTTTCATCTGGTATCAAAGTCTGTACTCTTTCTTCTAGAGTACCCTGCCTATCCTGACCCTGAAGTTAAAAAAGGCATTTTTCTCTCTGCTGATAAAACTGGCTAGTTCAATCCATTGAATGTGTTTTACTAAATAGGGTACTTTCCCATTACCACGCAAAGACACTCATACACACACACATACACACATACATACCTTTCCTAGGGAACAAAATTTAACCCAGACGGGATTCAAGATCTGGGAAATTCAGATTATGCTGGGACTTTTTTTCTTTGTCTTTGCTTTTTTTTTTTTTGAGATGTAATCTTGCTCTGTCACCCAACTGGAGTGCAATGGCATTATCTTGGCTCACTGCAACCTCCAACTCCCGGGTTCAAGCAATTCTTCTGCCTCAGTCTCCCAAATAGCTAGGACTACAGACGCGCACCACCACGCCCAGCTAATTTTTGTATTTTTAGTAGAGACGGGGTTTCACCATGTTGGGCAGGATGGTCTTGATCTCTTGACCTCATGATCCATCCGCCTCGGCCTCCCAAAGTGCTAGGA
This sequence comes from Homo sapiens, assembly GCF_000001405.40. Taxonomy (NCBI): domain Eukaryota; kingdom Metazoa; phylum Chordata; class Mammalia; order Primates; family Hominidae; genus Homo; species Homo sapiens. Next base: position 200,780,423 of record NC_000002.12, read on the forward strand.
TTACAGGCGTGAGCCACCAAGCCCAGCCTATGCTGGGATTTTTAAGACTACTCAAGCTTCTGATTCAGTCAGTAAGTCAGCCAACAAACATTTATTGAGAAGATTTTGTGTACAAAACACTGTGCAGGGGTTGGGGACACAATGGTGAACGAGACCTGGCCCCTACCCTCTAGAAACTTGTAGTGTAGTATGGAAGTTTCTTACACCAATGTGCCTTCTTACAGGGCCTCGGGGAGTCTGGGATGTTCCTGGGGTCATCTGTGTTCTTTGCCATTGCTGACGCTGTGGCCGCAGTGCGAAGAGAAAGAGACATAGCTGAGGACTTCACGGTGAAGAGCCCAGCAACGCCAGAATGGGTTCGAATGGCCTGTGCAGATCGATTCACAGAAATGGTAGGAAATTGTTTATTTTCCTAAAAGGTGATTTGTCTATTTCCTGCTTCTTAGACCTCTTGGGTAAATGTATAACCTAAGCTGTGTCTAGCTAATCAAATTATGAAATGAAAAAAGCAAATCACACAAATACACCTTGTATACATGTAGTAATTTTAACTTTTAAAAAAGTATTTCCCAAGTGTTAATTTGATCATCTTAGCAACCCTGAAGTATGATAATTTATTAATATCATGCTGCAGCCAGGCACGGTGGCTCACACAAGTAATCCCAGTACTTTGGGAGGCCAAGGTGGGCGGATCACGAGGTCGGGAGATCGAGACCACCTGGCTAACTCGGTGAAACCCCGTCTCTACTAAAAATACAAAATATTAGCCAGGCATGGTGGCACGCACCTGTAGTCCCAGCTACTCAGGAGGCTGAGGCAGGAGAATCGCTTGAACCCAGGAGGCAGAGATTGCAGTGAGCCAAGATCACGCCACTGCACTCCAGCCTGGCGAAGAGTGAGACTCCGTCTCAAAAAAATAAAAAATAAAAATAAAAAGTATATATATTAAAAATGCTGCAAAAACTAATAGCTAAATGGAAAGGAACTGACTGATTTCTCCAAACAGTGGTTAAGTATTCCCTCCCTCTATCCTACCAACTCCATCCTGCCCTTCAACAAAAACAAACACACACATACAGAAATCCATGTGTCATATAGCCATATTTGATAATGTCACTTTCTGTGTTCCCTATACAGAGAGTATACACAGACTGCCTGTCATTTAGAAGTAGGGTGATCCCATTGCAAGCTACTGCCTTTCTCCTTCATTCTGTTTCATACCAATGCCTCCAAGCCCGGGAGAGGGAGGCCTAGGGAGTTATCCATGGGGATACACACATGGCAAATCCCACCTGCTGAAGGTTACAGATAAGCAACTTCCCAGAGGTCATCGAGCCTCGCCTTTGCCAATTTCCTAAGCATCCTAATTTAAGTAATACCAGGTAGCATTACGTGACTGAGCACCAAACTAAACATTTTACACGTATTAGTCATTACAGCAACTCTATCAGGTAACTGCTGGTATTTTCTTCATTTTACTATTGAGGAAATAGGTGCAATAACTTTCCCAAGATCACACACCTAGCATTTGGGGGCCAAGATTCAAACCCAGGCTGCCTGGCTTCACTATAATATATGGTCTCTCAGAGAGAAAAGAGTTGATTCTCCACTTCTTAAAAGGCAATTTCTATTTTCAAATCTATATTAAAAGAAGCCCAAATACTTAACTGACCTCTTCAAAATAACCAACCATAGAGTGAAAAGATCTTATAGAAATATTGCTTAAAAGGAAGTGTCATAATTATTAATTTCCTTCCCCTACATAACCTATTCCTATTTCCATCTTCAAATCTAACTCAACAATATTTCTTATACTCCAATAATACCAGTCACCCTGTAATTTCCCTCCAAGTCTTCTCCCAGTCTATGGATCTGACCCTCATCTGATTCCATTGTCTACAGCAATGATTACAATCACCTGCCTCTGGACAGATGCCCTCCTCAGATGGGCAGGGCCGGGAAACCAGCACCCTCCACCCACTCCAGGAACTCCTCTGTGCGGATCTTGGCCTAGAGGTCAGTCATCTGTCCGTTCCTGACTCTGCTGGTGACGTGATCACTGTAGAATGGTGTCATCTCATACCCCAAAAGCATAAGCACTTCTGACCTTTAAAAAATGTTCTTATTCACATTTTGCAATAATAAATACCCTCTTCTGGAATGGGGCAGATTAAGAAAACTAAAAAACACAAAAAACAAAAATATACTTCTAATCTTCCTTTCTTGCCTGAGGTTAATGTTTTCAGTCTTCCAATGGTCTGGCTCCTAGAAAATGAATTCCTTCATGTCTAAGATTTCAGGCTGTTTTGAATAGTCCAGTTGTCTGGCAAAGTAGCTCTGTCACATACAATGGTAAGAAGTGAAACACTTTGATTTCATTTACCATTTGGGACTTAGCTTCTTAGCTACCTGGTCCATATGATGAAACCATATTTTCTCTCAAGTCTGATGGTTCCTTGATAAGACTAACATATCTTTGCAGATATAAATCATCTACTAATTTGTGCCCATCAATCAAATGCTCAATGTTAGAATAACCTAGCATTTTCTAAAATACTCGTAGATAAATGGTTTATAAATATCACTTCATGTTATAACCTATGTTTGCTATTTTAGACCTCCTTTTAATAACATACATTGCATTTCGTCTTTGTAAAAGTAACATATGTCCGTTACTGAAAAATTAGAAAATGCTGAAAAGAATAAGGTGAAGTTAAAATCAGCCATAATCCCACCAACCAGAACTAACTATAACCATGTTTTGGAGTGTGAGCGTGCATGTGTGTGTGTGTGTGTGTACATTTTTAACCATCCTTTAATTTATATGTTTATATGTACAATATATCTTATTTGTAAACTCATTTAATAAAATCAGGATATCCCTGACGTAAGTCTTGAAAAGATTTGAACAGTATAATTGGGAATGACTCTGCTGAGCCTCAGTCACAGAAAAATCTGGATTGGGAATTTCATGGGAAAAGTATCCCATGAAGCATCACTCAAAAAATAGTTGCTTAAACACAAAAAGAGAATACCTGGCCAAACTCATTTATCCTACAACTCTTAATCTTTGTCTATAGCTACTGGAATAAATTTGAGGGGTGAGGGCAGGACAGAATGTTTAACTTTTCAATAATAAGCCCCCATATGGAGAATGATCATTTATGCTTTTTTTTTTTCTTTTGGAGACAGGGTCTTGCTCTGTTGCCCAGGCTGGAGTGCAGTGTTGCAATCTCAGCTCACTGCACCCTCTACCTCCCAGGTTCAAGTGATTCTCCTGCCTCAGCCTCCTAAGTAGCTAGGATTACAGGGGTGTACCACCATGCCCAGCTAATTTTGGTATTTTTAGTAGAGATGGGGTTTCACCATGTTGGCCAGGCTGGCCTGGAACTCCTGTCCTCATGATTCGCCCACCTCAGCCTTCCACAGTGCTGGGATTACAGGCATGAGCCACCGTGACTGGCCATAATCATTTATCCTTCATACTGATAATTACCTACAATATTCCTAACCATTGCACTGACCTCACATGTATTTGAAACAATGAAAAGAAAGCCCTCTCCAAATACATGAGAAGACTTCAGTTAGTTTGTTCGAGCCTCCAGACCCTGTCTCCTCAACTGTTCACCAACAGAGAGAAGGGGCTGGTTAGAAGCCAGCCTTGATTGGGACCTCCCAAGGAGTGCAGAGAGGAGGAAGTCCTGGGTCTTAGTTTAACAGAGGCCAAGAAACACACAAAATTTAGATTCTTCTACTATTACCTGTTGCAGGAAATGGCAATACTCATCTATCTATACAGAAACATAAACAAGAAACCCAGGAGCCATCCTGGCATTTCTCTCCCTCATACTCAGTAGCTAGTCCTTCACCATGTCCTGTTCATTTTCACCCCCAACAATTTCTTGACCCAGTCCATTTTCTCCATCCTTAACCACTATATTATTCATTCATCCCACAAACAGATGTTGAGCATCTAATGTGTGCCAGGCATTGTTCTACAGAACAATTCTGGGGCTACAGTAGTGAATGAAACAGAGACCCCCTACCTTGGTGGAGTTTAGTTTCTGGTGACCCTGAAGCTACCTACCATCTCTCCACCCTGGATCAAAGCTGCCTCCTGGCTGATCTCTCTACACCCCCTGCAGCCAGAAGCTTGTGGTGTGGCAAAGCAGACCATGCCACACCAGCACACACATTGGCAAAAAGCTTCCCTTTGCTCATAGGAGACAGAAAACTTCTTAACTTGCCTTCTTGAGCCTACAAACCTTCAGAGTCCAGCATGGCCAACCCCACCCACCTCTCCAGCCACCCATGACCCCACCCAGCCACACTTGTCTTCTTCTGTCATTCCTCATGTTAAGGACAGAGACGCTCACTCCTGCTTTAGGGCCTCTGCCATGCTCTTCCTTCTCCTTGGAACCATCTTCTTCTGTTCAACTTGTTAACTCCTACTCAGCTTTAATCAAATTCAACAAATTCATTTGATCCCTTCCTTTCTGCATAGTTTGAGGTCCCAGGAATATAAGGTCCCTGCTCTCAAGGCATTTATAGTCTAGCAGGGAAGGAAGACAGTGACTGTGAATTATAAGTGCTTGGCTGACCCTGGGGTATACTACTACATCCCACAGAATAAAACCTTTCTGACTTAGTCTCGCTCTTTTCTTGAAGTCAGAGGGGTCATAGATGGGATCCCACTTTGGTTACTCGTCATGCAATTGTTCATTTATCTAACATATTTATTGAGTACCTTCCATGTGCCAGGCACTGCTGGGGAACTAAAAAAATAGTGGTGAGCAAGGCAATCTCTGCCGGCATAGAGCTTACATTCTGTGGGGGAAGCCAGACAGTAAGCAAGTAAACAAACGCACAATATAATTGCAAGCAGTATTGAATACTGTGAAGGAAAATTGAAGAGAAGGGAGCTAGAATGTGATGGAGAGATTATTTGATTATAGTTTCTTGGGGAAGTTCCCTCTGAGAGTGTTCACATTTGAGCCAAAGCCTGAATGAAGCAAGGGACCAAGTATAAAGCTGGCAATGATACAGTCCAGGCCAAGAACAGCTCATGCAAAGGCCCTGCAGCTTCAGAAGAATCAAAGCCACTTGGGACTAAGCAGCCCTCAAAAGTGGCCCTTTTGTGTCTGATTTGCCCCTCTGGTAGAAAAGTGTCTGATTTGCCTCTCTGGTAGAAAAATCTTACAATTGTTGTTCTCCATGGCTGAGAGATAAAATAGAATTTGTGGCCACACCATTTATTTTCACATCAGCGAGTGAAACCTGGATAGTCCTTCTTCCAATCAGCAACTTTCCTAGTCTTTATCATATGCTTTATCACACTTCAGGTCTACTTCTTTAGATCTTTAGTGACTATAATTAATTCATCCCCTTAGAAGCCACAGCAGGCCTCCTGAAGTTCTTATAGCCTGGCTGCTCACACAGACCAATTTCTAAAGCATCTTAGAACAAATCTGACCCCATATCAGAATTTACTCTTTTTTTTTTTGAGACAGAGTCTCTGTTTCCCAGGCTGGAGTGCAGTGGTGCAGTTTTGGCTCACTGCAGCCTCCGCCTCCAGGATTCAAGCGATTCTCCTGCGTCAGCCTCCTGAGTAGCTGGGATTACAGGTGCACGCCACCACGCCCGGCTAATCTTTGTATTTTCAGTAGAGACAGGGTTTCACCATGTTGGTTATGTCTCAAACTCTTGACTTCGTGATCCACCTGCCTCAGCTTCCCAAAGTGCTGAGATTACAGGCATGAACCACCGTGCCAGCCAGAATTTACATTTTTAATACATTTGATCAAATTACAACATGGTTTTTAATTGAAATATATAATGATTCACACTGGTACACAATGCTGTACTATGCAAATGTGTATATAGAAAGAGAGAAAGAATAAGAAACATATATATTAACAGTCTTTGCATTGGGCCTTTGAATGCCCTTGTCAAAACACAATTTGTTCTAATGAATAAGAAGGTCAGGGAGTCAGAGTGTCTGTATACTAGAGCATGAGTATTGAAAAGTTCAAGACCTCCTCTTTTAATAACCTCCTTATAGCCATAAGGTAAATAACAGCCCGACTAGATCTATTTCTTAAATAGAAATGATGGTAAAACACTCAGTACTTTTCCCTCGGAATTAAATAAAATAATGCATGTAAAAATACTGTGTAAATATGAGTCACTCTGTAAATATTAGTGTTAAGGTCATCACCAAAAACCCATAAACTGTTAATGACCTTCTTCAAAATATGCCTCTCCCAAAAGGCTTGAAAAGTGTTTCCACATTAAATCAAGTTGACCTGCTGAGGCCAGAATAAACAACAACTCTTCTAACTAGCAGCTTCATTTTCATGGGTAAATTAGCTTCAAAAAAGGCAGGCATTGGTAAGAAGCCTAAGGCATGTTTGTTACCAAAAAAATCATACTGTATGAATGAGCATTTACTATGTCAAAAGGTTTTTTTTTTTTTTTTAACATGTTTGGGTTTGTTTAACCTTAATCACAGCCTAATGCTGGCTGCCATTTTTGCATGGCTGTTTCTCAGGTGGTTAATTTCTGGTGAGGACAGTGTTGCTGGTTTCTACTCTGAGCCCAGCAGGTCAGTCCGGCTCAACTAGGCGTGGCCAGAAACATCATCTCTATGTAATTTCCTTTTCGGTGATGGGAGAAAGAAAAATATGTATTTCCTGGAAAATGTGTTTTGTACAGTCATCTTAAATTCCACAAGGGGAAAAAAGTAAACTTCCTTTAAAGATATACATATTTAACACTTTCATATGAGGACTTCTCCTTAGAAACAGTGATTTCATTTAAAAAAAATATATATTTAGGATTCAGAGACATGAAGGGTTCCATACCCTCAAAAATTAGAAAAATACTGCCTTGGAGAATGTGGAATAGGCAGACATTTTTTACATGTTATCTTAATATCACCAACAGCAAAACGTTATTTATTGAGTAATCACCAAATGTGGTCTATGTGGGCTGCCATAGTGGGAGGCCATGTAGAGCCAATTAACAGCTTCAGTTTCCATCTCCTGGAAGTTAAAATCAGACACCTCAGCTTGGAAACAGGTTTATAAGCAGGTTTCAGCTTACCCCACTTCTGAAGGGGCAGCCTGGAACACGCTGACTCATAAGAAATCTTTGCAATCATAACAAATGGCTCATGTCCTGCGTTAGGCTGACGCATGATCTTATCGTACCCTAGTGGGAAAAGTCCTTCATTCTTAGATCAGTCCTCAGTTCCAAATGGCCATGCCTGTCCTTCATAGAATCTGCTATTCTATGAGACTGACCAATGGCTAGTTTCTAACGGCCTTCACCTTCTTCCTACGCCGCAAACCCTAATACAGTCTCCATCCACGGACTCCCCTCCTTTACAGCACTGCGTCTCTCACATCCCCACGTCTCATTTTCCCTCCCTGCTTCTTTTGCATTTCTAGATGCCCAGACTCAGTGAGAACTGGCAGCATTAAAAGCGCCACCTGTTTAGTTCAGTATCTGGAGCCCTTCCTCCCTGCTGAAGGAGGAGAGGCACGTGAACATTTTGCATGCTGCCAGACGCCTGGTTTACCCACTCCTCTCGGGCAGTTCACTCCCAAACACTAGCCGTTCAAGATGAAGCCTGCTCAACCCCATACTCTATACACAGCCCTGGATTTCTCTGAGCTGGGGGAGACATCTACCAGCCCTACAAGACTGTATTCTATTTCTTGGGGCTCATTTACCACAACATGTGAAAACATGAAATCTCCAGCCTGTTCAGCTATAATCTCAGCTACAGATAATTGGTAGGGCCTTAGACCAGCACGGACATGCTTCGGTCACCTGGATTCCTTGAGATGGAACACAGAGCAGACTGCACGGCTCAGGACAGACTGAGAGTAGAGTCTCCCATGGTGTCTTCCTCAGAATGCTCAACCTATTGACCTGTTCCCATGAGACACATACACATACATGCATGCATGTACTCACACAGACACGCATGTACGCACACAGACACACATGCACACGCACACTCAGACAGGCATGTACTCATTCTTAACCACATTCTTCTAGCCTCTCATGCTGTCTTGGAAGAGGTTTTATTGGCTGTGAAACTGATTCCACATTGAATATGTTTGTCCCAGGATGCAGGAACTGAATCATTTCCCTGCAATGCTTGGTGACATTTCACAGAGTAGCCATTCTTACTCCTGAAGGGAGAGTCTCTGATACTGTTATTGAATGTATATTTTTGTATCTAAAAACTCTCCTATGTGATCTCTTCCTCCTTAGGTTTGTAGGAGCAGAGGAAAGGGAGAGATAGGGAGAACACCTAAAAGGGAAGAGGCAAAAGCTGGAGGCATTCCTCAGTTTAAGGGAGGAAATAAGAGATGCAGAATATAAAACAGGAGAAAAGAGAGCCATCTCATCCTGCCAAGGAGAAGAGTTACAATGAACTATTTTAGCTTAGTGCTTGAGACAGGCCCTGAGTAGAGTGAATCTGGGTTTCAATTCCAGCTCTACTTTTTTTTTGAGATGGAGTCTTGCTCTGTCACCCAGGCTGGAGTGCAGTGGCACAATCTCGGCTCACTGCAACCACCGCCTCCCAGGTTAAAGTGATCCTCCCACCTCGGCCTCCCGAGTAGCTGGGACTACAGGTGCACACCACCATACCCAGCTAGTTTTTGTATTTTTTGTAGAGACAAGGTTTCACCATGTTGCCCAGGCTGGTGTCAAACTCCTGAGCTCAAGCGATCTGCCCACCTCAGCCTCCCAAAGTGCAGGGATTACAGGCATGAGGCACAGGACCCAGCCCCAGCTCTACCTTTGATGCTTTATTTAAGTTCTCTGATCACTCAGTTTTCTTATCTATAAAATGAGGGAGAGGTGGGGTAGTGGAGAGAATAACTCTAGTTACTTTACAGGATTGTTGTGAGAATTGAATAAGATAATACTAAAGCAGTTGGCAGTTGTTGCACATAGTAAATGGTCAATACATATTGATGATGATGATGGTGAAGATGATTGAGTCAGGGATCCCTAAGACCACCCTTAGGTTTAAAGATTCGCTAGAAGTGGCCAGGCACAGAGGCTCTTGCCTGTAACCCCAGCACTTTGGAAGGCTGAGGCAGGAGGATCACTTGAGATCAGAAGTTCAAGATCAGCCTGGGCAACACAGCGAGACAGATAATTGGCAGGGCCTTAGACCAGCACGGACATGCTTCAGTCACCTGGATTCCTTGAGATGGAACATAGATCAGACTGCATGGCTCAGGACAGACTGAGAGTAGAGTCTCCCATGGTGTCTTCCTCAGAATGCTCAACCTATTGACCTGTTCCCATGAGACACACACACATACATGCATGCATGTACTCACACAGACATGCATGTACGCACACAGACACACATGCACGCACACACTCAGACAGGCATGTACTCATTCTTAACCACATTCTTCTAGCCTCTCATGCTGTCTTAGAAGAGGTTTTATTGGCTGTGAAACTGGTTCCACATTGAATACGTTTGTCCCAGGATGCAGGAACTGAATTATTTCCCTGCAATGCTTGATGACATTTCACAGAGTAGCCATTCTTACTCCTAAAGAGAGAGTCTCTGATACTGTTATTGAATGTATATTTGTGTCTCTACCAAAACCCAAAAAAATTAGCCAGGCATGGTAGCGCATGCCTATAGTCCCAGCTACTCAGGAGGCTAAGGTTGGAGGATCGCCTGAGCCCAGGAATTTGAGGCTGCAGTGAGCTTGATTGTGCCACTGCACTCCAGCCTGGGTGATAGAGCAGGACCCTGTCTTTAAAAAAAAAAAAAAAAAAAGAGAGACTAAAAATTCCATAACTTTAGCAGAATAGTAGACCCAAATCTGCCACAGCTAAACTGAGGAATTTTGCCCTGTGTCCAGCCCAGACCTTGCAGAACAGGCTCATTCTAAAGAAGAGAGCCAAGAAGCTCCCACAGGGACAGCTAAGAAGAGAATAGGGAAGGCCCTTTGGGAAGGCAAACCCTTCGTTTACATTTCAATACAGAGGGCAAAAAGTAAGAATAGAATTTAGGAAAATGTCCTGAATGGTAGACTGGTGGGTGAATTATTTGGCTTCTTTTTGTATTTTTGTGAAATAAATACATATTAGGAGGGGGGAGAAAGCTTTTTGGAACCTTCATAGCTTTCCATCATTGGGGAAAAGCTTGCTTTGCTTTTTAACACATTTGTAACTAAAAGCCAACACTTCAAACAAAAACGTAGCAGGGGAGAGGAGAGATGTGTGTTCTGCTTTGGGCTTGAACCTAAGGGGAAGAATTCCCCAAAGAGGAGACAGGCATTGAGGACCACGAAAAAGGATGAATAATTCTCGGAGCTTGTAGCCCAAGAGAGTGAAAAGAGGCTTGGGTTTGACCAGCAAGAACACAATATCACACAAACCATTTGACTAAAGGTGCACACAGGGCTGTTATCATATCGCTGTAAAGAAGTCCAGGTGTGTGGGCTCCAGTGTACACACCTGCCAGCCTAGCCACATCCCTACTCCCAAATGAATTCATGGGATGTGTAATTCTCTTTGGGATTCATATCTGGGAAGCAAAGAAGATAGGTAACTCACCGAAATGCCCTCTTACTAAGCCAGGCGCAGTGGCTCATGCCTGTAATCCCAGCACTTTGGGAGGCCAAGGCAGGTGGATCACTTGAGGCCAGGAGTTCCAGACCAACCTGGCCTACATGGTGAAACCCTGTATCTACTAAATACAAAAATGAGCCAGGCGTGGAGGCACACACCTGTAATCCCAGCTACTCAGGAGACTGAGGCACGAGAATCACTTGAACCTGGGAAGAGGAGGTTGCAGTGAGCTGAGATCATACCACTGCGCTCCAGCCTAGGTGACAGAGCAAGACTCCATCTCCAAAAAAAAAAAAAATCTGAAGTGCCGTCTTATTTAGCAACATTAGGTAAAACAGAGGAGAGGACAACACAAACCCACCTTCTTTTCACAGTTGTCAATTGAAGGGAATGACACAGTCCCATGCCCCAGGAGCCAGGAACATCCAGCCTCCTCTCATCCAAAAAATGTTTTAAACCCAAAGACTTGATGTAATGCTCCTGTTGAAATAAATAGTGTTATGGTATATTAAGTGTTTAATTTGCTTTGTTTCTTAGATCCCAAGAGATGACCCTGAGACATTTAAACCTTGGTCTATCCCTATAGCATAACACTGCTATCATTCCCTAAAAGGTAAGATCAATAAGCTAAAAGATAATTATTCAAAGTGGGGGAAAAAATATCAGCCAATCCAGGCTTTCAAACTTCATTCTATAGAAATCAAGAATTGCACAAGTGCTTAAATCATGCTTCATTTTAAAGTCAATATATCTTATCCAATATTTAAGTCCTTTAACACTAAATATGCATGGTTCTGGGAACTGACAAAGAAAGGCCAGGGTGTTTTAACCAACATGATAGTTTTTTTAATTTTAAAATAAAATATGAAAATACACTGGATTAAAATATTTAAAAAGCCTGCTCCCTGATTCTTTTAAGAATCACAACTGGAATGCAAAAAAACAAACTGAAATCCACTGATTACTCCATTTATAATTAACTAGCACTATTTGGAAGAGTTATCTCTTTGTATTTATTGAGTTCAACTGCTACAATTTTGTGCTGCTGCTTAACACTACACACAGAGCACTGAAGGCTTTGGAGAGTGGCCACAGAAACTCCTTGGGAAATATATGCTGATAAGAAAAAACATGGTTTTTTTGTTACAAAATTAAACTTCTACTTTCTGCACACTTACTGGGCAATAACTGAAAACACTGGGGAAGAGAGAGAACTATGGCATAAATTCAGATAAAATAAAATAAAATTTTTTCATTAAAATCTAATTTTCCAATGTAACTGTTTAAAAACACCCACAGGTATTAACACATATAATATACATTTAATTCCATTGTGCTTTGTCATATGAGAACAACTTGTATTGATGTTTTTACTAAATCAGACTAAATAACCGATGAGAATTTGCTTCTCCTTTACAACACAAATCAAAATAAGCAACACTTAAAATTACATCTTACATTATTGTAAGATAGTCATTTTAAAACATTCACCAACAAGCCAGGCATGGTGGCTCATGCCTGTAATCCCAGCACTTTGGGAGGCCAAGGCAGGTGGATGGCTTGAGTTCAGGAGTTCAAGACCAGCCTGGGCAACATGGTGAAACCCCGTCTGTACACCACCTGGCATGGTGACACATGCCTGTAGTCCCAGCTACTTGGAGGCTTGGAGGCTGAGGTAGGAGGATTGCTTGAGTCCAGAAGATGGAGGTTGCAGTGAGCCAAAATTGTGCCACTGGACTCCAGCCTGGGCAACGGAGTGAAACCCTATCTCAGAAACACACACACACAAATGTAGGGCAGAATTATCTAAGCTCTTTAATTATTCTCTCTTTCTATCCTTCTTTCTCTTTCTAAGTATTAAAGTTAAATGTGAACATGATGGCAAATCCACTCTAATTCTTATGTACAACAAGGCATATAAAATACATGGCATCGTGCCTGACACATAGTACTCAATATAGTTACACACACACAAAGACACACACACATTCAGATAAAATGCCAAATTTTAACTAACTAGACACCACCAGTGAATGAATGGGATTGTCAAGTTTTTGTACAGACTTTTTTTTTTTTGGGTCGGGGGTGGGACATGGTCTCGCTCTGTCACCCAGGCTAGAGTGCAGTAGTCCGATCTCGGCTCACTGCAACCTCCGCCTCCCAGGTTCAAGCAATTCTCGTGTCTCAGCCTCCCAAGTAGCTGGGACTACAGGCACACACCACCACACCCAGCTTATTTTTTTGTAGAGACAGAGCATTGCCATGTTGGCCAGCCTGGTCTCAAACTCCTGACCTCAAGTAATTGGACCGCCTAGGCCTCCCAAAGTGCTAGGATTACAGGTGTGAGTCACTGTGCCCAGTCTGTACAGAAGTTAAAATAAAGACCATCCTCTGCTATGCATGGTGGCTTATGCCTGTAATCCCAGAACTTCAGGAGGCCAGAATGGGAGGATCACTTCAGCCCAGGAGTTCAAGACCAGCCTGGGCGACATAGCAAGACCCTGTCTCTATTTTTTTTAATTAAAATTAAAAAGTAAAGAATTTTTTAAAAGACCGTCCTCAAATTGCAAGACAAATTTAAAAAGCAAAAAAAAGCCTCTTGTCACTTTACCATTTATAATTACTTCTGTGTGTCAGAATGTTATCCATGCCATGAATCAACACAAGATGCAGATATAAATTGCATTCTGAGTCTGTAATTGTTATCCTTTACCTGCAATTTCAAATTTTTACATTCTTCAAAGTAACATAATTGGCTCTTATATATTTGCTTTATAAGGAAGTGTTCAACACTGATCTTATAAATCAAATTTATACCACACTAAAAACATACACATGTGAGTATGTTCCCCATGACATTTTAAACCTCTGCTAAAAATATTCAAAAACTTCTGATGTCATCCAGCTTCTTATTTTATAAATGAAGACACGGAGCCCAGAGGAGAATGGTAACTACCCAAACGTACTTATTCATAGCTGTAAATCTTATCAACCCAATTGTCAATCATTTATTGTTCTTCTCCCTATATATAAAGTTGAGAGATTTGCACACTTTGTTTCATAATTATTGTCTTGTCTTTTTTTTTTCCAGGTGTTTCAGTTTTTCACAAGTAAAAAGATGGCTTGTTAATCCTAACTGGGTTCCAAACTTATATTCTTATACTGTTGTAGAAAAAAATAGACACAAAATTTAGAAACGTTATCCAACTTTGATTATGTTAACCCAATGAATCATTATTTGCAAAGCATTTCACTTAGACTTTCCAGCCTAGAGGCCACCAGAAAAGCACTGCTGTATCCACAGTAAGCAAGTTTAGTGCTGATTTGTTTCTGAAAAGATCACGTAAATGTTGCTGTAAAAGCAAACTTTTCCTTTCTGTGTCCATCCAATCTAAATGGGCTGGTAATACAGGTTATGATTATAGAATGAAAGACACTTCTTGGTAGATAAATATATGATGACTTTTCCCAGGGGTGTATTTGATTCAGTAGCCACAAGAGAGTTCTGCAGGTTTTGTTTTGCCATGGATTGACCATAAGTCTATGTACGTGCATTTGACAGCAAAGGAGTGGTATTTCCCTCATGCACATCTACTATTCAACTGATTAACATTCTTTTGGATTTGGAGGAGGGGAAAAAGCAATATAAAAACATTTTCAATATCTTGCCCCCAACCCCTCTGTGTTGTTGTTGCTGTTGTTGAAAAACATCCAATCTGGTATCAGAGTTTAAGAAATATTGCATATTTCAGTTTCCCATAGATTGAAGTGAGAACATAAAGCAAAAGAATTATAAATTGTAATTACCCCCTACATTGTGGTTTAAAATATGCAAGATCCTCTCTACCAATAACTTTGAGAAGGAAAAACAAAAGAAAAAAAGAAATAAGATATATGGGATCCACCAAATTACATTCATCTGAGTTTAGAGGCCTTCAGAGAGAGGAACCAGCGTACAAATTAGGCCCTATTTGACCAGAAAGTCAGGGGCAAGCTGATTTTCTACTAGCCAGATTTCACACGATCAGGCTCCCCAAGGCATGGTCTGCAGTGACCCCTGCAGTGGCCGAAGGAGGAGAGGCAGAGCTGAGAACGCTGGGTGTTGGGTGAGAGAAGGTAGGCAATAAGGCATACAATACAGCCCGGAGGAGGCCGAAGGTCCTTAAAGCCATGGGCACGTTGTCATGAGAGGCTGGGGCATAGCTGTCCACAGGCCCATCTGCGGACATTGGAGGCTTCCCTACACCACAGGAGCCCAAGAGATAAAGCAGCACAGGAGCACAAAGAGGAGGAGGCAGGAGCAGAAGGGTCATGGGCAGGACAAAAATTACGCAAGACACAGGAACATTAAGAGCTGAGAACCTTAGTGGGAGTGGCTGGGGTGAAATAAGTTGAAAGTATTTTTTTTACTTTTTTTTAGCTCTTTTGAAAATAAAATCCTTAATCTAATAAGAATGTGAGAAGTTTGTCTTATCATGTGTATCATTTTAAATGATGGTAAATTGTATTTCTTTTTTTTAGAATCTTGTCAGTTAGAGCTAAGGATAGTTACTGGGCATTTATTTTCTATTTGTCATGGTTCAAAACTACAAAGCACTAAACATAGAGGGGCTTGAATAAAAATTATTTCTGTGAGTTGATGCACTAAAATCTGGATGGCATGGATGTTAATAAAATACTTTTTTAAAAAGATACAGTTGAAGCCATATATTTGAAACCAGTTCTTTGGGCTCAATAAACATCATTAAAATATGAAACAGACTAAAATGTTTAAATAAGTAATACATTAACATGGCTCGAATGTTTTAAAAAAAGGTAAAGCAAAGACTTACTCTCATACTGCTATGGCCTGAATGTTTATGTCACCCCAGAATTCATACATTCAAACTTAAACCTAAAAGGTGGTGGTATTAAGAAGTGGGGCCGGCCGGGCGCGGTGGCTCACGCCTGTAATCCCAGCACTTTGGGAGGCCGAGGCGGGCGGATCACGAGGTCAGGAGATCGAGACCATCCCGGCTAACACGGTGAAACCCCGTCTCTACTAAAAATACAAAAAATTAGCCGGGCGTAGTGGCGGGCGCCTGTAGTCCCAGCTACTTGGGAGGCTGAGGCAGGAGAATGGCGTGAACCCGGGAGGCGGAGCTTGCAGTGAGCCGAGATCCCGCCACTGCACTCCAGCCTGGGCGACAGAGCGAGACTCCGTCTCAAAAAAAAAAAAAAAAAAAGAAGTGGGGCCATTGGGAAGTGATTAGGTCATGAGGACTCCACTTTCATGAATGGGATTAGTGCCCTTATAAAAAAAAGACCCCCTACAGCGAGTTAACCTCCTCCACTACATGAGAACACTGCAAGAAGACACCATCTGTGAACCAGAGAGGAGGCCCTTATCAAATACTGAATCTGCTAGCAGCTGGATCTTGGACTTCTCAGCCTCCAGAACTGGGTTCTGAGCAAAACATTTCTGTCTATGAGCAAAACATTTCTGTTTATAAGCCACCCAGTTTATGGTATTTGTGTTATAGCAGCCCAAACCAACTAAGACACATACCACCCCCATCCATCCAATTCTCACACATGCACAGAGTATAACTTCTGCTTTCCCAGAAAGCCCAGCATGTAACCTGTACTAGAATGCCCAGCCACTCTTGGCAAAGTCAGAGCTACTCAGCTGGCCCTACAAATGGACAGGACACAACGGCCAAATGTCAGAATGTTTGAGGAAGTCTAGGGCAACAGGACAAGTACCTGGTTCCTGCCCTTATTTTCACACCTGCTGTGCCCCTTCTCTCTGTCTAAACAATTCCATTCTACCAGCTTCCCAACATCAGCAGCAGCCTGATGCCTGTAAGGGTGAGGAAGCATAACCCTTAATGCTCATCATGGGCTTCATGGAACCTCCTATTTCTTACTCCCTGGGCCTCGGAGCACAGGAGACATTTGTACTCTTGCCATCTGAGCCTGAGTTCTCTGAGTAGGTTTTCTCTTTTGTAAAGAAAAACAGACTGCTCCCGGTTCCATCCCAGAACAGTGAAAATTAACACTTTATCTGTCTCATAGATTTGAGTAGGCAAATAGCAAAAAGATAAGCTTTCTAATTTGTAAGATGTCAAAAGGAAGTCAAAAAATTAGGCAGAAATAGTTGGAGACAGAAAATAATGGAATTTTCTCAGTCCCGCCACACAACCCTGAAAGTCAGTGTTAAGATGCCACCGAGTACAAAGCAATAGTGTTCCTTCCTTTGCCGAGCCACACAGGACAGGCTCCCCTGTGCTCCTGTAACTTCACATTTAGATGATTTTACTGGCTAGCTATTGGTCTTGTTCCAAACCATTCTGCCAAGATAATATTTCTCAACATCTGTAACCACCCACTGTCACTATGTAAAAGAGTTGCATTCAACAGGACAGTTTCTTCTTCCAAAAGGGACTTTACTGTCTTCTGTAAATTGGTCACCTGTTGTTTTTATTTGACTGCTGTCTCTTCCTTTGGGAAATTATCCATCCTCCACTCCATGTGTTCCAAACAAGCTGCTGGGAAAGGAATGAGATAAGCTGGGTTAGAGTCTCTCCTGAGAGATAGGCTCTTGCGCAAGCTACACAAGCTAAAGGGCCACTGTAGCAGGTCGCCTGGATGGCCACGTTGAGTCCACAAGCTTCTGCTGCTGAGCTCCTCAGAAGTGTCCTCGTTCCTGCGCCCCATTCTTCAGCTCTGCCCTCAATTCTGTGACCTACCAGCACCTTTCCAGTGGTCAGTTTCCTAGGGTTGCTGCAACAATTTATCACAAGCTGGGTGGCTTCAGTATGTATTCTCTCACAGTTCTGGAGGCTAGAAATCCAAAGTCAAGGTGCTGGCAGGGCCACGGTTCTCAGGAAGAATCCTTTCTCGCCTCTTCGGGCAGCTCTTGCTGTTCCTTATGGCTGCATCACCCCAACCTCTGCCTCCATCATCTCATTGCCTTCTTCCCAGTGTGTCTGTATCCAAATCCTCTCCTTTCTCATAAAAACACTAGTCATTGGGCCAGACGTGGTGGCTCACACCTGTAATCCCAGCAATTTGGGAGGCCGAGGTGGGCAGATCATGAGGTCAGGAGTTTGAGACCAGCCTAGCCAACATAGTGAAACCCTGTCTCTACTAAAAATACAAAAATTAGCCAGGCGTGGTGGCAGGCACCTGTAGTCCCAGGTACTCAGGAGGCTGAGGCAGGAGAATTGCTTGAACCTGGGAGGCGGAGGTTGCAGTGAGCTGGGATCGTGCCATTGCACTCCAGCCTGGGCGACAATAGGGAGGCCTGTCTCAAAAAAAAAAAAAAACAAAAAAACACCAGTCATTGGATTTAGGGCCCACCTTAATCCAGTAAGACCTCATCTTAGCTTAATCAATTATACTTGCAAAGACTTTATTTCCAAATAAGGCCACTTCTGAGGTTCCAGGTAGACATGAATTTGGGGGGATGCTATTCAACCCACTCTACCCATAAACCTTGCTGAGGCTAATGGATAGTTTTGGGGTAGAAGTGACTCTCTCTCCTTTATGCCCCTATTGTGTCTGGTTCTTACATAACACACAATCGATTTGTCTGCATGTGCATCCTTTCTTTCTAGATGAGCCACTGGCTGATGACAGGGATTGTGTTTTACTCATCTCTTACCACAGGGTCCATCTCAAACTGATACTTGCATATGTTTGATTAAGGAAGAGCCAATGAATGTGCTCTATGACAACAAAAGTACAGATGAAACCTACACTGTGTAACTCAGATACCCATGAGCCAGGAGACCTAAGGAAGGTAAAAAGAAAGAACCTACAGTTATTTGGCAAAGAAACCAGGCTTCACTTTTTTTTGGATATAAATCTGCTGGAGCCACTATTTATTTTACTTGCATGTATTAAGCAAAATTTTCCAAAACTTGGAAACAATGCAAAAAAGAAAAAAAAATACTGTGAGCCGTTTCTTTTCTTTTAGAAACAGGGTCTCACTCTGTCATCCAGGCTGGAGTGCCCTAGTACAATCATGGCTCACTGCAGCCTCAAACTTCTGGGCTCAAGCAATCCTCCCATCTTGGCCTCCAGAGTAGCTAGGACTACAGGACTGTGCCACCAGGCCTGGCTAATTTTTTAATGTTTTGTACAGACAGGATCTCCCAATATTGCCCAGGCTGGTTTCAAAGTCCTGGCCTCAAGCGAACCTCCCCACTCAGATAACTTGTCAATGTTATCTTCCAGCACTGTCTAATAAACCCATTACAGAGTTATCTGACGCTCTAGGGCTGCCCTGTCTATATGGTAGCCACCAGCCACATGTGGCTATGTACATTTAATTTTTAATAATTTAAATAAAAAATTCAGTTCCCTAGTTTCCTTAGCTACATTTCAAGTACTGTATTCAGTAACCACATGCAGCTACTGGGTACCCTATTAAACAGCACAGAAAAGACCAGTATCCATCACTCCAGAAAGTTATATAGATGGGTTTGCTCTAGGGAAATGTAACTTTATATATCTGCCATTTATTAGGGCCCAGACCACATTAGATCATGTGGCATGTAGAATGACAGCACGCCAAAGACATCCATGTCCTAATCCCTAGAAACTGTGACTATGTAGGTTACATGGCAAAGGGAAATGAATGTTGCAGTTGGAATTAGGTTTGCTAATCAGGTATCCTTAGAATAAAGAGATTATTCTGGCTTATTTCAATAGGCCCTATGTAATCACAAGAATCCTTAAATGTGGCTGGGGGCAGTGGCTTACGCCTGTAATCCCAACACTTTGGGAGGCCGAGGCGGGCGGATCACGAGGTCAGGAGATCGAGACCATCCTGGCTAATGTGGTGAAACCCCGTCTCTACTAAAAATACAAAAAATTAGCCAGGCATGGGGGCGGGTGCCTGTAGTCCCAGCTACTTGGAAGGCTGAGGCAAGAGAATGGCGTGAACCCGGGAGGCGGAGCTTGCAGTGAGCTGAGATTGTGCCACTGCACTCCAGCCTGGGCAACAGAGCGAGACTCCATCTCAAATAAAAAAGAATCCTTAAATGTGGAAAAGGGAGGCAGGAGAGTTGGTGTTAGAGTAGCTGGCTTTAAAGATGTCAGGGGCCCAAGCCAAGGAACGCAGGCAGTCTCTGGAAGCTGGCGAAGGTGATGAAACACATTCTCATCTAGAGTCTCCGAGTAGAATGCAGCCCTGCTGACACCTTGATTTTAGCCCAGTGAGACCCACTTTGGAATTCTGACCTTCAGAACTGTAAGATAATCAATTCGTGTTGTTTTATGCCACCAGGTTTAGGATAATTTGTTGTAGCTGTAATAGGAAATAATACAGGTGTTAACTTGCAAAACATTGATAAATTACAAAGAATTGCTGTATAGTTGAAAAGAAATCCCCCAAGGTTTCAGTTTTATTGCCCTTAGGACATTAACCAGTTTTGTTTTGTTGTTTATTTGGGTTTTTTTCCCCCTAATCTGCAATCTTATTCTGATGTTCTTTCTTCCATATTGGTTTCTCACATCTTCCTTTGAACTTGCTTTATTACACTCGCTCCCTCATTGACTATATCTTTGAAATCTGCTCACTACATATTGTATAGGAGTCACTATATATTGTACAGCTTTAAGGTCACAAGTGGTTTTTGGTTCCATGAGTGAATCGTATAGTGGTGAAGTCTGAAACTTTAGTGTACCCATCACCCAAACAGTGTACATTGTACCTAATAGGTAGTTTTTCATCCATCACCCCTCTCCCACACTCCCTCCTTGGTTTATATGCTTAAAGTTAGATGCTGACATGCAACCAACAAAGGAAAAACAAACAAACACAGGACTCTAAGGTTCTTCCGTATGTAAGAAGAGCCTACATAATTTATACAGCGATTAACCTGATGAAATAGTTTATTTACAATTTAAATGAATAAATTTCATATTCTACAACACATATAATCTATTGACTAAATGTAACTAATGATGAACCTCCATACAAACAACCCCACTAAAAAGTGGGCAAAGGACATAAACAGACACTTTTCAAAAGACATACAAGTGGCCAAAAAGCATATGAAAAACAGCTCAATATCACTGATTAGAGAAATGCAAATCGAAACCACAATGAGATACCATCTCACACCAGTCAGAATAGCTATTATTAAAAACTCAAAAAATAACAGCTGCTGGCAAGGTTGCAGAAAAAAGGGAATGCTTACACACTCTTGGTGGGAGTGTAAATTAGTTCAACCATTGTGGAAAGCAGAGTGGCGATTCCTCAAAGAGCTAAAAACAGAACTACCATTTGACCCAGCAATCCCATTACATTCCCAAAGGAATATAAATCATTCTACCATAAAGATACATGCACACAAATATTCACTGCAGCACTATTCACAATAGCAAAGACATGGAATCAACCTAATACCTGATATGGTCTGGCTTTGTGTCCCCACCCACATCTCATCTCAAATTGTAATCCCCACGTGTTGGAAGAGGGGCCTGGTGGGAGGTAATTGGATCATGGGGTAGATTTCCCTCTTGCTGTTCTGTTGATAGTGAATTCTCATGAGATCTGGTTGTTTGAAAGTGTGTAGCACCTCCCCCTTTGTGCTATCTCTCTCCTGCTGCCATGTAAGATGTGCCTTGCTTCCCCTTTGCCTTCTGCCATGATTGTAAATTTCCTGTGGCCTCCTAGCCATGCTTCCTATACAGCCTACAGCACTGTAAGTTAATTAAACCTCTTTTCTTCATAAATTACCCAATCTCAGGTAGTTCTTTATAGTAGTATGAGAACAGACTAATACAATTCCCATCAATGAGAAACTGAATAAGAAACTGTGGTATATATACACCATGGAATACTATGCAGCAATAAAAAAAGAACAAGATCATGTCTTTTGCAGGAACATGAAGGGAGATGGAGGCCATTATCCTTAGCAAACTAATGCAGGAAGAGAAAACCAAATACTGCATGTTCTCACTTATAAGTGGGAGCTAAATGATGAGAACTCATGGACACAAATAGGGGAACAATAGACACTGGGGCCTACTTGAGGGTGGAGGATTGGAAAAGGGAGAGAATCAGAAAAAATAACTATTAGGTACTAGGCGTAGCGCCTGGATGACAAAATAACCTGTACAACAAAGCCCTATGATATGAGTTTACCTATATAACAAACCTGCACATGGACCCCCTCAACCTAAAATAAAAGTTGAAAAACATACAAACAACAAAGACCACAAAATAAAAAGTGTTGGCCAGGACATGGAGAAATTGGAACACTTGTGTACTGCTGATGGGAATGTAAAATGGTACAGCTGCAGTGGAAAACAGTATGGTAGTTCCTCAAAAATCAAAAATTAGATTGCCCAATGATTCAGCAACTCCATTTCTTTTTTCTTTTTCTTTTCTTTTTTTTTTTTTTTTTTTTTGCCCCAGGATGAAGTCTTATTCTGTGGCCCAGGCTGGAGTGCAATGGCACAATCTTGGCTCACTGCAACCTCAACCTCCCAGGTTCAAGCAATTCTCCTACCTCAGCCTCCCAAGTAGCTGGGATTACAGGCACATGCCACCATGCCTGGCTAATTTTTGTATTTTTAGTAAAAACAGGATTTCATCATGTTGGCCAGGCTGGTCTCAAACTCCTAACCTCTTGATCTGCCTGCCTCAGCCCCCGAAAGTGCTGGGATTACAGGCATGAGCCACCATGCCTGGCCGGCAATTCCACTTCTTTTATGTTTATAGCAAAAGAATGGAAAGCAAGGTCTCAATAAGATATTTATATACCCATGTTCACAGTAGCATTTTTCACAATAGCTAAAACGTGGAAGCAACCCAAGTGTCCATCAATGAAGGAATGGATAAGGAAAATGTGGTATATATTATACAAATAATAGCCTTCCAAAGGAAGGAAATTCTGACACAAGCTACAACATAGATGAACCTTGAGGAACCTTGAGGAACCTTGCTAAATGAAATAAGCCAGTCACAAAAAGACAAATACTGTATGATTCCACTTATATGAAAACCTTAAAGTAGTAAAATCAGAGAGACAGAAAACGGAATAGTGGTTGCCAAGCATGTGGGGAAGGAGAATCAGAGTTATTGTTTAACGGGTGTAAGATTTGTTTTGCAAGATGAAAAGAGCTACAGAGATAGATGGTGGTGATAGTTGTACATTATAAATATATTTAATAACACTGAACTGTACATTTAAAAATGGTTAAAATGGTAAAGTTTAGGTTATGTATGTTTACCACAATAAAAAAATTTGAAAAAAAAATGATAAACTTCTTTCTTTTCCTTTTTTTTCCTTTTAGTAAATATAACAAGAACAGAGCCTGTACCGATTTAGTTAAGACCTTTTTCCATTTCTTTGGTTTCTTTGTTCCTTGTGCTCAAGAATTTGTTGGAATGTAAATGTCCTCCAAGCTTATCCAGATAAGTATAATGAAAATATATTCCTCCCAAGGCCTTTCAAACACCATTGTTACCAATAGTTTATTTATATTTTTATCCAAAAAGTAAATAAATCAAAGTTTGGGAGCTCATTTTTCAATCTCCACAAGTTGCTCATAATCCACAAAAATTGAGGAAATACACACACACACACACACACACACACACACACAATCCAATCCTCTTCTCCTTGGCCCTAATGCTCTTCTTCCCACTCCTAAATTATCTATCCCTAGAAGAAGCAAGAGTAGATCTATCAGAACCACTTAAGGAGCTTTTTCAAAATTCCCACATCCTGCTTCCCACCCCTACCCTATCCTGATATACCACCCAAAGAGGCAATGCCAGAATCTGGGTACTGTTTTGTTTTGGGGGGTTTTTTGGAACAGGGTCTTACTTTGTCACCCAGGCTGGAGTGCACTGGCACCACCATAGCTCACTGCAGCCTCAAACTCCTGGGCTCAAGCAACCCTTCTGCCTCAGCCTCCTGTGTAACTAGGATTACAGGTGCACACCACCATGCCCAGCTGATTTTTTTTATTTTTAGTAGAGATGGAGTTTCACCATGTTGCCCATGCTGGTCTTGAACTCTTGACCTCAGGTGATCCTCCTGCCTTGGCCTCCCAACCTCTGGGATTACAGGTGTGAGCCACTGTACCTGGCCTAATCTGGGTAGCTCAAGAATCCATAGAGGGAAGAGAAAGAAAAGCAAGTATACAAAAAGCAGGTTGTTGGAGGGTTATATTGACTTGGTTGAAATGGAATCCAACAGGGTCTTATCCTCCAGCTCACCAATGCTTCCCTTCCCCAGAGTAATTTTTCTATAATATTGACAGTCTGCTGGTATCATATAGATAATCTCTAGTGGTCTCCACTACTGACCAGATTGTCACACAGTGATCTCAGGCAATTAGGCAATTGATGAACACAGCAATTGGCAGGTCCTCTTCATAAATATCCACAGCCCCCACTAAAAGTTAGAGATAAGTCAAACATCTCACATGACAGATTCACTCTGAATGGACACAACAGACTGACGGCAGAATCATCTAGCCCTCTGGGAGGAGAGTACTGAGAACCAATAGCAATCCACACCTGAAGGCTGCTGCCAGCATCGCTTGCTGGATTCCTCCACCTTCCTCGGATGAGGTTCATAGAGCAAGTGTAAAGTCTCTAACCAACCACGTATCTTATTTCTAACATCCACTATACCAAGGAACAAAACCTTAAAATGGACTCTTGGAAAATTAGTTGAAATGTGTAGGTAACCAATTTTGAAGTGTGGATTCATGATTTGGATTCATCAAATGCTAATTAACTACACCTAGAGTGCAAGTTGATGCTACCTAGGGTGTAGAAAAAAGTTACCTTATGTTTAAATATATCATATAGTTTACACTAAATTTCTTAAGCATTTTAAAGTGAATTACCACATAGAAAGCAGAACATAGGTGAAGACCAAACTCCTTAGGATGGGCTCTTAGCCCTTCTCAAGCTAACCCCCTCTTCATCTTTGCCATCCCTGTCCCAACATACACATACACAGATACACATACACCCTACACCACACACAGCAAGCTGCTCCCTGCTCTAGAATGTGACAGCTACATTTCAGGCTGCTCCACATGCTGCTCCTACCTCCCTCTTCCCCATCTGACCAACCTCTTCTCTTCTGCCAAGACCTACCTCAAATGCTTCCTATTCCAAATCTTTTGGGAACCCCTTCCTTCTCAGCCCTGTGGAGTTGGTCACTCCCTTTTCCATATTCTAATAGCACCTTGTATGATACATTCGTGGTGGTATTGTACCATGTCCCTCACTGGACAGTGCATGTCACAAGCACCATGACTATCTTTGGGCCTCCATTACAGCACACCAGGCACATAAGGAAAAGCAGAGTCCTTCCTAAAGAGTTCTCACCAAAAGCGTTTCTCAAAGGCAATTAAATCTGTTGCTTGTACATTGTTCTTCCTAGGCAAGAAATTCTTAAAATTTCTGAAGTCATGAAACCCCAATGTTCTTAATGGTATTTTATAGCCCTTTTTACCTGGTGATACGGTTTGGATGTTTCTCGCCTCCCAAATCTCATGTTGAATGTATTTCCCAATGTTGGTGGGAGGTGATTGGATCGTGGAGGCGGATCCCTCATGAGTGCTTTAGCACCAACACTTTGGTAATAAGTAAGTTCTCACTCTGAATTCCCGTGAGATCTGGTTGTTTAAAAGTGTGTGGCACCTCCCACCTCACTCACACTTGCTCCCACTCTCACTATGTGATGTCCCTGCTCCCACTTCACTTTCTGCCATGATTGTAAATTTCCCAAAGCCCTCACCTGAAAGCAAATGCTCGTGCCACACTGGCACAGCCTGCAGAACCATAAGCCAATTAAACCTCTTTTCTTTATAAATTACGCAGCCTCAGGTATTTCTTCTTCTTCTTCTTTTTTTTTTCTGAAACAGAGTCTCACTCTGTTGCCCAGGCTGGAGTGCAGTGGCGTGATCTCAGCTCACTGCAACCTCTACCTCCTGGATTCAAGCGATTCTTCTGCCTCAGCCTCCCCAGTAGCTGGAAATATAGGTGCGTGTCACCACGCCTGGCTAATTTTTTGTATTTTCAATAGAGACAGGGTTTCACCGTGTTAGCCAGGATGGTCTCCATCTCCTGACCTCATGATCCGCCTGCCTTTGCCTCCCGAAGTGCTGGGATTACAGGCCTGAGCCACCGCACCAGCCTCAGGTATTTCTTTATAGAAACACAAGAACGGCCTAACACGCTTAGGTTCTGAAAGTTCTTCGTGGCATTTAGGTATTGAAAAATGTGAGTTGAATTCAAAGCACAGGTATAGAGAACTAACAGAGAATTTCATTTCAGCACTTACTATAACTAGTCACCTAGTGCTAAGGATCTCTGTGCTGGGCAAGCCTTATTGTATAAAGTTCTCTGATGCTAAAGCCTTCTATACTGGTTAAGTTCTGGAAAATGAAACTGCTTTTTTAAAGAAAACTAATTTTATCCCAGAAAGATCTGGGAAATCTTCCAAGACTGCTTTTTAAGAGTAGGACCTGAAATGTATCATTAGAAAAAAGGTTCCACTTTTTCTTATCAGATAAATTGACATTAAGTTTACTTAATGGTAGTCCATGGCCTTGTTCTGGAAGACTAATAATCATCAATTCTATCTATAGTTAGCTTGCTTTGAAAGCAAGGCAGCCTTACTTTCTCACAAAGTTTCTGTGAAGAATTATAAAATGCATGTGAAAATATTTTGTAAACAGTAACATCCTCTATAAATTTAAGGTCTACTGTGACCACTCTATTACTACTAATAGTAGTACATACCAAGTAATAGCAGTAGTACTACTAATAATAGCAATAAGGCAGTGATTAAGTTCTATTTAGTTTAGTTGCTTTTTCATCTTAAATAAAAACTTTCCATCAGCTGGGCGCGGCAGCTCACACCTGTAATCCCAGCACTTTGGGAGGCTGAGGCCGGCGGATCACTTGAAGTCAGGAGTTTGAGACCAGCCTGGCCAACATGGTGAAACCCCGTCTCTACTAAAAATACAAAAATTAGCCAGGGGTGGTGGCACGCACCTGTAATCCCAGCTACTCAGGAGGCTGAGGCAGGAGAATCGCTTGCACCCGGGAGGCGGAGGTTGCAGTGAGTGAAGATCGCACCACTGCACTCCAGCCTGGGCAACAGAGAGAGACTCCGTCTCAAAAAAAAAAAAAAAAAAATTCCATCGCACTGAGGCTCCCAAAAAATGAAATGTAGGTTTTAAAAAAGACATCAAAGAAAGATGGCCATCTAAATATGCCAAGGAAACCGTTATGCATTGGAGATAATTTTCCAACACAGAGATGTTTGGATCTGGCGTCCTTAGTAACATTTCTTTTTTTTTTTTTTTGAGACGGAGTCTCACTCTGTCGCCCAGACTGGAGTGCAGTGGCGGGATCTCGGCTCACTGCAAGCTCTGCCTCCCGGGTTCACACCATTCTCCTGCCTCAGCCTCCTGAGTAGCTGGGACTACAGGCGCCCGCCACCACGCCCGGTTAATTTGTATTTTTAGTAGAGACGGGGTTTCACCGTGTTAGCCAGGATGGTCTCGATCTCCTGACCTCGTGATCCGCCCGCCTCGGCCTCCCAAAGTGCTGGGATTACAGGCGTGAGCCACCACGTCCGGCCTCTTAGTAACATTTCTTAATCTTCAGTTCTGCAGTAATATTCTAGGAGATATGAACTATTAATAATAAGCAGTAAACAGTTTTTTCTAAACAATCCTATAGCTAACATACCACATGCCATTACACTGTTCTCTTGTTGGTTTTTATTTTGCTTCGTTTTAATGAATGTCTTGAATGCTATATAACTTAGAATGCACATATTTAAATCACCCCAAATATCACTTATTTGGCAACTCACTTCAAACTATATTCTGAACAAGCACTTTACAGGAGCAAAGAGTTTTCACCTTAACCTGTCATTATTCTGATGTTAAGAGGGGAGAGAGAGAAACAGAAAATGCATGTATGCCAAATTTCTTGAATCCCTAAGCTTCCCAATTATTTCGGCCTATTCAAAAATCGAGTCCAGGTGTGGTGGCTCACGCCTATAAATCCCAACATTTTGAGAGGCAGAGGTGGGAGGATTGCTAAAGCCCATGAGTTGGAGGTCATTCTGGGCAACATAACCAGATCCTGTCTCTATTAAAAAAAAAAAAAAAACTAAAATCTAAATAATAGAGTGTGTTTGCTAAAAGAGGGTATTTATTTAACAAATATTACTAAAATGTTAATGTAACTAAGCAATGCTTTTTATCTTGATTATGTCAAATATTATTAATAATTATAACTATTAAAATAATTCTATGAAGAAGTAAAAGAAATGGTATATATGAGATATGTAGCAAGTGAATGATATTTAACACATTTTTTACCTAAAATGAAATTATTTAAAAGCTCATTGTACCTCAAAGCTTTTTCACTGTAAAAATTTTGTGGAGCCTATGAAAATACTTCTGGCCACACATACATACATAAATATATGCATACATATATAGGTGTGTGTAACTAGAAGTATTTCATATACATATGCTACAATATTTAAGCCAGGTTCATAGGATGTTCTATAAGCTTCTACAAGACTCAAAGCATAGGAATAAATACTTCCCCCAGCTCATTTTCCAAGGGCAACAATGTGCTTTTCAAAACAGGCCCTTGATATTCTTCTAGTTGTTAGGAATAAAAACCTATTGTCACTTGCTTTT
Organism: Homo sapiens; assembly: GCF_000001405.40. Classification (NCBI taxonomy): domain Eukaryota; kingdom Metazoa; phylum Chordata; class Mammalia; order Primates; family Hominidae; genus Homo; species Homo sapiens. Next base: position 200,808,749 of record NC_000002.12, read on the forward strand.
AAAAAAGAAACACTTAGGTATCCATTCCCATCAATGAAGTTAAAAGCAGTAGCACATTCACATGTTGCACTTAGCACCTTTCTTTTTAAGTAGTTCAAAATTTTTAAATCCAAAAGTACTAAGGGGGATTCACAGCAATGGCAGAGTGAAGAAATCAGCATATCCTTTTTCCCAAAACAACCATAAAACTGGGCAAGGCTAGGCGTGATGATTCACACCTATAATCTCAGCACTTTGGGAGGCTGAGGCGGGAGGCTCACCTAAGGCCAGGAGTTTGAGACCAGCCTGGGCCACAAAGCAAAACCCCATCATCACCAAAAAAAAAAAAAAAAAATTAGCAGACTCAGTGGCTCATGCCTGTAGCCCAATTACAAAGAAGGAATGTGTTCACATCCATGACTAAGAAAGGCTTATGGGAAAAAAGCAGTAGTTGAGATAAGGCTTGAAACAATAGTGGGATTTTGACAGTGGAAAATGAGGGAAGGACATCTCAAGAAAGGTCAAGACAAGATGTGTCCTGTCTGACCAAAGCATAGAGTTCAATTGTTTGGAACCTTTTCCTACCATAATACAATTCACAAACAACGTTTCCCCTGCTAGCTGCACGGTGCCTATTCCCATGGGTGCACCCAAAAGCAGAGAAAAGATAAGTGGCAAGGTGTGGTCTGTAATCCCAACACTTCAGGAGGCCAAGGTGGGAGGATTATTTGAGGCCAGGAGTTCAGGAAAACCTTTAATCCACTTTACATTTTAAAGAAAATAATCTGCTTACTTTAATATCATTTTTAGTCAAAAATCATTTGCTACATACCCCACAATGATGGTAATAACAGGTTAAGAACCACAAATGTGATGGGAAGTAAAGGTGAAAAACATTGGTCAGAGCTATCCCTGAGTATAAACAGAGGCATTTAAACAGTGAAGAGAAATGATTCAGCTTGCAGTTGAGAAGATTGCTCTGGAAATGTTGAGAAAGGGGATAGTACAGTTAGGAAGTTATTGCAAAAGTCCCATTTAGTTAGGGGTAATAGATGCCTAAATCAAGATGGTACTGGGGAAAGATGATACAATTTTAAAACGTGGCAAAAATAGAAGATAAGCTTTGTGAGGCCATAGGCGTAACATGTCACTATCTCTACTGGTCTCTAGCTGAATAAATATTTGTTGAATGAATAAATAAGATCTTGGTGGTAAGGCGGTGCATTATAATGGTGAAGCCAGACTGCTTGGGTTCAACTGGACCTCTTCCACTTACTAGCGCTATGATCTTAGACAAGTTACCTGACCTCGATGCCTCGGCTTTTCCATCTGTAAAATGGGACTAATAATAGTGTCTAGATTACAGGGTAGTTTTCAGGATGAAATGGGGTTACTACATAAAGTGCATAGAAGAGGGCCTGATACATATAGGGACATATTAGTTATCATTTTTATTTGTGAAACGTTGTCCTTTAACAGAACTTCAGATGTGAAAAATACAGTTCTGGGGGAAGAGCAATTGACAGCACTGACAGTGTTAAATTAGCCATGAAGTGAAGATGCCAGATAGTGTGGACTGGGGCCTTGGGAGAAAGGAAGGGGCTAGACACTTAGAGATCAGACTCCAGCCACTTCCCTCTGCTCCCCACAGCCCTCCCAATCACACTAGCTTCTTGCAGTTCCTCCAACAGATGCAGTTTGTTTCCTGCCTCCTTCCCACTGCTGTTGCCTCAACTTGGAAGGGCATAGAGCCTGGATTTAACAAATATTTGCTTAATGATTCAGTAGATGATCTTGGAACTCTTTTAAGTGGAGTAAATGTTAAATCCTTGAGAATGTATGAGACTGCCATAGAAGAAAGTATCCAGAAAGAAAAGGTATCAGTACAGAAAAGAAGAGTCAGAAAATACCGTGCAAAGGCACATTCAGAACGTAACCAGGATAGCTGGAGCCAGGATTCAAGGAGAGAGGTAGGTAACATTCAATGCTCAGAGGAGGCAAACAGGGTGAAGAATAAAACACTGGGTTTGGCAATAATTTCAGGAACGAACGCTGAGAAAGTCATTTTTCCATGAAGTTGCGGGGGGGTGGGGTAGAGGTCAGATAGTTAATTAGGGAAAAGAAGTCAACAAACTATTTTATCAAAAGGTTTAGGGAAGAGAAGCCACTCTCCTCCTACCAGAGAGTGAGGAAGCAACTGGAGAGAAGTAAACTACTGTACAGTGAATAAAAACATGGGGCTACATCCTAGAGGCGCTGTGCATCTTTATCTGCACAGAGTTTTGTCACGTCCACAGTGCTTTTCACACGCACTATCTAATCTGATCGTACCCCAGCTCCCTGATGATATAGCCTCTAACTGAGGGGTTCTCAAGGTGCGGACCAGCAGCAGCATCACAGATAACTTGTTGGAAATGCACATTCATGGGTTCCACACCAGGCCTACAGAATGAGAAACTACGGGTGGGGCCCAGCAGTCTGTTATAACAAGTCCTCCAAGGGATTCTGATGCTCTCCAAGTCCCCATAGCCACCACACTCGGGAGACAACCGCTGCAGCGCGCAGGGACCGCGGTTGGAGGACAGAATTTCCCCTTCTCAATCTTCGGCCTGTGTCCTCTTCGCTCTTAAGGGAGGTAGTGAACAATGAGACAGCCCCTCAGAGAAAAGTCGCCAGGCAGGGGACTCAGCTGGAGCGAACTCCGCCCATCCCGGCCAGGGCGGAGGCGAGGTGCGGATTCCTTCCCCAAACCACGCCCCCATGCCCGCCCCCAGCCTCCGCCCCCGCACGACCCGAGGGCCCCCCGCCCTCGGGCTTCGACTTCCGGTGCTGGAGGAGGGGGCCGGCGGCGAGGGACTCCAGGAGGACGCGTCCAACTTCGAGACCGGCGGGGGCCGGCTCCGCTCTTCCAACCCCTCCATGTGTGAAGAGGGCGGACGACGCAGCGGGGGAAGAAAAATAAGCTAGTCTAGGACAAGTGTCCAGGCGACGTGGAACCCAGTAAGGGAATAAAGAAGACTGGAAACGTCTCTCCCCTCCCCTATCCCAGTCCCTCACCCTAATCCGCGCGCAATAGAAAAGGCGGAAGCGCCTGTCCACGATCAGGGCGGGGCAAGGGGAAGAAATCTCGCGATAGGAGAGCGGTCCGGGCGGGGGTGGCACCTCTCCCTCCTCCTGGCGTTAGTTCCGGTCGCAGAGGAGACACCGCCGCAGTTGCCGGTACATCGGGGATTTCTGGCTCTTTCCTCTTCGCCTTAAATTCGGTGAGACGCGGCGCCCCGCTCACCCCGGGCGGACGCTGCGGGTCGTGGACGCCGGGCAGAGGGAGAGGGAGGCGGCGGGCTGGATGCGGCCCGGCTTGGATGGGCCCGAACGGAGGTCGCCTCTTGAGGCCGGGCCGGATCTAGGGCCTGAAAGGCCGCCGCTTCGGCAGGGAGGCCGAGGGGTAGCGGCGGCCCGGGTGGGGAGGTGGGGTCCGGGTGTGCGCCGCGGCGCTGGCTGCGAAGGCAGTGGCCGAGGCGGGCTCCCTCTGGGCCGTGCCCGGCCTGGCTAACAAAGCCGCCGCGGCCTCTGTTGTGTGATGTACGCGTGGGGGCTTCCGGCGGGCGGGGCGGAGGGGCTGCCACCCACCACCGCTGCGGCCGCCGCCTCCGCCGCTGCTTTCGCTGGAGGGCGGGCGGATGTACGGGGCGCCTGGGGCCCCGGCGCAAAGCGCCTCAGTGACTGTGGTCCGCTCGTTGCGGCGGCCGCCACCGCAGGCGACAGGGTCAGTGGAGAAAGAGCCGCGGGACCCTACGGCGCCCCGCTGTGGCCGATGGGGTCCTGGGCGGGAAGCGGGTGATCTGTGGCTCGGGCGGGAGGCATGGGAAGGGTGTGGATTGGGAGACACGTTACCGGGGAGGAGGCTAGGACTGTGGGATATGGGCGAAGGAGGCTGGGCTGGCTGTTAGTTTTGCAGGCCTGAGTGGTGCAAGGCGGCCGCTGTTGCGGTCACAGGCATGACCTAGGGTAGGATGGTGCTGCCCGTAACCAGGCTTGTCAGAAGAAGGGGTTCACCTTTTGACAGTGTTTTAGAATTGGCATACACATTTTGGATGCCTGCTGACTATGGTGATAATCTCTCTTTGCGTTCTGCGATGCTTAGTGGTCGTGGAAGATGTAAGTGAATGTAAAGAGGAATGTGGAGAAAACTGAACAATTAGGTTTATGACGGGTGATCACTGTAGCACTACAATGTCGCTTAAAAGTAGTTCACAGCACTAATTTGAAGGGTTTCTTGTAGAGAGAAATGCACATTTTGACGTACATTTGATTCAAGTGCAGGTAATTCTTTGTGCCTGTATCGGGTATAATTGCCAGCTTTATATCCTGAGAGTGGGTGTTCCATTTGATTCATATGTGACTAGACTAAGGTTTGATGTTTTGCTTTAAAAATTAGTATTATGGCACTGATATTAAGGCTTTATTTCTCCTTTCCTAGGGTGTCTTTTATGAATAATCAAAAGCAGCAAAAGCCAACGCTATCAGGCCAGCGTTTTAAAACTAGAAAAAGAGGTAAATATTTACGTTTTAATGTCTCTCTTCAAACCTCCAGAACATCTTGTGTATCTTGCCTTCTCTGACAGGTACTTGCATATTACTAAAGCCTCAAAAGAAGATACCAGAAAGAAACTTGAATTTCTCGTTGACTGCCATTTCACATACACCTTTAATATTTCTACTGCTTTACTGCTCAAGCCTTAATTTTTAGTATCAATATATCTCTAAGCCGGTTAGTGAATCTTCTTTTCGGTGTGAAGGTAAAATATTTTTAAAAATAAAAATAAGGGCTCTGTTTTCACTAGCAGGCAGTCTCATTTAAGCAAACTTAAATGAGCAAAAATGTTAATTTATAAAAGGAGAACTCCTAATGTAGTCACCCAGATTTTGTGAAGATTTGTGAGAGAAAACTCAGACTTCACCCATGGAAGTTAATTGTGGAACAGGATTCACATTGTAATGTCTTTTGAAATACAGACTTAGTAGAAAAAGTATTAGAATTATATTACTATTTTTTTTTTGCATTAGTGTGTACTTAGGTGAGTATTGAATTCTGTAGCAAAGTGCTGTGCTAGTGATATAAAGCTAAATAAGACGTAGTCTCAGATATATTTTTACTGTTTTTGGTCAAAAGCATATTAACCTTGTTTTACAGGTGGTTTTGAGGAAATGAAGAACTAGGTCAGCTACTGGTTATAAGTTGTGTTTTTCTTTTTCTTCCTTAAGTAGCAGACATTTTGAGATATATATTGTAGAATTTTAAAATCACTAATCATAGGCTGTCTGTCCCCTTGTAGTAGTGGTGGGGAGACCAAAGTGTGATTTGATTCTAATCTTTGCAGATTCATTTAGATTTAGCTGGTAAATTTTCTTAAGGAGCTGGAGTTGTAAACTAGAACAGTTTGGCAGTAAAATGGGAAAGTGTATCTCTTGAATATGTGGGTTACTGATGTTACCTTGATACAAATAATAGCAAGTAGCTTTAGCATTCTTATTATTAGCATCAGGGAGAGATGTAACTTCCCCGGTTCCAGATAGAGATGATTCGTGGCCTGGCTGTTGATGGTTAGGGTACTGGGTAGGGTATACAACACTCCCTGTCTGGGACTGAGGGAGTTTCCAGACACAAGACTTTCAGTGCTAAAACCAGGAAAGTGCTGGGCACTCAGAGGTGTTTGTCACCCTAGTACTGTGTGAACAGATGTCATCTAGCCTAGATTGGGAAAGCAAAACCCTATTATGAAGTGTGTGAAAGCAACTCAGTAAAGGTCAGGTATGTGCACAAGGCTGTGGTCTGGGAGCTTTCTATTTTATTAATGTCATTTGGTATTTACAACAACTTTATGGGATAGGTACTATTCTTATCCCCATTTTACAGTAGGGGAATTCTGGCATGGCGAGTGAGACTATTTGCTTGAATTCAGGTGGTTAAATGGTGGTCAGGATTTGAATCAGGCAGTTTAACTCCAGAGCCCATGTACTGAACTACTACACAATATAGTCTCTTGATTACCTAATTTCTCTGACTCTCAGTTTTCCTTCTGAATAATAGGGGGAAAAATCTGCCTCACAAGGTTGTTAACAGGATTAAAGCAAATGCTTAATATAGTTTCTGTCATTGGGTGCTCATTAAATGTACTTTCTAAAGCTCACCTTCATAAATGCCAAAGGATTGGTTCAATTTTTTTGTTTGTTTAATATTATGGACATTTAAGGAAAAGGATCAAGAGCTCCAGTGTCTGGACAAAACCCAAAGGAATAAAATGTACCTGTTAGAGGATGGCCTAAATTTTGGAAAAGCCAAGAGGCAGTAGGAGGGCGTTCCCAGTAGAAATTGGCTTATGGCAGTAGGAACACAAGACACTAGCACATTTAGATCACTTGTGAAATTATTTGAAAAGTTGCACAATTCTTGTGAGTGGGCCATCTTGTCTTACACTTGCAGAGGGGAAACATGCAAAGGATGTGAATTTAATCTAACTTATTTAACAATTGCATCTTCATAAGGTGATAGTTTTGTGGCATTTTGGTAAATCTTTTAAAACTAAATGTTTTGGGTCCCTTGTCCCCCCAGATGAAAAAGAGAGGTTTGACCCTACTCAGTTTCAAGACTGTATTATTCAAGGCTTAACTGAAACCGGTACTGATTTGGAAGCAGTAGCTAAGTTTCTTGATGCTTCTGGAGCAAAACTTGATTACCGTCGATATGCAGAAACACTCTTTGACATTCTGGTGGCTGGTGGAATGCTGGGTAAGTGTCTGTGGTTTGTGGGCTTAATAATTTAGAAAGGTATAATATATGGAGATTATGGAGAGTCTAGAATATGAACTATTTGGCAAACTTGTTAAAATGGAGTGATTTTTTTGGTTTTGTTGTATTTTGGTTTTATCCAACTTTAGCCCCAGGTGGTACACTGGCAGATGACATGATGCGTACAGATGTCTGCGTGTTTGCAGCCCAAGAAGATCTAGAGACCATGCAAGCATTTGCTCAGGTAAATGAAACTTTACATAATTGTTTTCAGTTGGCTACTATCCATGTGGTATATTTGAGGAATATTCTACTTTTAAGAGTTGTGGTTAGAAAGTTGAAGGAATTTGATTTTAAATTTTAGGGATACTGTTCTTGGTGCAACGGGATGAATTAGAAACTTAAGGTGTGTTAAGGCGAACAAAATAGGGAAAAATGAAATTAACTCTTCTGTTCCTATTTGTCCTGAAATTACTCAATTTTTAAGAAAAATGTCAAGCTGGAAAAGTCAGTTTCGTATTGTGATTTCTCTAGTTTATCTGCATACATTTATTTTTAAAGTTAAATGAGTTGTGAGCTGATTAGCTTGTTAATCAAGATCTCATTGGAAAGTTTCATACGTAGTTATGTTTGTGTTACTGTAAGCAAAGAATTAAAGTACATCTAACCTGGACATTCTTATGTGTCACTAGGAATTCTTCTCAAGCTGGTTTAAGCAGCTCATAAACTTACATCGAGTGAAAGGTTTACTACTTTGCTATTCTAGAAATATATGAAGTTACTGAATTCATTTAATGTTCTTCATAGGTTTTTAACAAGTTAATCAGGCGCTACAAATACCTGGAGAAAGGTTTTGAAGATGAAGTAAAAAAGGTATGAGTAATAATGTACTTTGTGGAAAAGAAAAAAATAGGGTTAGAAAGAGGAATGTTAAATCCTAATTCCGCCACAGATTTGGAGTAATTTTGCTTGTTTGTTTGGGTTGTTTTTTGAGACAGAGCCTCACTCTGTGTCCCAGGCTGGGGGTGCAGTGGCTCAGTCTCAGCTCACTGCAGCCTTTGCCTCCCGGGTTCAAGCGATTCTCGTGCCTCAGCCTCCCGAGTAGCTGGGATTACAGGCATGTGCCACCATGCCCAGCTAATTTTCTGTTTTTAGTAGAGACAGGGTTTCACCATGTTGGCTAGGCTGGCCTTGAACTCCTGGCCTCAAGTGATCTGCCCTCGGCCTCCCAAAGTGCTGGGGTTATAGGTGTGAGCCAACACGCCTGGCCCAATATTGCATATAGATGCCCAGAAAACTTGATATGTTTATCAAGCACCAGGCACTGTTCTAATGATACTAATTCACTCAATGTTTATAAAAACCCTGTGAGGCAAGTTTTATTATCCACATTTTACATGTGAGGTGCAGAGGTTAAGTAACTTGCCCGAGATCATTCAGCTAATGAGTATTGTAACTTAGATGTAAACTTGGATGGTTAGATCCCAGAGCCCACGTATTGAACAGGTAGCCAGTATAACATGCTTTACTGCTTCTCTTATTGTAATGCAGTTGCTGTTTTAACCCTTAATTGTTTTACTTTTTACAGCTGCTGCTGTTCTTGAAGGGTTTTTCAGAGTCGGAGAGGAACAAGCTAGCTATGTTGACTGGTGTTCTTCTGGCTAATGGAACACTTAATGCATCCATTCTTAATAGCCTTTATAATGAAAATTTGGTTAAAGAAGGTAATCAGCCTTAAAGGATGGTCTTCAGTTGACTCAGAGTGGGGTGGATAAGAGCATGGTTTACTGTTCATAGATGTGACTTCTGTGAAAGTCTTCGTTTATTAACCAGCCTTAAATTTAATAAGTTCAGTCTAATTCACTAGACATTTAATGAATACCTTTGGCATCCAGGTTTAATGGCTTTCTTTAGGCATACAACAGATACCCAGATTTAGACAAAATGTTGTTATATGTAATAAAAATAAAATGAGAAATGCTGTGGGAACCCCAGAAGAGATTAATACCAATTGGGAGACTTGGAGAAGATGACGTTTGGGGAAAATGTCAAGCTGGAAGGGAAAATCAGTTCCCTGTTTGGCTCCAATTGTCGGATTATTCTCTACAGTAATTTTTTTGAAGCTTTTTTTTTTTTAAAAAACTGCTTGCAGTAGTGAGTATTTAAGTTACCTTACTGTAATTCTCACAACAGTCTTGTCAAGTGTAGAGACTGTTGCCCTCAATTTATACTTTGGAAAACACTTTAAGTAACTTGGCCAAGAATATACAATTTGCAAGTGGTAGACTAGGGAGATTGGAGAAGTGATAAACTGTGGCCCAGGAAAGTTCAGGGTTAAGTTTGTGAGGAAAGTCAGTAATCCCATGTGATTGAACTATGAAGGGAAGGATATAGGGGGACACAGTGATTGAAACCAGGGAAGGTACTTCTGTTAATTAAGCTATTTTCTTTTACAGGAGTTTCAGCAGCTTTTGCTGTGAAGCTCTTTAAATCATGGATAAATGAAAAAGATATCAATGCAGTAGCTGCAAGTCTTCGGAAAGTCAGCATGGATAACAGACTGATGGTTGGTAACTTTTTTTCATTCTTCCCATTCTTGCCAAGGATGTAAATGAGAGAAATTTCTCATTTTTAAGACTGTGAAAAGAAAGTGTTTTTCTTAATCTGATTTAAAGAAAGTTTAACCAGATAAATTCTTCTTTTAGGAACTCTTTCCTGCCAATAAGCAAAGTGTTGAACACTTCACAAAATATTTTACTGAGGCAGGCTTGAAAGAGCTTTCAGAATATGTTCGGAATCAGCAAACCATCGGAGCTCGTAAGGAGCTCCAGAAAGAACTTCAAGAACAGATGTCCCGTGGTGATCCATTTAAGGATGTAAGTTTTTGTTTAAACCGTCTTTTTATGGCTAAGCTTCTGGCATAGAGATTTTCACTAATTTGAGGAACTTACTTCACCAGGATGAGATTGAGTTAATAGTAACAGGATGTTATACTGGAACTTTGCCTCATTCTTTTGCATATGCTTCTTCAGTGCCTGACTGAGGCCCAGAAATACAAGAGACTGGAGCTCAGGGCACCTTTCAGTTGTAAAGGTCTCTTTTTATATGTGGTACACATGTGGTTGCCAGTTGCATGGAAAAGGAGTTGTTAGTTTTTGTTAAAGGTCTAAACTTGATGTGTGAAGTATGTACATAATCAAAACTGACTTCTGTTACTAAATTTGGATTCATTTGCAGATAATTTTATATGTCAAGGAGGAGATGAAAAAAAACAACATCCCAGAGCCAGTTGTCATCGGAATAGTCTGGTCAAGTGTAATGAGCACTGTGGAATGGAACAAAAAAGAGGAGCTTGTAGCAGAGCAAGCCATCAAGCACTTGAAGGTATTAGAACTATGCCTTGACAAAACAAACTATTCTGCTTTCACGTGGTGATAAGTGAACTGTGACTATATTTTTCTAAGAGGATTTATCACATCCTGTGGTTCCTAGGGATGGCCCACCAGTAAATAAACAAATAGTAACATTAGCTATTGATGATAATGCTCTGAATTGGGCTGTGGTTCACAGGTTAAAAACAAGAATATGGCCTGGCCAGGCACAATGGCTCACGCCTGTAAACCCAGCACTTTGGGAGGCAAGGGCAGGAGGATTGCTTGAGCTCAGTTTAAGACGTGCCTGGGCAACATAGTGAGACCTCATCTCTACTAAAAATCACAAAAAATAGCCAGTCGTGGTGGCGCATGCCTGTAGTCCCAACTACTCAGGAGGCTGAGGCAGAGGATCTCTTGAGCCCTGGAGATCAAGACTGCAGTGAGCTTATGATGGCTTTGTCAGACAAAGCCTGGGTGACAGGGTGAGATCCTGCCTCAAAAAAAAGAACATGATGAAAAGGAACTTCAGCTTGTAATTAGATGTTTGCTTTTGAAGGGGGTATTGGAAAATAGGAATTTTTCCCCCCCTCTAAAATACTAATATTGTTTGACATTTACTTGGACTACTTGGTATAGTATTGTTTATTTTACTTAGCTACTTAGATTTTCTGCTTTTTTTTTTTTCTCTTGAGACAGTCTCACTCTGTCACCCAGGCTGGAGTGCAGTGATGTGATCTCAGCTCACTGCAGCCTCCATCTCCTGGGTTCAAGCAGTTCTGCCTCCTCGGCCTCCCAAGTAGTGCCTGGCTAATTTTTGTATTTTTAGTAGAGACGAGCTTTTACCATATTGGCCAGGCTGGTCTCGAACTCCTGACCTCAAGTGATCCACCCGCCTCGGCCTCCCAAAGTGCTGGGATTACAGACGTGAGCCACTGTGCCCAGCCTATTTTTTAAATTTCTGGTAAATAAGTTATAGTTTGCAGTGATTATAAAAGATGAGTTAAGTTCTATATTGTCTGTATTGTAGGAGTTTTGTAATGGATGGTTATTTGTAATGAATGACTAAATCTTTTCTCTGTTCCTTTAAAAGCAATACAGCCCTCTACTTGCTGCCTTTACTACTCAAGGTCAGTCTGAGCTGACTCTGTTACTGAAGATTCAGGAGTATTGCTATGACAACATTCATTTCATGAAAGCCTTCCAGAAAATAGTGGTGCTTTTTTATAAAGGTAATTTAGATTTTGAATTTTGTAAATAACACTTAATAAAAACCCTTATAAACACAAAATTATCCAAATGATGAGTTATCTGGACATCAGCTCCCTGAAATATTTTACTTCTAGTTATGAGTCACCTCTGATTAAATTGGGTGCTTTTTAGTGCACTGATACTTGTTTAAAACATCTAAACCCTATTCACAAGTTGAAGTATGAAATCTAAAGCCATCATTATGCGTCCTCAAACTTGCCTCCTATACTCTTAACCAGGTATACATTCCCAAAGTTCAGCTAGGTGTGGTGGCTCATACTTGTGACCCCAACACTTTGGGAGCCTGAGGCTGGAGGATCGCTTGAGCCCAAGAGTTCAAGACCGGCCTGGACTGCATAAGGAGACCTCATCTCTACAAAAAAAATAAAAAATTAGGCAGGGAATGGTGGCGCAAGCCTGTAGTCCCAGCAACTCAGAAGGCTGAGGTAGGAGGATCACTTGAGCCTAGGAGGTCAAGGCTGCAGTGAACCATGATTGTGCCACTGCACTCCAGCAGCCTAGGCAACAAGTGAGACCCTGTTTCAAAAAAAAAAAATCCCCAAGTCCCTTTTCCAGACAGTCTGTAGTCTTAGCTATGTAGTCATAGCTCTGGAGTCTTCAGCCTGTGTGAATCCTGCTTCTGTTCATCTTACTCCCCCACCCAGTGTTGACTTTCCGTAGTCCTTCAAGACCAGTTCAGAGTGCTTCTATAGCAACCCCAATTTCAGTTATATTGTTCCCTTTTCTCCTGATCCCAATTTTAGAAACCTGGTCTAAAGTGGCTAGTAAAGACAAGACCTCTGTTGGGAGAAAATCCATTGCAGTTGGTCATAACACTTTGAAATTCTGCACTAATCAGACCAGTCTTGATCCCGTTGAGTGTAGTTGGTATGCGCACATGTATTATTATCTTCCATTTCTCATGGATGTTTTTAGCTTTTCAGCAGTTTGTTTGCTAAGCAGGCATTTGCACATTAGGTGGTGGTTCTAACGCTGAGTAGAGTATATTAAAACTCCCTTAATGCAATGAGTTTTCTTTCCAGCTGAAGTCCTGAGCGAGGAGCCCATTTTGAAGTGGTATAAAGATGCACATGTTGCAAAGGGGAAGAGTGTTTTCCTTGAGCAAATGAAAAAGTTTGTAGAATGGCTCAAAAATGCTGAAGAAGGTAAGGATTTTCCTTTGTGTGGTTTGTTTGGTAAAGCTAATTTTAATGTGGCCATAATATATCTTCACACATGCTTCCTTCTTTCTGATGCCATTTTGTACCTGGAGTAGAGATTTTTGTTATAAGGCAGGTGGCGAAAGCTAGAGTTTAATTATTATAGTATATTTATGGCTCAGCCATAATAGTAAATGTTCTTCATGAAATGGAAAATTTTGAGAATATTTAATGTTTATAAATTTGTGGATTTCTTTTCTTTTTTTTTTTAATTAAAAATATAGAGACAGAGTCTCACTATGTTGCCGATGCTGGTCTTGAACTCCTGGGCTCAAACAACCTTCCTGCCTCAGCCTCACAAAGTACAGGGATTGCAGATGTGATTGCACCCAGCCAAATGTTGGGATTTCCAAGTGAATGCTTTTGAATATCTGCCTCATGTAAATAGGTTATTAATAAAATTCGTTAACAGCTTCAAAGTTACATGGAGGCTGGGTGTGGTGGCTCACGCCTGTAATCCTAGCACTTTGGGAGGCTGAGGCGATCAGGTCATTTGAGGCCAGGAGTATGAGGCCAGCCTGGACAACATGGGAAACCCAGTCTCTACTAAAAATAAAAAATTAGCCAGTTTTGGTGGTGGGCGCCTGTAGTTCCAGCTACTTGGGAAACTGAAGTGGGAGGATCACTTGAACCCGGGAGGCAGAGGTTGCAGTGAGCCAAGAGGGTGCTGCTGCATTCCGGCCTGTGGGACAGAGGGAGACTCTGTCTTAAAGAAGCTTCAAAGTTATAAATGGGAACTTTTGCCTTCTGATACATAATGTTTGACTGTTTTTTTCCCCTTTTCTAGAATCTGAATCTGAAGCTGAAGAAGGTGACTGAATTTTGAAACTACACCCTCAGTAAAGCAAACAGGAGTTGTAGATAAAATGTCATGTCTCATGTGTCCTGGTTCTTACATCTTCCTACCTCCCTGTATCAAGCATGATATAAGGGCTTTCATGGCAAATTTTATTTTAACTGTTTCTATGGTTGCTGGAAATGTTGGGTTTAGTTTCTAAAACCATGTTTTAAGTAGCTACAGGAGCTATAGATTTGAATCTAATGTTGCATTAGTCTTTTCAGTTATCTTCTACCTCCTGTATTTTCTACTGTAATAATGTAATTTAAGGCCTTCCACAATGAACAGTTCACTTTATTCCCTGGGTTTTCTATAAACAGTTTTAAGGATATGATTTGGTTAAAAAATAATTTGTTATAAAAATTCTGTTTGCAAATTAAACTGGAAAAGTATCCAGAGTCTCAAAAGGCAATGATTTGTGAGATAATATGGCATGCCCGGAGCCCTGCTCATCAATGAAAAACCCATATGTAATAATCGAATTCATTTAACATGAATCTTGAGTACGTGGACCATTGCTTGCATGTTAACTTTTTGTTTTGTTTTGTTTTGTTTTGTTTTGCATTTTTAACTCCAGATATCCTAAAGCTCAATTGTTTGGTCTCTGGTTTTCATCCTTAGAGAAGCCATGGAGAACAGACTTGAAAAGTTTAGGAAATCATAATGTGGCAGAGGTGGTGGGAAGAAGAAAGTTGAGCTTTTTCCCCTTGAGAAACTTCTGCATTTAGTTTCTATCTTTCCAGGCAAAACAAAT